>NC_000009.12:131672548-131986366 GCF_000001405.40 Homo sapiens | reverse complement strand
TATAACAAACAAACCAAAAAGAAAGATAAAAAATGGTACACCCGGACAGGAACTTCACCATGCATGGAGCTTGCAGGACTACAGGTTGCTCTGGGTGAGTCAGTGAGCCATGGTGAGTGAATGTGAAGGTGTAGGGCATTACTATACACTGCTGTAGACTTTACAGACACTGTACACTCAAGCTACACTAAATCTGTAAGAACATTTTTTCTTCCGTAATAAATTAGCCTTACTTTTTCACTTTATAAACTTTTACATTTTGTTAACTTTTTGATTCTTTTGTTATGACGTTTACCTTAAAACAAATACATTGTACAACTGTACAAAAGGATTTTCTTTATATTCTTATTCTGTAAAGCTTTTTTCTATTTTTTATTTTTGTTTTATTTTATTTATTTTTTTCTTACTTTTTAAACTTTTTTGCTAAAACCAAAGACACAAATGCACACATTAGCCTAGGCCTACACAGGGTCAGGATCATCTGTATCAGAGTCTTCCACCTTCACATTTTGTCCCAGTGGAAGGTCTTCAAAGGCAGTAACACACAGAGCTGTCATCTCCTATGATAACAATGCCTTCTTCTGGATCCCTCCTGAAGGACCTGCCTGAGGATGTTTTACAGTCAACTGTTTTTAATAAGTAGAAGTAGTATATGCTAAAAAAAAAAAACAATTAAAATTATAGTACAGTAAATTCATAAACCAGTAACAGTCATTTATTATCATTATCAAGCACTCTGTACTATACATAATTGTATAGGCTGTGCTTCTATGTGACAGGCAGTGCAGTAGGTTTGTTGACACCAGCTTAAACACAAACACATGAGTAATGTGTTGTGCTGTGACTTTACCATGGCTACTATGTGATAGGAATTTTCCAGCTTCATTATAATCTTATGGGACCACTGTCATATATGCGGTCTCACCAAAACACTGTTATGCGACACTTGACTGTGTTATAAAACATGGGAATGCAAAAATATTCACAAAGCACATAGAATGAGGAGATTGGGATGACAAATTTTCTCATCTTATTTGGGAGCAGGAGATATATCTAAACATTAAGAAATAGAGGTTTTAGTGTATTATGTAAAATTTGAAAGAAAATTCTTAAAAAGCACTAAAAAGAAAGGGGATGCCAGAGTCTTGAAGAAAACAGTAAAGACTTAGAGTCCGCAAAGCAAAAGGCAAAGAACCAAAGCAAGCATCCAGAGCAGGACACATGAAATAAGACATAAAAGAAGATAAAACAAAACAGTCTCATAAGACCACCAAATTAGGCCACACACCTGCAATATCAATAAATACCAATGAGATAAATATCTACTACAGGAAAAAGACTCAGATTGTCCCCAAAATTAAACCCTGCTATGTACAACATAAAACAGCTGTTAGACAAAGACAGATCCTGTATTTCTAACTAAAAGAAAACTGGACTTGTAATAGAAATACTAGATAAGGTTGAGCTCAAGGCATATGGTATAAATGGCTGCAAAGAGAAGCTTTATAAGGACAGAATGTAAGTCCACAGTGAGGCCATAACAGGTCAGTCCCAGGCTCAAAATACCAGCATAAATGTATAAATGTCAGGAAGCGCCAGGAGAAACAGGGACTGTGACTCACCTCAGGAGTTCACAGCAGACCAGCAAGATGGAAAATCAGAGAAGCATGTGGAAGATTTAAATACTTTCTCCTTATTGTAGTTTTTAGCTGAAATGACACCTCCTCAGAGGGACCTTCCCTGACTACCCAATCTAAAGTAGCTTCCCCAGTCACTTTGTATCATACACCTTTTTAAGATCTCTGTAGCGCTCTGTTCCGCTGTTCTCTTATGGGTGTATTATGTTGTGTTTTGTTTTGTTATTTGGCCCAAATCCCTGTGAAGGAGGGACCCTGTTTGTTCTGGTGACTGCTGTAACCCCAGTGCCTAGAACAGTGCCTGGCAAACAAGTCGATCTTGAGTTCATAGTCATCTGAGTGCCTGCTAAATGGCAGGCACTGTTCTAGGAGCCCTGAGCACTTGAGTGAACAGACTCCTGCCCTTGTGGTGCTTACATTCTAGTGGAGAATATGGAAGACAAACAATCAGAAGTCATGTACAGAATGTGAGGAGGTGATTAGTGCTATCGGGGAAAGTGGGGCGGATGTGAAGAGCCAGGAGAGCTGGGCCTGTGGGAGGTGGGCAGCGACTTTAAAAAGAACGGTCAGGGAAACTGCCTTGAAATGGTGACATCTGAGCAAATGTGGGGAGGGAGTTAGCTGTGTAGGTCTCTAGGGTAGGTGTCCCAGACAGAGCAACACAGAGGATGGGGAACAGTGACATAAGGGGGTAAAGACAAGTTGAGGCCGTGAACACCAAGGCTTGGACTTACTCTTGAGACGAGAGGTCAGAAAGTGGCTCTGATCAAATACAGCTGGATCAGTTGGAGCTGCATGAGGAATTTCACCTGATATGTGACCTGGAGCCAAGCTACTATCATGGCTGGTTTTGCCTTGTTGTGTAATGTAAACAATAGTTCTTGTTTTGTAAATTGTTTTGAGGGGTATAGTATGTGCTAATTTCAATTATTAAGATATCCATTTAGAACATTTATTAGCACAGATGAATTCGGTTATTTCAAATATAGAAGCAAAATATTGTGTAGAATGAAAATATGAGATATAATTAGACTATTAGTGAAAACACCTACCTCTGCATGATTGAAAATGAAAGGTTGTCTCAAAAGTATAGTGCTAAATATTTACATATCTGCCTGAAATGCACATTTTTAGATGCTAAAAATATTCATTGTTAATGATTGGATGGGAAGACTAGGTTTAATATAGTAATACGCTTCCATACATTTGTCTCTCACCAAAGTCAAAGCCAATTTTGTAAAGTATTACAGGAGCCTTTGAAATAGGGGCTACTGCTGAAATAAAAGGACCCTCTTCCCTATTTAGTGACAGAAAGTTTGCAGAATGACAAAACACTGAGAAAGTTTGCTTGGCAGGTTAGCCATCATTAAAGTTTTTTGTGCATGTCTTAAAATTTTCCTTCTAAAGTGTGGTGTTCTTGAAATGTGAAGAGTAAGTTTTATTGAATCCAGTAACAGGAGCCATGCAGTGAGGGAAAATCCATGGTAGCTTTCTTCATGAAAAGATCTGGCCCAGGTGACTTTAATCCTTTTCCTCATCTGTAAAATGGGGATAAAAATAAAACTTACATGATTGTAAAGAGAGAGGAAGCATAGAAAGTGGCTAGTATTATGCCTGGGACAAAATAAGTGCTCGTTAATTACATGAGGCACTTCTGAGTGTCATGAGTCAGAAAGTGTGGTCTGTGGATCAGCAGCATGGTCTCCTGGGAACTTGCTGAAACTCAGTCACAGATCCTCCTGAATGCGAATCTACATTTTAACAAAATCCTCAGGTGGTGAATATCATTACAGTTGGAAAAACATTGACTAGAGCAGTGATTGGCAAACCAAGGCCCACTAGCCTACTACCCGTTTCTGTAAACAGAGTTTTATTGAGCACAGCCATGCGCATTCATTTCCATATTACATATGGCTGCTTTTGTACTACAGTTGGAGATGCACAGAGGTCAGGCATTGCGGCAGATCCTGTAGCCAGAAAAGCTGACAATATTTACTCCCTGGGCCTTCAAGAAGATGTTTGTTGGTCCCCAATTTAGAGGACCACCTCTAGTGTCCCACCGACTGGGTTCAAATCCACCTCCCCATCAGTAGCTGTGGACCAAGTTACTTGTGTGCTGTTTTCCCATCTGTAAAATGGGGATAACAGTATCTGCTTCATGGGTAGTCATGAGAATAAATGAGGCCATACATGTTGAATCATTTATCGTCTGCCTCATAGCAAACCATGACAAAACTTGGCTACTTACAACAAAACATTTTATTTACTCACGATTGTGTAGTCTGGTCTGGCCCAGCTGGGTGATTCTACTCCTGATCTTGTCAGTGATCATTCAGGGAGTTGTATTCAGTTGTGTGGTTGGTTGGGAGCTGATTCTCTTTCCCTGTAGCCTCAGAGCCCCTCCCTCTCCGTGTGGCCTCTGCACGTGATCTCTTGAGCAGAAGAGCTGGACTTCTTAGGTGGCAGTTCAGGGTTCCCAAGAGTGCGAAAGCAAAAGCTGCCAAGCATTCTTGGGGCTTAGGCCTGGAACTGACACCATGTCAATTCTGCCATGTTTTATTGTTTAAAGCAAGTCACAAGACTGTCCCAGACTCAAGGGGAGGAGACTCCACAAGGGCATAAATACTGGGAAGTGTTCCACCGGGGACCATGAGTGAAACAGACTACCAACGTGGAAGAACATGGGAAGTGCATGATAAGTGGTATCTACCACTTCTGCTACTGCTGCTGATAGAAACATATACATGGCGGGCTGGACGTCAGGGGAGGGTCTGGGGTAGTAAGTGCCTTTCCCTAGGTGCTTTCCTCCTGACTGGAGTCCCTTTTCTTACCCTGTCTACCACTTCAAAATAAAGTAGGAAGAAAATGGAGTCAGTTGTCAAATCTGGTTGGAAATTGGAGGACTGTTTTTGTTAGAGAGTGCGTTGCCTCCTTGGCCGCCGTGTGCCCCCTCTCCCTGAGCTCCGCTTGCTGGCTTGGGGTAGCAGTGTGATGACTGGGTGACAGGGCTGACTATAGCCTCCTGCCCCATCTCCTGGCTTTGCTCTGCAATTGTGTTGACGTGGTAAGTTGCCTTCCTGCTATTGCGGATGCACACCAGCTTCAACGGCCCAGGCTGTTGTAAATTATATGAGCCCTTTCTGCTCCTCCTCCTCTTTTGGACTAGCAGTCCCTTCTCCTGGGAATAGTTGAGGAAGGAAGAACTGTACAGCTTGCCTCAGTTAGGATTGGTTCTCACAAATGGCCACATTTTAAAATAAACTGAGAGAGGAATTTTGGATCATCTGTGCATTTTCTTATGTGTTTGACTTCTTCACGATCAGAGATCGTATTTTAGTTTCATTTGAGCACATGGGCCCAGATTCCATGGGGCTTTACACATGTCTTACGCCAGTTTTGAAGGAAAACGTCTTTAGCCATCACCCTGTGCAAAAATCAGAAGGATATGATTTATTGTAATTTAGCCAAGACAAATAGTGGTTTTCCTTAAAACTTGTAACAATTGCTGTGAATGAGCAAATGTTTATACAAGGTGTGAAATTAAGTTTCATATAGTCACAAAATGTGCTTCTAGCCAACAGCTCTGAAATCATATTTATATTTTGGGTAACAATTTCAGTGGTGTTCTTTGTTGCAATTAGGAGTCCTGCTGCTTCAAGAAATGATACCATCATCCAGATTTAGCTCTTGATAAAGAAAGCTATACTGAATTTTTTTTGTGTGTGTGAAAACCTGGAGTTTAATCCTTGCTTTAAAGATGTGCAAATTCTGTCAAAAATTTGGGGTGACTGAAACTCTTCCTCCAGGGTTTTATTTCCTAAACTGCTCCATTGAACTGTTTCTTCACTAACAAGAAATTCAACTGTGTCTATGCTGCCTGCTGTCTGCTGCGGGAAGTGTCAGAATTCATTGAACTAAGAAGGCTCTCTGGAGCAGCAGTGAAGTGGTTAAAGCGTGACATTTTTGTACCTTTTTTTTTTTTTTAAATGGGACTAGTCAGGCTCATGTTTCCATACAGTTTTTCCAGCAAACAGTCAAAGCCCGTTTTAAAACAGTTTTCAAGAAGGGCAGAATCCATAAAATGATGGAATATTGTGCGTTTATTTTTAGGAACTAATTGGGAAGCATAACTGTCTTCTGTCAAATGCTTCCTGATAAGTGAAGAGTGATGTATTATTTTGTACCCCTTACCTTTTTGCCCTAAGGTCCCATTTGTTTTATGGAAAGACAAAGTGCAGACACATGAAATAGCATGCTGTGTCCGTGAGGGGTGCCTGCCAGTCTGTTTTCAGCTCTCGCGAATACTAGAATCTCTCAATCACTGAAGCCTTCTGCTGATTGCACAATAGTCTTTGTTTTAGCATCAGAATCCGGTGTGTTCTGAATGTGAGGAAAAATTTTGCCTGGTCCAGCATTTGATTTTTAATGAACTTGGTGGCTGGTTTATTTTTAAGGCAGTTCAGTGCTTAGAGCAACTGCTCTTATTAAATAGCACCTCACTTTCCTCCCTCTCCCCCCCGCCACCCGCCTCCCATTTTCCCATTGTAAGCTTTTATACATACGTGTGTGTGTACATGTGCATGTGTATGTGGCACTATAATATATACACACATATATACACACACACATATATTACCTTCCCCCATCCCCCAAGAAATAACAATTTTCTTGTTAGAGGTATATCTGTGCTTTTGGCAATTCATAGACCAAAAGCCATTTAAAGAAACAGTTAAGGTTTGAGCTTAAGTTCTGAATTGAAAATGTATACAGTTTTATTATGCTTTAAATAAAAAATTAAAATGTTAATTTAGGCAAACCAAGTAGCCTAAGGAAAGAAGTCCCATAGAATCTCGAGGGTGAGTTCTCTCCAGCCAGCCAGCCAGCCAGCCAGCCAGCCATCTTGTTTTCAGGTGCCACTCTACAAGGAGTTAGCATGGACTAGTAGACAGAACCCATCCAAGGTAAGGAATATTTTGGCATAAGTGGCTTTGCCACTGAGCAGATGTCCTTATGGAGATGTCACATTTCTAAAATGTAAACTCTCCATTCCTAAAATGGGGGAGTTTAATTAAGAGTGATTCCTTCATTCTTTATTCAATGCCATATTTCATTGAGCACCTGCCATATTCCAGGCCCTCTGCAAGGCGGATGGCAGATAGCATTAAGACCAGGCTCCCTAGGTGATCTAGTTTCAGTACTAAAATCCAGATTGGGTTATTGTGGGGTTTTTTTTTTTTTTTTTTTTTGGAACAGCTTTTAATATTTAGTAGCAAATAAGTAGTGTGACTTAGTTAGAAAAACAAAATGTTTGCTCAGATCTATCATATGCTCCTAATACAGAAAGGAAGATACATAAGCGTTGGTTACATTCTCTAATCTGCTTAAAACGAGATTGCAGAGATACTCTGGATCTTACCTGATTTCATTCATTGGTTGTGCTGATGCTGTTCTTTAAAATGGTGAGGCAAAGAGGGAGGTGTTAGGTCCCATATTTGACCTAGATTGGGTCTGCTGCCTCCAGCTATGTGCCTCGGGAGAGCCAGATAATGTCCAGGGAGCTCCCAAGGCCCAAGGCATGGGTGAGAGGGAAAAAGAAAAAGGCAAGTGATGCCAAGTGACACCCATCATCTCTGCGGTTCATCACTTGCCTGTACAAGCTTGTGCACCAAATTGTCACCAGGTAGTTGTAGCTAATCTTATGTATGTAAAGATGATAATTCATTTCTTTACATAAAGGGCTCTTCCCTGACATAATTTTTAGGGCTTTGTAGTATAAAGGAAGAGCAAGGAAAGTGGGAGAAAGGGTAGGGATGATCTAGCCATATTATAGACAGCAAGGAAATTTTCTTTGCTCCAAGTTCTGTACATACACAATTGAAACCTGAATAAAACGCCCTCTTGCGATGGTTTCTCCAGCTCTGCAGTTGTTCTGAAGAGTAGTGTGTTTCAGCCCATTTGGATCCAGTGCAGAATGGTACAAGGTTAAATGTCAGGGCAGAGTGAAACCATGCTTGGACAGTCATTTTTCTTAAGAGTTTTTTTTGTTGTTGTTGTTGTTTTAACTTTTTAATGGAGAACTTCAAATGTCCACACACATAGAACACTGAAATAAACTCATATGGACTCCGGCATCCATCAGATCCTTATGCTATTTCAAAGCAAATCTAAGATATCATTTAATCCATAAGCATTTCACTATGGACCTCTAAAGTTTCAAGATACATAAAGTGTAAAGACTTTCAAGAAACAAAACCATAATACTATTATCCCACCTAAAATAAAACTAATAATAGTTCTGTAATGTCAGCTGTCTAGTCAGTTTATAAATTTCTGGTTGTTTCATAGGTGTCATAATTTTTTTAAGCAGTTTGTTTGAATTGGGATCCAAATAAAATCCACTTCTTGATTGATATGTCTTTTGTGTCTTTTTAAATGTATGTATATATAATTTTTCCTTCCACATCTCCCTTTTTTTCCCCCTGAAATTTTGTCGCTGAAGACACCAAGTTGTTTTCCATAGTCTGGATTTTGCTGACTTCATCTCCTTGGTTTCGTTAAACATGTGTCTGTGCTTGGTCTATACTGTAGATTTGGTGGCTGGGTGAAGATGCTTGATCAGAGTCATGTTTGATTTGCTTGTTTGTTTTCACAAGGCTGCTTCATCGATGGTATTGTGTTCTAGCAGGAGGCACAAAATGTCTGGTTGTCTCTCTTTTTGATGACGTTAGCTGCCGCTTATGCTCAGTGTCCACATTCCTCAGGGTGCAGGGAGGTGATATAGTCATGCCATCTTCCCGGTTCATCTATCAGCTGGAACACGTCTACAAAGACAAACTTCCCCATCTCAAACAATTTGGTTGCTCTGTGGTATAACTTTTACAGGACAGGCAGAGTAAATGCTTGATTGGTTTCTTTGTGTTCTAGTTTTCAGAATAGAGCTGGTTGTCTAGCACCCCTCAACAATGACCAATTTACTTATTTTCTAATTATTCTTGAAATGAACATAACAATTATTTTTGGCTAGGACCATTCATTTTTGCAATGACCTAAGCCCTTTACATGAACCAAGAGCAGCCCCAGGCTATTGGGGTGCTGCTGTTTGCACTGCATTCCAGAACCCCCTCCAGAGAGACCAGGACACAGCTCTCAGGGAGGGGAAGATCTCTTCACAGCCAGCCGCAGAGCAGAGTGGTCCACGCCACCCAGAGAGTTGACTGGGAACAAGGGCTGTGTTGGAGAAATCAAATCAGATTGCCCTAACGATGGTTTTCAAGGAGTCGGACACTCCTTAACAATCATGCAGACCAACTTACTCTTACAGACAAGGAAAATGAGGCCCAGAAATATTGTCTAAGGCTGCAGTAGTAATGACAAGTGGTAACTAGAGCCTGAATTTTCTCACTTTCAGTTCAGTACTACTTCCCACAAACCAGGCTTTGACCTGACTGCCTTTGGTTCCAGAGCCGCCACTTCCTTATTTGGCTGCCACCTGGCTGCTCTATGATGGTCACCATTCTGCTCTGCGTAGGGGCTTCAGGCAGAGAATGTGGCACACGCGGAGTTCCTGAAGAAGCAACTTTTGAATACGGTTCCAGGAATCATGATTGGAATAACGAGTGGCTGAAGGGTTAACTGGACTGGTGACTGGCTGGCTTGGCAGGGCCATAAAAAATTCTGTTCAAGTTCATCCTTGTAACTGACATCAAAGTAGTACAGCTGCTACTAGAGCCCCAATTAGTGCTTTTCCTGTTTAAATGGGGCTCCTGCAAGTAGAATCTTGAAATAACCGTGTTGTGATCAGGGTTTGGGAGAGCAGAAAGGGGGAAGGCCTCTTTTAATTATAGTGTTCTTAAAGCGTAATGATCTGTTTTTCAGTCTTTCCTGATTAGATAATAGTGTTGTAGATTAGAGACAGGACCAGCTTAGTTTACTGCTGTATTCATTTATTTGGTTGGATGTCTTTTGGTAGCTATTTTCGTAATCATTGTAAACAGTTTATATTTACAGATTTTCTTAAAGCAAATGAGGAAGTAGTTGGTCAAAAGTTCAGTTTGTCAAGGAAGAAACAAGACTTTGTAGATATTTCTTTGCTAACTTCCCTAAATTACCTGCCTTTTCCTGGCAGTATTTGTTTAAATTCATTGGCAAGGCCTATTTGTAATGGGAGATTGGATTAGTAATAACATTTGCTCTTCACATTTGGTTACAGGACCTGCACTCAGGGTCCTGGGAATAATCCTATCACTCATCTCAGTAATAAGATAACCTACTAATAATACACCCACTGCCCAGTGACTGTTTTTATTGTTATTTTCTTGGCCTTTGATTTTAAGAGCATAACTTATCAGCTGATTAGGATAATGGAGAGGATAATTGAATCTCCAGCATTGCAGCATTTTGCTGGGGTATGCTTTGATGCCTGGATTGAGTAAGAGACCAGAGTCTGGGTTCATTCTGGGCTTTCTTGATTTAGCCAGGTGACCTTGGGCTCACCTGACTTTAGTTCACCGCCATTTTTTCCCTTATAATTACCAGGAGTTGGATTAAGCAAGTCCCGAGGTGTCTTTGAACTCCTCTGTATGATACAGCTCTGGTCCACACACAACCTTCTCTTTCCTGGAGATGACACTTGTTGCCTCTGTCAGTCCTTCTCTCTGTGCCCTTACAGCCCTTCGTGGAAAACTGCCTACCTCACACCCCATGGCCTTTGATCACAGACCCTGCTAAATGGAGGACAGGAAAGGGAATGAGTATGTCCTAGAGAATCAAACAAAGCTGACAGAGAAGGACAGAGAGATGCTGCTTAGATTTCTGACAGTCCCTCAGTTTGTAGTTCCTCTCCCTTGGAGAGCTGGCAGAATTCCTGATGTTTGAATCTGTGAGGACATTTGGGTGTCCTGCCAGTGAAACCCCACATCCTTTTTTACTCAACTTAGTTTTAGTGGGTTCCTGTTCTTTGCAGCCAGTTGATCCTGATGACATCTTCTGTATCCTCATAATGCATTGTGTTTCTCCATCGTTCCTTTCTCATCAGTTATTACATATTTGCGTTACTCTGCTTCTCTAAGCCGTTAACTCTTTGAGGGCAGGGATTGTGTCTTCTTCATCTTTGCTCCCCCAGCGCTAATGGCAGTATAGGAATGTGGTCAATGGTGGTCAAAAGAATGAATGACTGGACCACTGCTGCTTAAAACAAAATTAAAACAAGGAAACTAACCCAGCGAGATGATATTCACTGAAAATTGATGAAGCTTGTTCATTTAGAAGCAGAAACAAGATGAGAACTCAGGACTTACCTACTGTCCTTGCTTCTGCCCTTGTCTGTTGAGGTGTGAGTAAGCAACGAACTGTTCAGCAAGATGAAAGGAATAGTAACTTGGTCTGGATGACCTACTAGCCAAATTCCTACATATTCTTCATAACACAGAGAGTTGACTGTTTGCAATTTTTAAGAAGTAGGTGAACTTCTCATAGTGGAGGTACAATGCTAAGCTGCTATTTATTTGATTATAAAATTGGAGATACATTCCTTTTGAAAAAGACTGGCTCTAAGATGTAATTTGAGTATTCTCCAAATCACATATTTAAAGGAAAAAGAGATAAATAACAGCAACTAAAACAAGTTTTACAAATGACTACAAAGTAATTATGTTTCTTTTCGTGGCTTTTTGCTTTGGCTTAAAGGTCAGCATGAAAACAGATGAGAGTTAAACTTAGAACTGAGCATATCAGGTAGAGAATCACTTAGGTTCCATCGAACACCCACTACCAGCCAAGTTTTTGGGTTTACTGGTCTTAAAAAAAGATATATGCCCTTCTGAACTGAGGGAAAGAAGGGGGAGATGTAGGAAAACACTGAGGAAGTGACAGCAAATGAGGTAACTGGTGAAAGTGACAGATGGAGGATACTCACTGGAATACAGCTGGAGTGACAAGAGCACATCCAAAGTCCTGCCTAACAGGTGAGTTGGGAGGAAAGTTTACAGTCAAAGTCAAGTATAACCCTCCACCACATTCTTCTCTCCCGTGTTCCACATTTCAGGCAAATGAACAAAGGAGGCCCCTGTGAGTGTAAAACAGTCCAGACTCCTGATTTCTGTCCCCAGCTCTGTCTGACCCACTCCTCTTCTTTGGGCAGGTCATTTCTCTCCGGGCCTGAGTTTCCTTACTTTTTAAATGAGAGAATTAAACTTTGCAATCTCCAAGGCCCCTTCTCACTCTGAAAACACTATCTACATAGTCAGATATAATCACACATCCCCAGTGTCCTGGGATCATTAAAAGTTCAGTCTACTAACAGAACTGTGTGGTAAGAATGGTAATGAGGTTGCTGGTCAGTCTGACACAGGAGCCTCAGGGATTCCTACTTGATCTGTATATCCGTTAAGCCTGGTACCTTCTTCTGCAAGTATCAGAAACCCTGCAACTGACTAACTTAAACTAACTTAACAGTAGAACTAATTTAACTAACCGAAACAGGACAATGCATTTATAACAAGACAGTTTATTATAAAAAGAAATTCCAAGGTGAGGGCAGCACTAGGGTGAACTGCAGTCAACTCTGAGATGTCACCACCTGTAAGATGTGCCCTGGTACTATGTTCCACTAAGGAAGGAAAATCTCTGCCAGTTACATGATGACATACTGCAGCTTAGAAAACACATCTGATTTCAGAGATTAATAAATGTGGAGGGAAATGTATCTTAGAATCCAGTAGGCCGGGCACGGTGGCTCACGCCTGTAATCCCAGCACTTTGGGAGGCCAAGGCGGGTGGATCACTAGGTCAGGAGATCAAGACCATCCCGGCTATGGTGAAACCCGTCTCTATTAAAAAAAAAAAAAAATAGAAAAAATCAGCCGCGCGTGGTGGCGGCCACCTATAGTCCCAGCTACTTGGGAGGCTGAGGCAGGAGAATGGTGTGAACCCGGGAGGTGGAGCTTACAGTGAGCCAAGATCACGCCACTGCACTACAGCCTGGGCAACAGAGCAAGACTCCGTCTCGAAGAAAAAAGAATCCAGTAATACAGTAATTCAGTAGCTCAAGGATGTCATCTTTGTAAACTGCTGTTCTTCCTCCGGCTGCTCCCTTGATGGCTGCAAGACGGCTGCAGCCCGTCCAGTCAGACAAGACAAAGCCAAGTCCCAGGTAACTCTGCCTCTAGAATCGCTTGAACCCAGGAGGCGGAGGTTGTAGTGAGCCGAGATCGCGCTACTGCACTCCAGCCTGGTGACAGAGTGAGACTCTATCTCAAAAAAAAAAAAAAAAAAAGAAAAGAAAAAGAAAAAAAGAAAAGGGAAGCCTCTTCCAGAAGCCCTGCGGCCGATTTCTTCATGTCTCATTGGCCAGAATGGTCACACATCACATGCATGCCTGTTGGCATCCCAGTCATTGCCAAGGACCCAGAGTTATCCTGGAGGGGATAGTGTCAACCTGCTCAGGATCCCTACAGCTGGGGATAGGCCCTTCCCTGAAAGGGGATAATTGTCACAGGCAGGGTTTTGTTCATAAGGAGGAAAGAGGGAATGGACAGGGAACTATTAAAGCAAGAAAGTGTACTAGAAAGTTAAAAAGAAAAAGAAAAGAAAAAAGTGTACTAGAAAGTTTATAATTTCTTCTAGGTAGGAATTGGTGACAGGAAGATGGTTCATGATTAATGTCAGTTATCTTCCTGCTCTGAGCATTTGAGTGTTTGAAATTTTCTTGTATTGCTTCCCTCATTTATAAATTCTGTGATAGTAATTACTTTCTGCATTTTAATATAGAGAGGTACATACTCAGTTTTGGAAATAGTTGGGTTTACAGGTGCACACCATCACACCTGGCTAATTTTTTGTATTTTTAGTTGAGATGGGGTTTCACCATGTTGGCCAGGGTGGTCTCAAACTGCTGACCTCAGATGACCCACCCGTGTCAGCCTCCCTGTTGTTGGTTTTCTGAACAGGACTGATGGGGCAAACTCTGTAGGTTACTCTGTGTTGGGATTAGCCTTTTTGGTATAACAGTTCTTTTCCATGAATGTTACCAGGGGTCTTCTTGACCTTGTTCCCATGAAAGCATTACCCCTACCTGAGTCTCTCTTCATTCAGCCCAGGGACTTGGAGAGTTCAGGAGAGAAGCGGGACAATTGGAGTCAAAGATTTAATACTCATTCATTCATTCATTGGACATTTACTAAACGTGAATGTATACAGGGCTGAGTGCTAGATTCTGGGTGGCAGGGACATACCACCTGAGACTTTAGTGTGGCTTTTGAAGAATTTCTTGCTGGAGGTTACATTTGCTGTCTACTGCCTTAGGATATTTCTTTGCTTTGTCCATCAACTGCATGTGTCTGTCTCTATTTATAGTGCAGAACCTCTGAAGAATAGCATTTGGTGTAAGAATAAGTGAGCAAAACCTGCCTGCTCAAGCTATTATTTTTTTTTTGGTAAATCTAAAAGACACTATTTTGTATTGGGGACTTGCTCCAACTGTAAATTGGAATATGAAATTTGACCTCACTTTCCATGTAGGGAAAAGGAATAGATCGTTTTAGTACTCATTCCTCCAGAAAGATCTGAAATAAATATTCATTGCTTCAAACCTCTCATATTTGAAACCTGTATGTTCTAATCACAACAAATCCGATTAGAAGCTGTCTGTACTAGAATTAAGAGGGATAGAGGGAGGCAAACAGAAAGTGCCAACATAGATTTTTTTTTGAGAGAGAGTAGTTAGCCTTGCAGTAAAATCCCTTCTGTCAGTTGCCTGTGTAGTCTGCAAGCTTATCACTGTAATATCTATATGGAAGAGTGACCTCAGTGACCACACATGTAAGTCAGACTTCTGAAATGGTTTAAATCTGATAGTGCTTTTGAAATTCCCTTTTAGAGATGCAGACTCCTTTGTATAGAGATAAACCATAGAAAACTGCAAAGTTTTCCTCTCATTTCTGGGAAAAGGATTAAAATCAGACAGGTAATTAAGACTGGAATCCAAAAATAAATGTCTGTTTTCCTCACCTCCCCGCCCCCCACTCCCAGTCTAGCCCACAAGCAATATCTCTAGATTACATCTCAAGTCCTGCTCTTCTCCCCGTCACCACTAACGGGGCCCAGGTCCGGGCCACCCTCTTTTGGCACTTGGGGTCCGGCCAAGGTCTCCTCACTGGACTCTGCTTCTACTCTGGCCTCTACATAAAGCAGCCAGAGCAACATTTCACGACATAGGTTTAATTTTGCCCCTAATTGTTAAACCCCTCAGTGGCTTCTCATCACATTCGCGATAAATTCCAAACTCCTCTTATTGCTGGTCTGCAAAGGCTTCCATGATCTGGCCCCTCCTGGCTCCGCTGCCTCATCGCCTTCCACCTCCCTCTCTCTCCCCCTGTCCTTGCTAAGCTTCTTCGCTGTTCCGGGAAATCTCCAAGTTTGAGCCCACCTGTGCCTCAGCACTTTCTGTTCCTTCTGCCAGCTGTGCTCTCTTCACAGTGTGTCAGGTGTCCTTCTTCCCAGCATGCTTTTTCATTATTAAAGTTTTAAAGTCCATAAAAGTAGAATGGGAAAATGAACTCCCATGGGATAATCCCCCAAATCCCAAATCACCAACATTTGGCTGTGTTTTCTTTATCTATCCTTTGTTTCTTTCTTTTTTGCTTTTGCTTTTTTGTTGTTGCTACTGGAATGTTTTCAAGCAAATCCCTTGTGTCATGTCATTCTACCCCCGAACACTTGTTTCTGCAAAATAAGGACATTCACTGTTATAATCACAATGCCATTATCACATGTAACATAATTAGTGATTCCTTCATATCATCAATACTCTGCCTGTATTCGTATTTCCCTACTTGTCTAAAAATGCCTTTTTACAGTTTGTTTTTTATCAGGATCCAAACGAACTCCACATGATCTGTTTGGTGTTTGTCTTCTCTACTGTTCTCCTCCTAGCCTCCATTTATCTTGCTGTGCTTTCTGTGATGTCTCTTTGCTCTTATGTCTCTTTTAATTTGGTCTTTATTTCTAACATTGTTTTCCTTCACATTTTACTGAGTTTTGCCAGTTCTCATTTCGCATGTTCTTCTTGTCCAGCCATCTCGCTTCTGAGAACGTCTATTCCTGATTTGTGCTGTTTTTTCAAAGCAGCAGTTAGTTGTTTCCTTAATTTCTTTCAGCTCAGTTTGAAATAATTGGTTACAGTTTTCACCGGCTTGTGGTCCCTGTTTCGTGGTGTGGACTGTCCTGTTCGGGTTCACCTTGTTTTCTCTTGTAGTACTGGGTGTAGTGTTTCTGTGTTGGCCCCGTGGAGGGCTCTTCCGTGGAGAGAGCATGGTAGCCAGGGCGGCCTCCTGGCCTCAGTGAGGACGAAGGTACTGGGTACCTGTCTGCACTCTGTGGCTGTCCTGGCCTTCAGGTGCTGTGCTGGTGGCCCTGCCAGGCCCTGGACAGCCCACCCTCCTTCCACTCCGGGCGTCCCGCCGGCTTTGTTTGAGTTCTGCTCCCAGCCACGTGTCCACAGAAGAGGAGCTGCTTTTCTGAGTGGAGGTTCGCTGGGTGGTTCTGCAGCCCCTTGGTGACCCTTTTGTAAGGGTTTGTGGGCATCTGCATGCACACCCTCAGAGGACCTTGCCCAATTTGCTTGCTGTTCACAGACCCACTTGTCAAGGCTCCCGCTGCAGGGCCCTGTTATGGAGATGAGTATCTCCTGGAGATCTTGGGATCTTGTGGCACTAGGGCAGGTCATTTGTCCTCTTTCACCTCCCTCCTATGCCCCCACCCCCCCCCAGCCCTCCAGCCTCATGGCTGCTGATGCTGGGTGGTGCTGCCCACCTATATGCTGTGGATCATGGGGAGTTCTTTAAATCTGGCTTTACTGAAGAGTTCATTCAGCTCTCAATATTATAGCTGCTTTGTCTGGTTTCCAGGAGGAGATTTAGAGAGATTCCAAAATTATGCTGGCTCCATCAGATGAGAGGTTGCCTCAGGGCCTTCCTGACCACCTCCAAGTAGCCACTCTCATGCGCTGCCCTCTCAAGCCTCTGAGCTCTGTGTGTGGCGCACATCACCCCGGACCTGCTCTTCATCCTTGCAGTCTGCCAGGGCCATCTGGCTCCCTCTCCAATCCCTCTTGGGCTAGAATAGCAGCGGCCTAGTATAAATGATGGGCACAACGGGCTTATCCTCCCTTGCCACCAAGAAACTGGGAAACTTTTCCCAAAAGCTCTCAACCTCTTTATTATGATTATGTTACCCTGAAATATGAGTAAAAGAAAAATCTTTTTCTAAAATGTTACGAGAGCACTTAATGTACAAAATGCAAGAAGAAACCTCCATTGAAGATGTTTAAAATAGTAATGAAATATACACTGAATCAACCGTCACCAAAAACTAAAAATCCAGGCTCACCCTGTCCCAGCAAAGAGGACTGATATCTTGGTTTCTGTCTTTCCTTTATGGAGTCCCTGATATCTAAGACTGAGTAAACAATCTCTAGATCAGCAGTCCCTAACCTTTTTGGCACCAGGGGCTGGTTCGTGAAAGATACTATTTCCATGGACAGAAGGTGTGGGGGGCAGGAGCGGGGGGTGGTTTCAGGATGATTCAAGCACGTTACGTTCATTGTGCGCTTTATTTCATTTCTATTATCATTACATTGTCATATATAATAAAATAATTACATAACTCATCATAATGTAGGATTAATGGGAGCCCTGAGCTTATTTTCCTGCAACTAGACAGTCCCATCTAGGGCTGATGAGAGGCAGTGACAGATCATCAGGCATTTGATTCTCATAAGGAGCGTGCAAGCTAGATCCCTCGCATGCGCAGTTCACAATCAGGTTCACACTCCTGTGAGAATCTAAGGCGGCTGCTGAGCTGACAGGAGGTGGAGCTCAGTAATGTGAGCAATAAGGAGCGACTGTAAATACAGATGAAGCTTTGCTCGCTCGCCCACCACTCACCTCCTGCTGTGCGGCCCAGTTCCTAACAGGCTCAGACTGGTACCCGTCTGTGGCCCAGGGGTTGGAGACTCCTGCTCTAGATTCACAAATACAATGTTTTCAAGTGTTTCCATTAGGGAGTCCTGTAAAATAATGGGAAGAAAGATGGACTTAGAGCCAGAAACAAAGCAAGATTCTTGTCCCATCTCTGCCCCTTAGTAATGATGCAACCTTGGGCCTATCTCTGCATGCACCAGGGTTTCTACTGTCAGTAAAAGAAGAGGGTTGGGTCCCTTTCACCTCGTAGTACTACGATTTTTTTTTTTTTTTTTTTTTTTGAGACAGGGTCTCTCTCTTGCCTAGGCTGGAGTGCAGTGGTGTGATCTAGGCTCACTGCAGCCTCAACCTCCTGGGCTCAAGTGATGCTTCCACCTCAGCCTCCCAAGTAGCTGGGACCACAGGCATGCAAAACCATGCCCAGCTAATTTTTGTACTTTTTGTAAAGATGAAGTCTTACTATGTTGTCCAGACTGGTCTCGAACCTCGGGGTTCAAGCAATCCCTCCTACCTTGGCATTCCAGAGTGGTGGGATTACAGGCATGCGCCACCGTGCCTGGTCTCAACATTCTTATAAGCATAAATATCTTTTAGCTTAAGACCCATTCTAATTCCTGAGTATAAGAATCATGAGGCCGGGGGTGGTGGCTCACGCCTGTAATCACAGTGCTTTGGGAGGCCAAAGCGAGCGGATCATGAGGTCAGGAGATCAAGACCATCCTGGCTAACACGGTGAAACCCCGTCTCTACTAAAAAAAATACAAAAAATTAGCTGGGCATGGTGGTGGATGCCTGTAGTCCCAGCTAATCAGGAGGCTGAGGCAGGAGAATGGCGTGAACCCAGGAGACGGAGCTTGCAGTGAGCCAAGATGCGCCACTGCACTACAGCCTGGGCGGCAGAGCGAGACTCCGTCTCAAAAAAAAAAAAAAAAAATCATGAGAGGCTGGGCACAGTGGCTCACGCCTGTAATCCCAACACTTTGGGAGGCCGAATCACCTGAGGAGGGCGGATCACCTGAGGTCGGGAGTTTGAGACCAGCCTGACCAACATGAAGAAACCTCGTCTCTACTAAAAAAAAAAAAAAAATACAAAATTAGCTGGGCTTGGTGGTGCATGCCTGTCATCCCAGCTACTTAGAAGGCTGAAGCAGGAGAATTGCTTGAACCCGGGAGGCCGAGGTTGCAGTGAGCTGAGATCGTGCCATTGCACTCCAGCCTGGGCAACAAGAGCGAAACTCCATCTCAAAACTTAAAAAAAAAAAAAAAAGATTCATGAGAGGAAAGTGTTTTCTGAGCTGGAGACTCTGCCGTAAGTGCAACCTGATAATGAAAGCAGAAGTAATCACTTTAAAATCTATACTTCAGTTTAATTTTAAAATTATCCATTTGCAAGTAGCCATTGAGCATTTTTTGTTGATTCACAGTGGTGGTGTCATGGGGGATACATTTAAGAGAGATTTATTGGGAAGGTACAGTTCCGAAAATTGTACCATGCATTTCTGAAAATTTTGAATTAACACCCACAAATTGGAATGGCCTAGAGTTTATATTTTGAATAAACTTATGGCATATTTATTCAAGCACAAAGATTTTTGTACAGAGTAAAGAACAGTGTAAGAAAGTATTCAATTACTGATAGAACATTAATGATAGCTACTGCATATCAAGCACATATCATATGCTAGACCCTGTGCCAAGCACATTACATGCATGGTTATTTAGCGATGCTGTGAGTGAAATAGTATTGTTCCTCTTTATCAGATGAAGAAACTGAGATACAAGAAAGTTAATGCCACACAGCTAGTGAAGAGTGAAGATGGTCATAGCTCTGGTGAGCATCCAGATAGTACTTGCTACGTGCTAGAGTCCAAGTACTCTGCATTTTTTTAGTCATTGAGTCTTCCAGAATTCCTGTGAGGTTGATATTATTAGGTATTTTTTGTAAAGGAGGAAACTGAAGCACAGAGAGGTTAAGTGACTTGGCTAGGGTCACATAGCTAGCTCAGGTCCT
This sequence comes from Homo sapiens, assembly GCF_000001405.40. Lineage (NCBI taxonomy): Eukaryota > Metazoa > Chordata > Mammalia > Primates > Hominidae > Homo > Homo sapiens. The sequence goes on along the minus strand of NC_000009.12, from coordinate 131,966,741 downwards.
GCCAGAGCAAGGACTTGAACTTGGGCACTGAAGCGTCGGGAGTCCGGGTCCTTGTCCACTAGATCATGCCACCCAGCATCAGTATAGTGACTGACAGACTCCAAAGCTCTTGCTTTCAACCATTTCATTAAAAGTGATACTAGAAGAGTACAAGGGATCCTAAGTAAAGACATTTTAAACTTGTTGTTTTTTATGTTAGGGATAACATTGGGTTTTTAGCCATATAGCATGTAACCTGAAATTCAGCACAAATAAAGCTTCCTCTTGCCTGGTCTGTGAAATCTTGAGTTTAGGGACCATTAGTGGAAATACACTTCCTTTTCCTTTTCCCTTTCCTTTCCTTTTTTTTTTTTTTTTTGTGACAGGGTCTGGCTCTTTTGCCTGGGCTGGAGTGCAGTGGCACAATTATGGCTTACTGCAGCCCTCCTGGGATCAAGTGATCCTCCTGTCCCAGCCTTCTGAGTAGCTGGGACTACAGGCACATGCCACCATGCCTGGCAAATCAGTTGCTTTTGGTTTTGTTTTGTTTTTTTTTTTTTTTTAAAGAAACAGGCTCTCACTGTGTTTCCCAGACTGATCTCGAATGCCTGGCCTCAAGCAATCCTCCCACCTCAGCCTTTCAAAGTGCTGGAATTACAGGTGTGAGCCACCACCCCTGGCCAAAATGCAGTCTTTATTCTTAGGCGTCAGACCATACTGCAAGGTGGAAGTCCTCTCTGGGATGCGCATGGTTGCGAGCACTAAAGACTCCCGGGTCTCTGAAGGTCACCTGCTGTCTTGCTGATGCTTGGTTACTTTCCAATGGTGCGTTATATTTTGCAAAACAATACTCTGAAAAAGTGTTAATTTAAAAAGAGAATTCCCAGCGGGTGGTGGTGGTGATACAGGTCTAAAGTTAGTGACATGTTTTTATCAAAAATTTGAAATAACATTTATCAAGAAAGGGGAACAGCCTAGGGTCTGTTAAGTGGAATCCTTTATTTTTTGTTCAAGAAAAAGTGAGGTGATGCCTTGCAACATAAGGTATCCCAGGACTTTAATCGACATGTAGACTCCTAAGAGGCAAAGCCAGACTTTCATCTCACTCAGCTCTGCTGTGGTGTCACCAGAGAGCCGGTGGCTCTGAACCATAAGTGACAGAGAAGGACCAAGAGCAACAGATCCAGCATCACTGCCTCTCCTTGTGGTTATTGAGCTGATCTCTTGGAAAGTCTTTAGTGGCTTTTCAACTTGAAAAGAACAGATTTGAAATAAATAAATTGATCCATTAACCTGTTACAGGAAGGTTCCCACTGTGCTGAGTACCCCCAAATCATCTCTGATAAGGTTGACTAAGCCACACTCTAATAGATTTCAGAGTAGTATGTGGACCGTAAAATGACCATTAACCAGCTTGCTTTGTTCATGAGAGTCAGGCACTTAATGCCATGGCCTCGCGCTAGAAGCACATTCCACTGTGGTATGTTTCAACTCTGTGAAGTCATTGATCAGATGAAAATGACCAGTTAGCAAGTAAGTGTTTCCTGGGCTGTAGGCTTTATGAATAATGTGTTCGTCAGTTAAAATCAGCACTTTAAGCAATTGTTTAAACCTAACCATTTGGGAATGAGGGAGAGAGCTTCATGAATAATTTATTTTCAGAAGAAAAGATTAAGGGATCTGAACTTTTTCACCTTCCCAAACCTTTTTGACTTAAGTGAAACTACCTGCAAATGCTGTAAATCCAGATAAATAAAAGTCATAATGCATACACAATGTATGTAAGTTTATTGTACTTTCACTTTTAAAAAGCCTTTATTGAAAAGGTGTAGGCATGTAAATACAATGAGTTTAAAATAAGAACTGAGTATGGAATTGCTGGAAGGGTTGTGGGATTTTAGATGTAGCGTTGAACATGCATTAGCATAGTACCATGGGAAAGCTTAAAATATGGGTAATATGTCCTTGTATCGGAAAGGACTTCATCAAAGCAGACCAGTTTGATCCCTTGTGCTTAAACATTATGCCTTCCACTTTCTAAAACAGACCGCTGTCTTATAAGAATTGCACGTCCTTGGTTCAAGGTTTAAGTAAGAGAATTTAGGATGGGGGTTAGGTATCAATATCACCAATCCAAATTCTCCTTGCCGCCTTCTTTCTCTTGTTCTTATGTTATTGAAAATACCCAGTTTTGTATTTGTGGTCCTGTCTGATACTTGGCTAGAGTGATTTGTCTTAGTGGCTGAAATTTTCATTGACCATCTTGGCAGTGAAGGAGTTACTGAAGGCACAAAGGAGCCTGAATATTACTTCACAGGCATAATACCAACACTACCACCACCACCACCATCACTATCACCTCCAGCATCACCACCACCATCACCATCACTACTACCATCACCTCTACCATCACCTCCACCACCACCACCATCACCTCCACCACCAGCACCAGCACCACCACAATCGCTATCAACCACCACCATCACTGCTGGCAGCTGTTATTTATTGAGTGATTACTCTGTCAGACACTGTTCTAAGCACTTAACACTGATTACCTTATTTAATCCTAACAACCTTCTGAACTAGGTGCAACTACAATCTTCATTTTATGAATGAGGAAACTGATGCTCAGAGTGATTAATTACTTCCCCAGGTTCACTGGAGCCCATATTTTTAACCCTTTCAGCTTCTATACCACCTTCTCCACTCTCCTCACAATCAGATCAGTACTTACTCTGGGTGGGTAGTCAACATCATAGAAGGGCACACTCACTTATTCACTATTCATTTTTTAACCCCCGTAATAAATTGGAACGCAGTCAAGAACCAAGAAGTATGGAGAGGAGGCCTAACCGAAAGTGCTGTTATGGGTTTCCCATACTGTCAAAGACCCTCTCACAAAGCCCATTTTCTCCGGGTTGTCAGGGTAACGAATTTGGAAACATGCAGCGCACATACTAACAACAGCTAGGAGCCAATGCTTATATAACAAGAGAGGAGATGGACAGAACTATAAATATAAAGCACAGGAGCCGATGCTCATAACATTCACAAAAGTTAAGTTGTTTTCTCGTTAGGAATAAATGTAAGTATATCTTTGTTTTAAAAAGATACTCATAAAAATAGAAAAAATTAAGCGTAGGCATTCGAAGAGATAGGCATGAAGGATCTGAAACCTTTGCTAATGAGAAAGGGCACATTCTCCAGCAGTGGTGGACAAATGAGGGGAGGCTGGGGCACTGAGCCTGGCTCCTTACAGCTGTTAGTGTCATAAATACTTTTGCCATGATATAGGTGTCTCCCTTGTTCCCATCTTCTTCTGCTTGCTGCTTCTGGGGGCTTTAAAAATTTTCATGTTTAAGTTAGGGGGCCTGCCACTTTAAGCTAGTCACACTTGAAATATATCCCTTGAAATTATCTAAACTTAATTTCTGGCCATTTTGTTTCAGAAATGCTAACCTCAGGGGGTCTTTGTTCTCTACGCTAAAACTTAATCTGTTTGGAACAATTCCATTTCCTCTCTGTAGAAATTGACTGGCCATGGCTCCTGTGAATGATACGGTTGCTATTATCCCTGAACACTGTAAAAATGAACTTTGAAACAGTTGGGTAGGACCCAAACAGAAAATGATGTATGGCTTGGAAATAGTTTAGCTGAACATTATGCTTTAATATTTTACTGGCCATTGCAGCACAGGTTTAGAAATTTATGTTCGGCTTTTTAAAGTTTTATTTTTATATTAGAAACTTTCTTGCAAACCAAAATAGATGAATCAAGTGTATTTGAATCAATGCTGAAATGTCGTCCACATCTGTGGAATGAAAATCATTAGCCAGTTACTTAAAATTCAGATAAAATGAAACCATCTTACTATGAACTTCATCCAGCTTTCCTCTTCACTAAAGGAAAGAATGCCAAGAATATTTACAAAAATTTATTTAACAGGATTACTGTTTTATTCCAAAAGATTTAAAGAAAATACCAAAACAGATACTAATTGAGCATAAAATAGCACCCAGCCGGGATGGAGTTGAGTATGTCCAAGCATCCACTTTAAACACAAACTCATGATTTCTTGAATCTGTGTTTGAAAATAGATCAAGCTTTCTCAAAACCTAGTGGGATAATTTCGATTACATGTAAACTATGACCAGAATTTATTGCTGGAAAAGTAAGAGTGGATCAGAATATAATACTCCTATCACAAAAAAAAAAAAATCACACGCCAGGCACAATGGCTCACACCTGTAGTCCCAGCATTTTGGGAGGCTGAGGTGGGTGGATCACTTGAGCCCAGGAATTCAAGAGCAACCTGGACAACATGGTGAAACCCTGTCTCTACCAAAAAAATACAAAAATTAGCTGGGTGTGGTGGCACATGCCTGTAATGCCAGCTACTCAGGAGGCTGAAGTGGGAGGATGACTTGAGCCTGGAAGGCGGAGGTTGCAGTGAGTTGTGATTGTGCCTCTGCAGTCCAGCCTGGGTGACAGAGTCAGACCCCGTCTCAAAAATAAATACATAAATAACAGTGGAAACTTTTCTCCATGTGGCTGTAAGAGTATCTTAAATCTGCCTTTTGGAAGAGTTTATTGGTTCACAATGCTTATCAGTAGCCACATTTTAAATGTCTCTATCTCAGACTAGTGTATGGGGGAAAGAAAACATTCAGAAGGATCTGAGTTCCAGTCCCAGCTTTGCCTACCACTAGATAGAAGTCTTTAAACCAGTCAGCTAGCCTGTCCATCGAGTAACAAATTTAGACTAGCTATCCTCTCAGTTGTCTTCTGTCTCCAGGATTATATGATTCCTTTGGAGATTATCATTATAATTCTTAAATCTATCAACTTTTGGAATATATTTCCAAACATGGATTGATTCACTGAAGTGCCTTTCACTTCATGGAGAAAATAGCGCTAAGGGTGCACAGCACATATTGTCATCTTTCAGAGAGAGAGAGAGCAGAAGAAGGCTTTTTAGCTGTAGAGTGTTTAGGGCCCCTGTGGATATGGCCAGGCTGTGCTACCCTAAGTGGGAAGGGACTGTAGAAAGCAGCGCCTCCCCAGCATGAGGCTCCTTCGCTAGTTCACGAAAGCAGCGGTTCTGTCCTGTGCCCTGCTGCCTTCATCAGGCCTTGAAACACAGAGGCCAATGGTCAGCCATTATTTACAGTGGAAATCTGGAAAAACACTATTTCCCAGGGCTGTCAGCGGACCCTCAGAACCTTCATGAAGATGATGAAAAGTTTCCAAGTCCTGCTGATACTCATACTACAGCTAATCAAGTGTAAATGCTTTACGTTGTTTAACAACAGAAAACATGCTATACTGTTCTGAACTCAACAAAGAAAGAAACCTTTGAATTAAGGCTGAAAAATATCAGAGAGCATTTCAGGCAGGGAAAAAATCCTGTTCTGTGTTTGGGATGTGATTACCCAGAGCCGCCGCCCAGACAGCTTCAAGCTTCTGTCTCTGAAACAAGCAGCCATTGTGTTGCCTTCTTGCCTGCTGCGACATATGCCACGTGCGGGCCATTTTTACGGGCATGTGATGGGTTTCAGTGTCAAGACTGTTGCCCAGTGGGCAAAACCCTCACTTACTTTGGAGGGTTAAAAATGTTGATAAGCAAGAGCTCAGCCTCCTTGTTTTCGTACCCATTTAGATCAGCAGAGACCTCTCTAATGACACTCTTCTCCAGTTTCCCTGAGCTGTGGCAGGAATAATTCCACTCATAATGAGGCAGGTGTCCAGCTTTAACCCTGCATGCCTCTACAGGCGGTCATTTCTTCGACTCTCCTGGCAGCCTCTCCTCTGCTAGCATTCTTCCCATTGTTACGTTTTGCCTAATATTTAACCTCAGTGTTTCCTGCTGTCACTCTGTCTTATTATTCTCATCGACTGAGGATAATTGATCTGTCTTCACTCAGCAACTTCCATTTGCATGTTTTAGGAGTAGCTGTGTCATCTCATCTCTTATTTTGTGGTAGACACTCTCCCCTTGTTGTTAAGGCTTTGTATACCTGTGTTCAAAGGGATTACTGGCTGTATTCATCTTCTGTACATACGCTCCAATTTGTCATCCCTCATTATTATTCATGTTGGTACTACACGTGTTTTTACCAAAATGGAATGATTATCTCCCATTTTACATGTAATCCTTTATATTAACACAATTCTAAGCAGTTGACTTTAACGCTGTTGCATTGTTGACTCATTCACAGTGTGATTCACTACAGTCTCTGTCAAGACAAAGGTGAGATCTGAGTGAGAGAGACTCTTTGCTGGATCATTATGAGCCACGTCCCTAGCTCTTGAACTGTACCCACTCAAATATTTCTTGTGTGCACGAGCGCACACACACACCCCACTTCACAAGTCAGAGCGTCAAGCTACAGCCTTCATGGGGTAGGTGCATATGGTGATATTTGGAGCATTAAACGGAGTGATTGATACGACACAACTGAATCTGAGTTACAGCTGCATCTGTTAATTGTAACAGATCTCCTGTTTACAAGAGTGGGTGTCTGAAATTTAAGAATTCGAAGACCTGCATGCTTATATTCCTGGCTTCTATTTCTAAAGCCGTTGACATTTAAGTAAATAATTGTTTTTATCTGTTCTATTCTGAGATCCTCAAGTGAAAGACAGATGAGGTATGTGCCCTTTAATTACACATGCCCTCTGAGCATCCTACACAGCCACATTAGGGCAGCCTACTCAGCTACAGCAAATATTCATTTGTGAACTGTAGTGTTCCTGTAAATTTCCTTGATTACAAAATTTGTTTCCTGGGGTTCTTGTTAAAATACTCATCTTTAGTCCTCAGGCTTAGTTGCAATAGTTCCTTCTAGTTACAAGTTTCTTCAGAAATTTCTAGTAATGGGCCCCCCTAGATAGTGGCAAAGAACACGTATTTTATGCCAGAATGGTACTTGGAATTGTTCTGCTGTTATATACTGATAGATTTCACTGAAATCTATCAAGCATAATAGATTCCAGTTATTCCCAGAGGTTAAGAAATAGGGTATTCTGATTAATTTGAGTTTTCTGGAATAATTACCGTATGTACCATTCAAAGATGGACAGTCTTTATAACTGTATAATTGCTTCTTTGTGCATGTAGTAAGCTTTAGGAAATGTGTATCGAACTGACTAGAGCTGGAAGGACCCTTAGAGATTACCTTGTCTAAAGAAGAGGAAACCGAAGCCAGAGGGCTGGGTGATTTGCCCGCTGTGGCCCTCTGTACAAGGAGGAGGGCCAGGATGGAATCTAGACTTTTCCAGAGCGGCGCCAGGATTTTTTCAGCTGATTACACTGCCCTATATGCTTTGGGTTAAGGTGAGGTGGTGGAGAAAACTGTGGCAAAAGACCCAGTTACTTGGATTCTGGGTCAGAGTTCAATGTACTGAGTTATCTTCATCATATAACTGACCACTTAGTGCGGGTATACATGTGTGTTGTACAGGAAATGTGCCAGGCTCCTTCCATGCCTTACGCATTTAGTCTTCACAGCCACCTTATGAAAGAAGATACTGTTATTGTCCTCACTTCAAAATGAGAGTTGAAGCCCAGTAACTCACCTACTTCATAGAGCTGGGAATTGGACCAAGGCAGTTGGACGCCTGATTTCATGATCTAAACTACAGCACTGTCTTCCTGTTTTATTAATTGTTCCCATTCAACATGAAAAGAATTTTCTATCCAAAAATTGTTTTGAGGGAAATATCTTACTTCAGTAGTAATGTACAGGTTTAAATATGTCAAAAATGTTTTCTCTATTCAAACACATGTGAAACTCTTAATAGTCCAGACAGGCAAATAAAGAGCCAAAGGGCTTCACAGGATGAGGTTGTCCTGCTGAAATTCTGCTCAGCACGTGGAGTCTGCGTCTCCTCTCCAGCTATCTCTGAACACGTTCACGTCCATTTTCACCCAGGTCGTAGCTGTAAAGACCGGTCACAGGCTCAGATGGGAATGCAGCAATGATTATAAAACCAAGCTTGGTGCCTGAGTCTTTCAGGACTGTAGTTTCAACAGGCACAGGTGATACAGCAGCTGCTGAACCTCATCTGGTTTGGCACCACGGTGGGAGCTGATGGCCTCCCTAGCACTGACACAGCCTGCAGAGCAAAGCAACCTGAGTTCTCATCACCTGAGTCCCTAGGAGATCCTGTCTCTTGCCTTGTCTAACCAAGACTTATTAAAAACCACTTAATTTGGCCGGGTGCAGTGGCTCACGCCTGTAATCCCAACATTTTGGGAGGCTGAGGCAGGTGGATCACGAAGTCAGGAGTTCGAGACCAGCCTGACCAACATAGTGAAACCTTGTCTCTACTAAAAATACAAAAAAATTAGCCAGGCACGGTGGCGCACGCCTGTAATCCCAGCTACTCAAGAGGCTGAGGCAGGAGAATCGCTAGAACTCGGGAGGCGGAGGTGTGCAGTGAGCTGAGATCGCGCCATTGCACTCCAGCCTGGGCAACAGAGCAAGACTCCATCTCAAAAAAAAAAAAAACCCCACTGAATTTGACTCTCATCCTATTAATATTTGAGATTAGTGCTGAGAATTCAATGCATGTTCCGAGCATGTTTTAAAAAATCAACTTGAAGTATAACTTACATAAAATAAAATATACCAGTTTTATGTATTTTATGTTTATGAATGTACAGTTCAATGAGTTTTGACAAATATATGCATCTATGTAAATATCACCCCAAATAAGATAGGATAATCACCCCAGAAATTTCTTCATGCTCCACCCCAGTCATCTGCCCCCTCCCAGTCTGCACTCCAGGCAGACTCTGGTCTCCTCTCTGTCACTCTAGATTAAATGTGTCTTTTTTTTCTTTCTTTTTTTTTTTTTTTAAATAGAGACAGGGTCGTCTTGAATTCCTGGGCTCAAGCAATCCTCCCACCTTGACCTCCTAAAGTGCTAGGATTACAGACGTGAACCATTAAGCCCAGCCAGATGTGTCTTTTGAGAGTTCATATATGGTGCATGGAAGCATGTTTTGTGTCCCAGCTGCTTTTGCTCAGCATAGGTTCTCAAGATTCATTCAAGTTGTTCAGGCATTGTATATTCTTTTTATTATGGAGTAGTATTTCATTGTATGGATATACCACAATGTGTTTAATCTGTTCACCTGTTTACAGACATGTGGGTTGTTTTAGTTTTGGGGGTAATAAAAATAAAACTGGACCAGGCACATGGTCTGTAGCTCATGCTACATTGTAATCCCAATGCTTTGGGAGGCCAAAGGGGGAGGCTCGCTTGAGCTCAAGTGTTCAAGATCAGCCTGGGCAACATAGAGAGACCTTACCTCTACTAAAAATAAAAAAAATTAGTTGGACATGGTGGCACACACCTGTAGTCCCAGCTACTCAGGAGGCTGAGGCGGAGGGATTGCTTGTGCCCGGGAGATTGCAGCTACAGTGAGCTATGATCACATCACCGCACACTCCAGCCTGAGCAACACCCTGTCTCCAAAAAAAAAAAAGAATAAAAGAATAAAACTGCTATGAGCATTTGTGTACAAGTGTTTGTGTAGATATAACATTTTACTTTTCTTGGGCAAATATCTAGGAGTGGAATTCTTGAATCTTATGTTGTATGTGTATATTTACCTCTATAAGAAACTGCTAAACAGCTTTCCAAAGTTGTTCTGCCACTTTGTACTCCTACCGGCAGCGAATGCGACGTCTCCTTGCTCTGCATCCTCACCGACATTTCATATTGCCAGTTCTTGTTATTTTAGCCATTCTAGTGCAGGCCAAGTACATTTTGCATTTTCCTTTGATTATTGATGTTGAGCCTCCTTTTAGGTGCTTACTGGCCTGAAGATTGGCATGTCCTTGTTACAAAGTAAGTATCTGTTCAGATCTTTTGCCCTCTTCTAGTCCTACTCTGCTGAAAGTGTGTATGTGTTTTTTTTTTTTTAATCATCAATTGGGTGTTGAATTTTGTCAAACGTTTTTTCTGCATTTATTGAGGTGATCAAATGATTTTCCTTTATTTTAATATGGTAAGTTACATGGCATGGATTGATTTTTAAAAAATTCTTATTAAGTACACATAACAGATAATTTAACCACTTTTAAATGTTACAATTCAGTGGCATTAAGTACATTCACTTTTTTTTTTTTTTTTTGAGGCGGAGTCTCACTCTGTCACCCAGCTGGAGTGCAGTGGCGTGATCTCGGCTCACTGCAACTGCTGCCTTCTGGGTTCAAGCAATTCTTGTGCCTCAGCCTCCTGAGTAGCTGGAATTACAGGCGCCTGCCATCATGCTTGGCTAATATTTGTATTTTTAGTAGAGATGGGGTTTCGCCATGTTGGCCAGGCTGGTCTCAGACTCCTGACCTCAGGTGATCTGCCCGCCTCGGCCTCCCGAAGTGCATTTACATTTTTGTGCAGCCATCACCGCCATTCATCTTCAGAACTCTTCATCTTGCAAAACTAAAACTGTGCCCACTAACTGTAACTTCCAATTCCCACTCCACCATCTCCTGGCAGCCACCATTCTACTTTCTGTCTCTATGGATTTGACCTCTGTAAGTATATCCTAAAAGTGGAATCAGACAGTATTTATTTTTTTCTGACTTAGCGTAATTTCCCCAAGGTTCATACCTTTAGCAGGTGTCAGAGTAATATTTCATGGTATGGCTAGAACACAGCATGGGTTGATTTTTGAATGTTAGTCCAATTTTGCATTTCTGGAATACACTTGATCATGATATATTATCTTTTTTATATATTGCTGGATTCTATTTGCTAATATTTTATTAAGGAATTTTGTATCTTTGTTCATGGAAGAGTATTGTCTATAACTTTCTTTTTCTTTTGTAGTGTCTTTCTCTAGTTTCAGTATCAGGATAATGCTTGATCCATTAAATGAGTTGAGAAATATTTTTTCTCTGTTTTCTGAATTTCCATATGATTGATACTATTTCTTCCCTAGATAGTTGATAGATTTAACTGAGGGATCTGTGTGGGTCTGGAGTTTTCTTCATGGGAAGATTTTTAATAACAAATTCACTTTTAGCAAAATAGATGTAAAGCTTTTTAGATGTTTATTTCTTCTCATGTCAGTTATATAACTTACATCTTTCAAAGACATCCACTTCGTCTAGCTGTCGAAGAGATTGGTTCATAGTATTCTCTTCTAATGCCTCTAGAATCTGAGCGATGTCTCATCATTCATTCCTGATATTGATAAATTATCTTCCCTCTTTTTGCTCTTGATCAGTCTAACTAGCGACTTCTCAGTTTTGTTGATTTTTATTTCCATAACCTGCTCTTGGTTTTGGTGATTTTTCTGTATCTGTCTTCTATTTCATTGATTTACACACATTATTGCCTCCTTGTACTTACCTTGGATTTAATTTTCTCTTCTTTTTCTTTTTTTAATGGAAGCTTAGATATTTGATCTTCAAGTCTTTTTTCTTTTCTTATATAGGCTTTTAAAAACTATAAATTTCCCTCTGAGCATGGTTTTAGCTGCATCCCACACGTTTTAATATATTTTTATCATTCAGCCCAAGGTATTTTCTAATTTCTCTTGTGATTTCTTCTTTGACCCGTGAGTTGTTTAAAAGTGTGTTTAATTTCTGAATATATGGGGGCTCTTTATGTTATATTTTTGTTATTTATTTTTCACTTCAGTTGTGGTCAGAGAACATATTCTGCATGTTTCGAGACCCGGCTTATGGTCTGTCTTGGTGAGTGTTCCAGGTGCACTTGGAAAGGATGTACCTTCTACTGTTTTGGGATATAGAATATATATGTCATTGGGTTAACCCTGTTCAAGTCTTCTGTATTCTTACTGACTTTCTGTCTACTTGTTCTGTCAATTACTGAGAGAGGCGTGGTATTGACTATTTTTTAGGAGCATACACATTTAGGATTGTTATGTCTTCTGGATGAGCTCATCCTTCTAAGCTTTTAAAAAAATAATAATAATTCTTATGACCTTCCTTGCTTATAAATAATGGGTTTCGTTCACCCCTGAAGTTGTCCCCTTTCTCTGGGCAGAGGAGTTTCTTTGGGGTGGCATGCTATGGGAGAGAAATAGGTAGTAGGGCTCAGAGGGTCAGTGGTAGCATTGATGAGCAGAGGGGTCAAATTGATTCACTTTCTTTCTCCTCTGATATACAATATAAAAGAGTTTCTGCCAGAACTTGAAAGACTGCCACAAGACTTCTCAGCTTCAGGAGATCACAGCTGAGGCTAGTTAATGGTTTGTTGAGGCCACCTTAAACCTGTAGAGGGCACCCTCTAAAAGTTTGTTCAGGGCATTGCAAGCATCAATCCACCTGTCTCAGGTAGACTCCTAGATTTGGCTCCACTGAGAGAAGTATGTTCTGGTGTGGTTTTTAACTCCTTTGAAAAGGGCAAAAGGGATTTTGGAGCCACTGAGCGTGCATGCTGCTGGCTGTGGGAAAGACATTTTCTATCAAGGAGGCCCTCCTCCTGTGCTCACATCACACATTCCCAGACATGCATCCCAGTGTGGTCAGCTCCCAGCTGATTGATCACTGGCAGCCCTTGCTTAGTGGTGCTGCTTACCTAAACACCCTGGCCACTCCTAGGGTGCTTGTCCATTTCTCCTTCTTCAATATATGCAAATATATGCATGAAAACTTTTTTAAAAAGATAAAAAGGCTGGGCATGGTGGCTCATGCCTGTAAACCCAGCACTTTGGGAGACTGAGGCGGGCGGATCATCTGAGGTCAGGAGTTTGAGACCAGCCTGGCCAACATGGCGAAACCCTGTCAAAAATTAACCGGGTGTGGTGGTAGGGGCCTGTAATCCTAACTACCCAGGAGGCTGAGGCACAAGAATCACTTGAACCCGGGAGGCAGAGGTTGCAGTGAGCCAAGATCATGCCACTGGCACTCCAGCCTGGGTGACAGACAGAGACTCCATCTCAAAAAAAAAAAAAAAAGATATAAAAGTGAAGATTTATTTAGAGTGGGGGAAAAAAAACCCCACAATTTACGAACAAGGCAAAACCCTTTTGGAACGAAGCTGTTTAATTACCTGCCTTACTGTAAGATAGTGTTTCTAAACTCAGTCATTTGCAAACCAACTGTAGAATTTTTGCCATAACCTTTGGCCAGCTGTTCTATTATTTGTATAGTATTTTTAATATTCTTAAATAATGTAATTTTAATTATAATTTGTATAATATTTGTATAATTTTTTAAAGCCTAGCCTCTGTGGTACCATGACTGAGCAATGCTATCTATGAAATCACAGGTTTTATTTACTAGTTGTATATTGTTCTATACCTACAGATATTGAAATGAAAAATGTTCATCCATATATCACCTAAAACCACTTTTATGTGTATGACATTTTGGAAACTGTTAGTCTGTGCAAATTCACACCTGCAAATATGAACTTGACAGTAAACTTAAAGGAAAAAGCAAACTTTGCAGTGGCCTGAGAAGGACTACTTTGTGGCTACAGTTTGGAGGTGCCAGGGCACTTTAGGAAGGAAGGGGAAATAAGAGAGGCAGCAGAAAACCAGACTGGGGTACCTGTTTCTCAGGGAGGCAGATCCTTCCATTATCCTGTTTGGATGTCTTGAATTTCTAAACTAGCCGCATCCACAGTTAAAATACTCCAGGGGAAAATTATTAAATGAATGTTGTTCAGTTAAGCAGAGCGCATGTAAATTTTGTTTCATTACTAATCTAGAATACTTATATCACTGTTACCTTCAGTTGGTTTAAATATTCTTCAATTTACCATGTTTCTTACTCTAGCAGGGTTGGTTTTAATGTCATGTGTTTTATTTAGGAAGAACTTTTTGTTCTGAGAAGAAATTGTCTAAGGGAACGATTTCCAGATTGAGGAGACTTTAATAAAGGGACTGTTTCCAAAGGTGTGGGCAGGGTATAAGGAACCCATAAGGGACTAGGGCAGTACCTGGGCTAGTGCCCATGGGCGGAGCTGTTACTATCCTTCCCCCAGGGGTAAGAGGAGGGCATACTTACTGCAGCCCAGAGTGAGAGAGAGAGCTGCGTGGAGAGGGATCCTGACAGAGCTATGATGAGGGTTGTAGCCAGTTCCTGGGGAATTTGTAGGCAGGATAAATACCCTGACCTCACTGCTTTTCCACCTTCCACATCTCCCTTTGGCCAAACTCAGCCAGAGGGCAAAGGAGCCCATGGATGCAGTCCACGTGGGTCAGCTTTTTGGGGCACAGACCACTGTGGAGAGGGTGGGTCTGGAGAGGGTGAAGGCTCTGGTCATTTCCCACCCAATGCTCTTTACATAAGGTAGTGGGGCAGGGGGTGGAGAAACAGTGAACATGAAACATAGCTGCTGCTGCCCCCCTGCCGCCAGGAACAAGGTCTGTGATGTCATTGGTCATGGGTGACTTCTGCTTCCCCCCAGTCCATGTCCCTGTTATCCTCTGCTGCTGGTGCCTCTGCTGAATAGTGGAATGAACCAGACCTTTCCTGCTGTAGGATTGGAGAAATTGGTGTTTTGCTGTTACTGAGTTGTCACAGCTAGCCCTCAAGGACAAGGACCCTTGGCCTCGTGCTTCTCCTGCCCTCTGAGTCTCCGGCCAGTGCCTAGTATTGGTCAGAACACAGCTGGAAGCCAGAGAGGAAAAAGGCTTGTTGATGTAATCTGTGTGTAGGCCAGCCTCCTGGGGCACAGTGCGGGATGGCAGAGGGACAAACGAAAGCTCTCCAGCATAGTCCCTGTTCTAGAAGCCAGATCCATTTACTCCAGCTCACTTCCTGACTAGGTCATTTCAGGATCATGCCAAATATGAACAGTCTGTCCACTCTCTCGTTGGCCTTCTTAGAAAAATAATGAAAAGAACTGTGCTTACTAACTGAAATGCATTGATGTAGTAAAATGAACCAGAAACCTGAAAGAACATCCCTGCTTTTAAAGCTCATGCTTCGAGGTGTTTTCATGACTGCAATTAACTTTTTGAGGCTTTGTATTTCTGTAGACACAAACAGAAGTTCCTAACCTTTTTGTGCAGAAAAAGACAATGTTTGTACACATAAAAGGAACAGCTAATACCATTATTTGCCTATTTTGTGTTAAGTGCTTTATGTGCTGTGTTCACTCCTTTACTTCTCATAATGATTATGTGAAGAGGATAGTGATGCTACCTTATTTCACAGATAAGGATGCCAAAGCTTAGAGAGGTTAAAGTAACTTGTCCAAGATGAGGGCACTGTGAGAACTTGAGCATCTAGGTCCCTGTGATTCCTAAGCCCCAGCTTCAGACTCTGTTGTGCTGAATAGAGTTGTAAGGAGTCCACGTGCAAGATTCATTTATCAGTTGTCTGTTGAGAGCCTGCTGTGTGCTGGACAGTGTGCTGGGGGCTGATGGCAGGGAGAAATATGGCCTGTGCCTTCCCCCTGTGGAGTTCTCAGTCTAGTGGGCAAGGTAAACAAATAAACAGTCATTCCCCCACATGTGTGAGATAGACTGTGATGTGTACTATGAAGGACAGGGCAAGGATACCGTGATTGATGACACTTGTCTGGTGTGCATTTGAGGGCCTTGGAGAAGGCTTCTCTACTGAAGGTTCTGTTCAGTAGACACCCGAAAGCAATTCACTTAAGAGGTTGGGGGATGAGTCCTGAGGTGGGAAAATCTGGAGCTCCAGCCGAGGCACCTCGCCCAGGAAGGTCTGTTTTTGTGTGAGTTACTTTCCGTTTGTCATCATCTCAGTCCTGCTTTATAACCCAGCTGCCCTACAGTAATGCCCTCAGTAAAGGGGAGAGGAAGGGCACAACTTCACTGTGTCTGTTCACTTTGTTGGATGACATTTTGTGATTAAGAAATTTTTACTACTTGTAGAAGAAACAATTACAGAACAAAGTTGTGTTTACTCTGGGATCTTTATTTCTCTTTGATTCAGTCTACTTAAATCAGTCCCGTTCACCACATGTTTATTGAGTATGCATTATGTGCAGGATTATTGCAGGAATTAAAGACGTGAGCCTCAGACTCTCCCCTCAAGGAGTTGATTGTCTGATGAATGACTATCAAACTTACTGTCATACAAATAGCGTGTTTGTCCCAGGAGGGGTTCTGCGGTTTCCTCAGATGTGTTGACTGTTTCTGACTCTGAGTGTGCATTTGCTTTAATGTATGGTTATGACTAGAACAAGTCGTTCAGTGATTGTGATCATTCTCTTTGGCGTTTCTTTTTGTGAAATCTACCATGTAGATTCTCAGGGACGTTAAAAAAATCAAATGGAAATGAAATAATGGTTCTACACGTGTGCGGCAAACTGAGTAACTGGAAGCAGTCACCACATCCGAGCATTGCCAAGAGGTGCCACAGCGACAGTCCTCAGCCCTTCCTGGGCACGGGAGGGAAAGCCATTGGAATGTGGGAAGGCAGGCATCATCTGCCCTCGCCAGCTCCTGGTTGAATGTCTGCCGCCCACAGGTTGCTTTGCTTTAACTCCATGTGAATTGTTGCATCTCAGTTCACCATCTATCTGAGCTCCAAGCGTCATTTCACCAGATCTGACAGAAATGGCTGACTTAATAACCGTTGTTAATTGGTGTTGCTGGAAAGCTCAACACAGGTGTTTTATTATTAGGGGTTTTTTTTCTTTTTTCTCTCTCGTAAAGATGTAAGGGCATGCAGAGCAGGTAGCTGTTGAGTGACATTAAAATTCTTTCCCAAACTTAGTATGTTGCTTAAATGTTTTAGGGAAAACTAGGACCCACAAGATACCTGAGTAAATTTGTAATGCAAGAAGAACAGAAATTTAGAAATTATTAATTATATTAATATTTTTAGTTATTAATATAAAATAAAATGCAAAGCAAGTATTCACTGTTTCACTCCTCCCTGTTTCCTGCCAACTTTGCACATTAATTGAGAGTCACAAAATCAAAAACCCAGCAGGAGAACTTCAGGACGTTTAACCTGGTTGTCCTGTTTCTCTGGAGACAAGCCTTCTGCCTTGAAGAAACTGGAAACCCCATGAAGGCAGAGACTGCCTTAGTCATCACTGCATCCCTGAGCTCACTTAGGCACTGCATGAATATTTACCAAATGACTGGGAAGAAAGAAAACCATCAATTGATTTCATTTTGTTACTACACTACTAAAAGATTTCTCAGTTGTTTTATGAGAAACCTGAAGAATGACAAAAATGAAACCTGCTTTTTCCAAGGAATCCTCGCAGACCTAATAAAAGCACTGCGGTGTGTAAGAAAGCCCTAGAATGGGGAATCCAGAGACGTGGATTCTGGGCTCAGCTGTGCCACTCAGCCATAGTGTCTTCCTGGGCAAGTCACTTAGCCTTCTTTTTTCTGTCATTTGTAAAACAGGAGTTTTCTGCTTGCCCTGCTTACTTCCCAGAGTTGACGAGAGATTGAGCGAGGCAAAGAGTGCAAAAGTGCTTTGAAAACTGGAAAACAGTGCCTGCTCTGTCACTCTCCCTCCTCTAGCAGAAAGGCCAAGCTCGGGCCCCGCCATCCTCCCCTTTCACAAGGCCTGTGAGCCAGCTGCCATAATTGTTTTCTATCCTTAGTACTTAATGTCATTCCTAGAACACAGTCATTGTTGAGGAGTAGGCACTCAAAAATATTTATTAATAGATACTGTAGGAATAGTAAACAATTCTTCTCTAAATCATGCTAAGTCATGTGTAAGAAGAACTCTATTTTGTGATGGTATTTGTCACGTGTTCTAGTTCATGACGTACCCATGAACTCAAAGGGCGACTTGACACCCCGTAGCAGGAAGAAGGTAGGCAGGTTGGTTTATACGTTTCAGCGTGTGCTGGGCCCTTGTGCATTGATTTCGACTTCTGGAAATGGAGGGGTAGCTTTTATTTGCTTGCCTGGGTGATTCTCCTACATTTCATCAGGTAATATATTCACATGGCTCGAAATTCAAGAGCTACTAAGGAGAAGACAGGATCAAGCTCCCCATCTACTGCTGCCTGGTCACCATTTCCCTCCCAGGAAGCAGCTCTTCCTCATCTTGCCAGCTCTGCCTGCCTAAGTGTTGAGTTGCCATAAAGAGATCTTGAAGTTTTTGAGTGTCTTTCCTTGGAAGAGAACAACACAGTAGATAAGTAGCCAGTTGTGTTAGGATGAGAAGGGTGTGTAGTGAGAGATGGTGTGGAAATTTAAGCTAGTGTGTGTTTATTTCTGTCTGCAGTACGTCTAGTCTTGCTTTTAGTTGTACGGTTTTGTTTTTTGTTTGGTTGGTTGGTGTTATGTTTTGGTTTTTTGTTTTTTTTTTTTGTTTTTGTTTTTGTTTTTTTGAGACGGAGTGTCTATCACCCAGGCCGGAGTGCAGTGGCATAATCTTGGCTCCCTGCAACCTCTGCCTCCTGGGTTCAAGCGATTCTTGTGCCTCAGCCTCCTGAGTAGCTGAGATTACAGGCGCATGCCACCATGCCCTGCTAGTTTTTATGTATTTTTAGTAGAGATGGGGTCTCACCATATTGGCCATGTTGGTCTCGAACTCCTGACCTCAACTGATCCTCCTGCCTTGGCCTCCTAAAGTGCTGGGATTACAGGCGTGAACCACTGTACCCGGCCTGGTTGTACAGTTTAGAAAGTATTTTTGATTTTCTTGAGCAAATAATCAGAAATGTTTCACAACCGTGATATAAATATTTTATAAATCTGAGAAGTAAGCAAATTTGACCTAAGCTTCCAATCTCTTTCTTCAGCATCTTGAGATTGATAGTTGTAGTTTCAGTCAATCTCATCTCCTGAAGTAATTAAACAAGCCCTCGTCTGTTTCCACCCACTGTCAAAGGCCTCTCAGTCTCATCACTGCGGACAGGTGTAGAGGAAAATCTTAAATCATTTTCAGATCATGCAAATGATTCCCTTCTTGATATCTACTGGGCATTACCCTTTTCCCCAAAAGGTGGTCTATTAATATATGCATTCCTAACTTTTAGATTTTGTACGGGTGGAGAAAATGAACAGCATATATTTTACACATTGTGTGGGGTAAGTGCTATTTAAATCCGGCTCGAGCTGCTAAGCATCACACTAACATGGGATCACTGGCTAGGGCCCAGATTTGTTGTGTGTGTGTGTTTTTTTTTTCTTTTGAGGAGGGGGTCAGTCTTTAGAGAACTAAGCCATCTGTCCAGTAAATTATTTTAAGGTTTTAATAACAAATAGTTTGCAATGTATTTGGATGTGTGGAGTAAAAAATTAATGTTTTGCAAAGGCGATATCTTTAGAAATGTCTTCCACATTCTGTTTTGTGATCATTTTAGTATTGTAATCCCAATTTGGTAGCGTGCATCTTTGTACTAATGTTTTGCAGAATTAATTAGTTCATTAAAAGCAACATTTTAAAATTGGCATGTCAATAACAGTGTGTTTCTTTAGAAGGTTTTGCTTCTAAGAGGCACTGAGCTTCTACTAAAACACATGCAGGGATTCTGGAGCTGCATATCAAGCTGGAAGACTATAAAGGAGCTCTGCAGCTTTCTTCGAGGTTTGTTTTGTGGAGTTCTCTGGTTGCTGTTGTTGGTGACTTTTGATGGCTAATGTAATGGACCCCCGACACCTCACATCTTCCTCTGCTAAAGAGAACTTTGTATTGTAGTTGTTTTATAATGGCCTAATTTGGGTCTCCGTGGCTTACTTTTAATGTACAGTCTGTTCATTCAGGAAATATTTAAGGCATGCTTAGCGGGTGCCAGATACTGTGACAAGGTGCTGGGATTCAGCATCAAAGAAGACAGTCATAGGTTCCCATAGAATTCTGTAGGGGAGTTAGGTGTTGAATAATCACTCAAAAAATTATTTAATGACAAAGGGGACAGGAGCACAAAGCAAATTTAAAAGTACCATGAGAGATAAAATGGGGTACACTGACTGATGGGGTGCCAAGGGAAGTGTGAGACCGTACTTCCCTGAGGAAGCATCATTTAAGATGAAAACTCAAAGACGGAAGCATGAATAGGAATGACCCAGGCACGGGGGTGAGAATACTTGTGAGAAGAATCTTCCAGACAGAGTGTGCACAGTGTCCAAGATAGAGTGAGCCTGCTCAGGGACGTGGAAGAAGCCTAGATGAGGCTGTAACAGTCACTGCAGCTGGAGTGAAGGTCTCCTTGGCCCTCCTAGGACTTGAGACTTTAGTTTACCACTGAGCTGTGCCTTAACAGTGATACAAAAAGTAGGGAGCCCTTTACTTATACAAACAAGGAGCATGGGTGTAAAGCATGAGAAATGTGGCTTTAGAGGGCAAAAGTGGTTACCCCAATCAGATGACCTCTGAAGTCATGGGGGTAGGTCTTTGATTTTGTTGGAAGGATGAGTAACAGTCAGAGGCAGGTGTTTAAAAACAGACACAAAAGATACGTGTTGGCAAGAATGTGGAGAAAAGGGAACCCTCACACAGTGTTGATGGAACTGCAAATTAGTACAGTCATTATGGAAAATAGTATGGCGGTTCCTCAAAATGTTAAAAATAGAACTACCATATGACCCAGCAATTCTGCTACTGGGTATATGTCCATAGGAATGAAGTCAGTGTGTCAAAGAGACATCCACATCCCTATGTTCATTGCAATATTGTTCACAATAGCCAAGATGTGGAATCAACTTAACTGTCTATTAGTGGATGAATGAGTAGAGAAAATGTGGTGTATATACACAGTGGAATACCATTCAGCCTGAAAAAGAAGGAAATCTTGTCATTTACAACAACATGGATGAACCTAGAGGACATTATATTAAATAAAATAAGCCAGAGACAGAAAGACAAATATTGCACGATCGCTTTTTTTTTTTTTTTTTTTAAGAGATAGGGTCTGATTTGTCACCCAGGTTGGAATGCAGTCTCACAATCATGGCTCACTGCCTCCTTGAACTCCTGGGCTCAAGCAATCCTCCCATCTCAGCTTCCCAAGTAGCTGGGACTATAGGTACATACCACCACACCCGGCTAACTTTTTTTTTTTTTTTTTTTTTTAA
Organism: Homo sapiens; assembly: GCF_000001405.40. NCBI lineage: Eukaryota > Metazoa > Chordata > Mammalia > Primates > Hominidae > Homo > Homo sapiens. The sequence continues at coordinate 131,945,793 of NC_000009.12, read as the reverse complement.
GAGACAGGATCTTGCCATGTTGCCCAGGCTGATCTCGAACTCCTGAGCTCAAGCCATCTTCCTGCCTTGGCCTCCCAGTGTTGGAATTATAGGCATAAGCCACCGCACCTGGCCACGATCTCACTTCTATGTGGAATCTAAAAAAGTTGAACTCATAGAAGTACAGAGTAGAATGGTAGTTACCAAGGGCTTGGCATGGGGGTTGGGGAGAGATACTGATCAAAAGATATAAAATTTCAAGTAGGTAAGAGGAATAAATTCAAGAGATCTATTGTATAACATGGTAGCTGTAGTTAATAACAATGTATTATATTCTTGAAAATTGCTAAGACAGTAGATTTTAGGTGTTCTTACCACACACACACAAAAATGCTAAATATGTGAGGCAGTGTATGTGCTGATTAGCTTGCTTTAACTGTTCCACAATATATGCATATTTCAAAACAACAGGTTGTACATGATAAATATATACAATCTTTATTTGTCAATTAAAAAATAAATAAACAAAAACTAGCCTGCGGCTCTATCACAGAAACATGATTTAAAGATGATCAGAATTAGTAGATTCTTTGTACCCCCTATGCCATTTCAGTTATGTTCACTTCTGGGCTGCAACAAATATATTTTTATATTTATATATATATAAATTTTTTATATATAAAGATATTTTTATATATTTATATATAAATATTTTTATATAAAATTATTTATATATATTTATATATAAATAAAAGTAGCTTTATTGAAAAATGAAAGTTAACCATTCAGAAAAGAACAAAAAAGCAAACCAGGGACCACAGTTCTAGAACAGGGCTAAAGCAGGGATGCTTAACTTGGGATCCATGAATGGACTTTAAAGGTCCATGAACTGCAGAAGATTGTATATAAAATGTTGTACAGACATGTGTTTTAATTTTCATACCTTCTCCAAGGGATCTGTGACCCAAGAAAGACTAACAAACAGCCGGGCGTGGTGGCTCACACCTGTAATCCCAACACTTTGGGAGGCAGAGACAAGCAGATCACCTGAGGTCAGGAGTTCGAGACCAGCCTGGCCAACATGGTGAAACCCTGTCTCTACTAAAAATACAAAAATCAGCCTGGCATGGTGGCGGGTGCCTGTAATCCCAGCTACTTGGGAGGCTGAGGCAGCAGGGAGAATTGCTTGAATCCATGAGGTGGAGGTTGCAGTGAGCTGAGATTGCGCCACTGCACTCCAGCCTGGGTGACAGAGCGAGACTCCATCTCAAAAAAAAAAAAAAAGACTAAAAACCACTGATGAAAGAAATCAGAAAACCCAACAGTCTTTTATAAAGTCCATTCATGGACCCCAGAAAGCCTTTAGTTTTTGGAGGAAATATTTGTGTGTCATTCTAAAGGCTAAAGTAGGGTGATTGGGTGCAGATACTAGTAAGTGGATTTGAAACAATCAGACGTCAGGCAATGCAAGGGGTTGCCTCATGAGGTGGCAATGGGGGGTATTTATGCAGACCACCTGTTGGAGATGCTGTTCAAGCCGTAAATTGTTGGGGACACTGGATGAGAGGACCTCTGAGGTCCTGGTGTTCTTTAATTCTCGGACTAAGGCCATTGAAAGGAGCAAGCTGGGCTACTTGAAGAAAATTAGAAGTGAACAAAAGTATAGGGCTCTTGAAATCCATTTTCGCCATTTGAAAATGGTGGGATTGTTTCTGATGCAGCGGAGATGTTGAGGCAGTTGAGACTGAAGCTGTCCTTCTGGAAGAGATGGTTGGGTTGTGCTGGAAAAAAGTGGATTGGAAACCGTTGAGAGTCTTACCGCAGCTAGGGCAAAGGGCAGGGAAACAGAATGCTCTGGTTGCTTAAAAGTTCGTTTTCTATCCGAACATACTGAAGTTATGGATCATACCTTGATTTGAATCTGTAATTTCTAGAAGTTTGTGTTTCTAGCCCAGTTCTTGGACCATCAAGCCAGCTCATTGACCAAATACTTCAAAAAGGAGAACCAAGCAGCTCTCCATTTTCGAAAGCCTTCTGTAATGTAAATAGGAACAGCAGTCTTTCCAAGTTATTACCCTGTTAACAGGTTGACAGATATGTGCAAATTGTGACTCACTGCTCAATTTGGCACTAAATTAATGTCTTTCCGCGCCGCGTCTGCTCAAGTGTAAACTAGTCACCACTGCTGTGTTACTGCTTGTTTGCCTATATTCCAAAGGTAAAAATTAAAGTAATTTGATTCTGCCACAGAACAGAGTGTAACATATGGTGGAAGTGTAGGAGGGGAGCACACTGTTCCTACCTGTCCTTAGCCCTGCTCTCAAAGTGGGGCGCCGCACTGCAGAGCCCGCTGCAGACGCTAGCCGTGCTCACCGTCTCGGGAGGCAGCACTCAGAGAGTACTGCCAGAGACCACCTCCCATACCAACACCCCCTCCCTCAACAAGAAAGAGTGTCATTTTTGTCTCTAGATTTTTAATTTGAGCTTCCAAGCTTTCCTTATTTCTGTCAAGTCACTAGTGGTTGATTTGTGTTTCGAAGGTTGGGTCTGTTTGAAAATGAAATGTTTTGATTTTTGCCTCGAGAATTTAGACATTGTTTTCCTCAGCTAAAAATGCAGCTGACTTTCTCTCTTTCCCCTTTTGGCAAATACATAATGTCACCTGTAGAAAAGAAATTTGCATCTCCTTTGTATTAGGCATGTGAATGGAAAACAATCTCCTGAAAATCCATTTTGCTTCATACAGTCTTTGAGTTTGCTGAGCTTTGTCTGAGGTCACGGGTTGGGGAAGAAACAACAAAACAACAACAAAACCCACCCAGATCTCTTTACTTACCTGTGCCAACTGCAGATATTTTTCCTAGGAACTTATTTTTCTTCTGCCATTGCCTTTTCTTACAGGTAAAAATCTCATCAATAAAGGAATCAAAAATGGCCAGGAACATTTGTTTGCCCATTTAGAACTCTGGCCCTTACTAAAAGCAAGCAAAGTTAGGTAGTTGGCATGGAATTCTAGAAATCTACACACTGAGCTTGGTTTCTGGCTTTTTGCTTGACCTGGGATCATCACTTAACCCACCTCATTTCTTTATTTTTCTAGCCTCCTAAGGAGACTAGTTTTCCAGAATGTATCTTGACGCCTTCAAGGTGAAAGGTACAATGGAAAGCAAATTATGATGTTACCTTTGTGCTGAAGATCTGCATATTCATCTGCTTTCTGCTGTCCAGAGCTATGATGGCTATTGATTGAGGACAATAGCCTCAATGTTCAGAAGACATCGCCTATCCTCCTCCCCATTAGCATATACTTAGCAATGACCTCCATTCACACAGGACAGTGGATGTTTGCTTCCTGCTGAGTCGGAAGAAACTGGGTTTAAACCACACATATAGATTTAGAGAAGAAGTATATACATGCAGAAATGTTTCCAGTGACCTGGTATAAACTTTGGGCATGATGTTTTTGTCATGTGCCTTCACCATTTCAAGAAACGTCAGGCAATGATGAAAAATGAGTTCATTTCCTCCTTTCTTCACTTCTCACCCCTTTTGTAGCATTTAAGCTTAGATCCAAGGTTGTGTGTCATGATGCTGTAAATCTAGAGGGAACCACGGGAGATGATGTGTGGTCAACCTGTGTCTTAGCCATCCAGGAAAGATTGTTTATTAAACTATTAAAAAATCAGCAGAGGCTGGGCACGGTGGTTCACGCCTGTAATCCCAGCACTTTGGGAAGCCAAGGTGGGCAGATCACAAGGTCAGGAGATCAAGACCATCCTGGCTAATATGGTGAAATCCCGTCTCTACTAAAAATACAAAAAGTTAGCCAGGCGTGGTGGCGGGCACCTGTAGTCCCAGCTACTTGGGAGGCTGAGGCAGGAGAATGGTGTGAACCAGGGAGGTGGAGCTTGCAGTGAGCTGAGATTGCGCCACTGCACTCCAGCCTGGGTGACAGAGCGAGACTCGGTCTCAAAAAAAAAAAAAAAAAAAAAAAAAATTCAGCAGAATGGGGCTTTGCCTTTAAGAAATGCCTGTCATTCTTTCTGAGCAAGTTCACTTTTTGGTGCCATATCCTCACGGTATGGTGCTTTTGAGAGATAGGAGATGCTGTTTGGTACTGAGATCATGAAAGCCATTCATGTACTTGAAGAATATCAAAGTCTCCCTTGGCCTTCTTTTCTCCGGGAGCAAATACCCTTCAGTGCACCTCCACGCCTTCTCACTCATCTCTGCTGCAGTCTTCTTACTGTTGTCGTTGTTTACCACTGGGCCGTCTCTAATTTTTCCCCTTCCTTCTTCAGCTTAAAGTTTTAAAACTCGACATAACATTCTCTAAGGAAAACCTGATAGGCTTTCCTTAGAGAATAGGTAGGGTCACTTTCTAACTTTCAGAGCTGGCGTGTGTGTTCGCTTTTTAACAAAAGGCATTATGTTTTCTGCTATCTTTCATGAGCCCCAGGTTCAAACTAAAATCTTTTCATGTTGTGAACCGAGAACTAATCTCCCTCTTACCCCAAGAGAATATACCTTTTATATGTCCCTGACTTAACGGACATGTAATTTAATTTGTCGTAGCCAATGGATATGAAATCCAATGTAAAATCCTTAATAGATAGTTTTACATGTCAGCTATTATATTATACATCCTCTTTGTGTCCAGTGTAATTGGATGGTGAACACAAATTCTTGTATGATTTTGTTCTCAAAGGACCTGAGCCAGACCCTACTCAGTGCTATGGGCTGATGTCTTCACAATGCGCTACCACTGTAGGGGAGAATTTATCCCAGTAAGAGAGGGCATTTTTGCAGAATTGGCCCATGGTGTAAGTGGTAGAACTATCAATCAGGGCACTTAAAATTTTTGAGTCCTTTATATGTGCCAGTTCTCATGCTAAGTCCTTAATGTCACTGAAAACCTTAAGAGATACAGGTTTCATCTGGGTATAAGAATAGAGGATTCCCTTTTGGTGGGATATCTCCAAGGAAAACATGAAGCTGATAGCTTGCCTGATATGTTTGGGGTAAGAGCCAGGTAGAGAGTTTAGGAATAAAACTGTAACAGATACATAGAAAACTAATCAAATGAAAAGGCAAAACAGGGCTGGGTGCAGTGGCTCACGCCTGTAATCCCGGCATTTTGGGAGGCTGAGGCAGGTGGATCACTTGAGGTCAGGAGTTCGAGACCAGCCTGGCCAACATGGTAAAACTCCATCTCTACTAAAAATACAAAAATTAGCCGGGAGTGGTGGTGGGTGCCTGTAATCCCAGCTACCTGGGAGGCTGAGGCATGAGAATCTCTTGAACCTGGGAGGCGGAGGTTGCAGTGAGCTGAGATAGCACCACTGCACTCCAGCCTGGGCAATAGAGCAAGACTCAGTCTCAAAAAAAGAAAAAAAGAGAAGAAAAAATAGAAATGTAAGAAAACAGAAAGCTGTATAAGTAAATAAATGTAGTCATGAGCCACTATGTGTCTCAGCTATTAAAAATATATGCAGAGATTTTAGAATATAATCACAGACTACTGATTTAAGTAAAAATTGTGATATAACTTGAATTAGAGCACAACCAGGAGATCAGGAATGACTTCAGGTATTTAAAACAGAAGGAATTGGCCGGGCACAGTGGCTCATGCTTATAATCCCAGCACTTTGGGAGGCCGAGGCGGGCAGATCATGAGGTCAGGAGTTCGAGACCAGCCTGGCCAATATGGTGACACCCCATCTCTACTAAAAATATAAAAAGTAGCCAGGTGTGGTGGGGATCGCCTGTAGTCCCAGCTACTCGGGAGGCTGAAGCAGGAGAATCGCTTGAACCCGGGAGGCAGAGGTTGCAGTGAGCCGAGATCACGCCACTGCACTCCAGCCTAGGTGACACAGCAAGACTCTGTCTCAAAGAAAAAAAAAAAAAAAAAAAAGGAAGGAATTTAATCCTGGGAATTGGTTATTCCAGTGATTCAAAGGAGAAGCCAGATTAGACAGTGAGACAGCCCGGAGGTGCGCAACAGCAGGACACTGCTGCCATCCTGGACTGGAAGGACAAAGGGAGGGGGCCATGTTGTTGGAGTCCAGTGGCCCAGCAGGTGACACAGCTAAATTCTGACCTCCTATAGAAGAAGATTAATAGTCATGCCTTAAAATGAAAAATCAAGAACTAGCATTAAAAACACATTATCTGGACATACAGAGGTAAAGACTAAAAGGTTTCTAATTCTATTTGCCTTCTTAAAAATGTGTTATATTGATTTAAAATTATATTTAAAAGCAATGTCTTTTGAATACTATTAATCTGTAGCTCTTAACTGGAGTTGTAGTTCACACATGTTTATTTTTTTCCCATGTAGATATGTTGATGATGTGATCAGCCGCATTGACAGGATGTTTCCTGAAATGTCCATCCACTTATCCAGACCCAATGGAACATCAGCAATGCTTCTGGTAAGATCAGCTTGACTGATTTGTAGGGATGTTGGGGGAAAAAATGGACTTCACAATTAACTCTCTGGTCCTGTGTTGTAGGATCTAGAGAATGGGGATTAAATTCCAATTTGATAGTGAATAACATAGTTTCTTTACTGGCATTCTGTAGGTTAAGAATTCTGCACATTGAAACCTTGCTTTTGAACAAAATTTCAGACCCCATGTAAGACTTAACCAGAGAGGAAAGACACTGTAAGACCATTTCACCTTAAGTCACTTAATGCAACCTCCCAATGTTTTGGCGAATCTGTTTTCTATTTTCCCCAAAGGAGTATAGTAGACAATAGTGATGCTCAACTGTTGGATCCTGCTAAAGAAAACACTCTCGCCAGGCGCGGTGACTCACGCCTGTAATCCCAGCACTTTGGGAGGCTGAGGCGGGCGGATCACGAGGTCAGGAGATCGAGACCATCCTGGCTAACACAGTGAAACCCCATCTCTACTAAAAATACAAAATATTAGCCGGGTGTGGTGGTGGGTGCCTGTAGTCCCAGCTGCTGGGGAGGCTGAGGCAGGAGAATGGCATGAACCTGGGAGGCGGAGCTTGCAGTGAGCCGAGATCACTCCACTGCACTCTCCAGCCTGGGTGACAGAGCAAGACTCCTTCTCAAAAAAAAAAAGAAAAAAAAAGAAAACACTCTCTTAATATAAAACCAGAATATTATGTATTTGAAGAAAGTGTTCTGAGACTGATGACTTCTGGTTTTGCTGTTTCTGATTATGGTTTGCTCTGAACACATCGCCTCATAATCTCCTAGAAGATGTTTGTATTTGCATGAATTCACCGAAGACAGGTGTGTTTTGGAAATACAGTGGGATAGAAATGCTAAATTATGTTATTAATTAGGAAGGCATAGAGACCTCAATGATGAGAAGCTTTTCTAGTGGTCTGTGTAATAATACTTGTATGTGCTTGAAGAATACTTCCCTGAACACAGATTTTTGAGGAACCACCACATTTTATAAAAAGCAGAGTTTATTGAATAAGAATGATGGTTTCGATGGGCGTCAGGGAGGTAAGGTTCAGGACTGGGTATTTTTTCCATCTATTCTGCTGTTGCTGCTTTGGAGCCTAGTGTGAACTCCCCATATTTTAGCATTTTACTTGTGTGAAATCTTATAAATAGCCAGTCACCCAGGATGAGTTACTGTTTACTCCAGCCGTTCATCTTCGGGGAGCATTGTGTGTGCGTGCGTGTTTTGGTCTTAAGACAGGAAAAGATCTGGGCTTGTTAAATGTTTGTTACTTCGTTTGTGGGGGAAACAAATTAGTGACATTCACCTGGATAACATAATATTTAAAAAATTTCTTTCAGTTAAAACATAAAGAAAAGGAGATAATGCGATGTTTTTTTCATAGAAAAGGGAAACAGTTTTCTTCATATAAAATACATCTGTCTACAGAACACAAAATATCGTCTGCCTCCAGAGGTTGCAGTGAGCTGAGATCGCGCCATTGCACTCCAGCCTGGGCAAAAGAGCGAGACTCTGTCTCAAAAAAAAAAAAAAGTCTGCCTCAGTTAAATGTACAAATTGCCCAGATTTTAAGATACCCCAGACCTAGCAGTTGAAACATAAACCCTGCTCTCAGCATACCTGACAGGGCCCCAGAGAGTTAATGAAGATAAAAATGAATGCATCCTCAGTGAAATAGGTTTGTTCAAATTATTTCTGGGTCATTGAGCTCCCATTTCATAATGAGGGTGGGATTTGGCATTGAAGGGAATGAGCAGAGGGAACAGGATTCCAGGCAAACAGGCCACACAGATGAGTTCCTTCCACCTGAGAAGGCAGGCATGTATTTCACAGTGATGGTCGACCTCGCCTGCTTTCCCATGGAGCTTCTGTCCTAATAGACTGATGAGAGAGTTTAGGGGCTCAATTCAAGGCAAGAATCACATTTCATATGCCCTGTTTATTTACTACCACTAACACCCATCCACCCCCGCTAATTCAGACACGTGGATCTAGGTGCCTACTTGTTACCTTTCTTCAGCGACACAGGAACTCACAGAAGCTGGTGCTTACTTACAGGGCCAGTGGTAGGTGATTTGATTCAGAATCAGATTGCCATGGGCCATGGGGTTAATCATACTTTTAACATAATGCCTGCATTTGGCATTTACTATTAAAAGTTGGAATTTTATGAGATGGCAAATCTCTAGGCTATTCACTGCTACCACATCCATCGTGAGGTGGGTGATGGGAATTCCTACCTGGAGGGGGAGCAGGACCAACAGATGCCACCTCCCCCACTACCTACTGCTAGTCACCTGTTCCCCAAAAAGTGTTTTCTGGAGATGAATCTGGAATAAATTGATTTATTCTGGAATGCAGTGTATTCCTGAAGGCTTTGGGGGCAAGCGAGACTGATGGGGAAAGACCAGTTAAGAGGCCGTTGAAGCAGGGTGCACTTGAGCAGTCTCAGCTGACACCTTCCTTTACCTCCCTCGGCAAATGTACGAACTGTGCCTGTGCTTTTGAAATAAAACGGCATTTCCTCCTGAATTGGCTGGGCTTCCTTGAATGCAGTCAACAGAAACTCTGATTGACTTACATAAGGAAAGAGTTGGTTTTGGTTTTGCTGTTTGATGGTGCCAGGTGCATCAGACTCAGTGATTAATCTGACCTGCCCGGCAGGACAAAAACCAGAGTAGCTCCAGGCATGTCAGGAACAAGATCAGGACAACGTTTTTTAGGGGGCCCCATGGCCCAAATGATTCCGTATTAACCGCCTTCCATCCCTGTGCATACAACCTGGGAAGAACACTCCTGCTGGCCTAGCCTGCAGTTGCTCCTTGCCCTGAGCCCAGAGGATGGGGGAGTCAGGCCTTGGCAGCCCCACAGAACTGCAAGGAGTGGAGGGGAAGTAATTCCCTAGAGGAACCAGCCGTCTGTATGGCACAGTGAACGTCTGTGTGGACAGAGTCTTGTGGCTTACACAGCACTTATCTCATCTGGTCCTCACTGTGGCCCTCGAGGTGGGTAGCACCAACTGTGCTCATCTGACAAGTAGGAAATGGAGGCAGTTGTTTCCCGTGGCTGCGGGGACACCTATCCCTATCTCCCCAAGCCTCCAGGATGCTGTCCTCCTCTTGTCTCTGAGGACAGGTCATGCTGGTGGCAAGTAAGATTTGGACTACCAGGCACTAGGCTGGTGATTTTTTCTTTCTTTCTTTCTTTCTTTCTTTTTTTTTTTTTTTTTTGAGACAGGGTCTCACTTTGTCACCCAGGCTGGAGTGCAGTGGCGTGATCACAGCTCATTGCAGCCTCAGCCGCCTGGGCTCAAGCAATCCTCCCACCTCAGCCTCCTGAGTAGCTGGGACCACAGGTGTGTGCCACCATGCCTGGCTAATTTTTGTATTTTTTGTAGAGACGGCAGGCTGGTCTCGAACTCCTGAGCTCAAGTGATGCGTCTGCCTCAGCCTCCCAAAGTGCTGGGATTACAGATATGAGCCACTGTACCTGGCCAATTTTTTCTTAAAATTTTTAAATTATGTAATTTGATATATACTAAAGAATATATGTAATGTATATGTAAATTATAAAGCTTAGATAAACCCATGAGCTCATCACTCAATTTGAGAAATAGAATATAAACAATATGGCTCCTCCCCAGTCCCTGCCTCCCGACCCGTGGTCATCTCCACCCTGAGAGGCACCCCTTCTCATTTTTAAAATGCAATTTGCCACATGTGCCTGTATCCCTAAATAATGCCTCCTTGAGTTTTGAGCTGTGTAGAAATAGTATCATACTATGTATATTGTTTCTGAGCTGTATCCCTGATGGTGGTCGTATCTGGCAGTTTGATCATTGTCGTCTAATGTCCATCCTGTGACTGTCCACACTTTATTCTTTCTCTTGCCAAGGCATGTTGGGGTTGGTTACAATTTTGCTTTATAAATAATGTTGGCATGAGCATTCTCTTGCATATACCAGGATACTTGTTTTGAAAGTTTTTATTTTAATTTTTATGGGTGCACAGTAGGTGTATGTATTTATGGGGTATATGAGACACTTTGATACAGGCCTGTGATGTGTAATCATCAAATCCTGGTAAATGGATATCTGTCCTCTCAAGCATTTATTCTTTGTTTTATGAATTATCCAATTATACTCTTTTAGTTATTTTAAAATGTACAATTAAATTGTTATTGATTGTAGTCACCCTGTTGTGCTATCAAATACTAAGTCTTATTTATTTTTACTAACTACTTTTTGTACCTATTAAACATCCCCACTATCCTGCCCCCATACTCCCACCCCAACTACCCTTCTCAGCCGCTGGTAACCATCCTTATTCTATCTACAGGAGTTCAATTACTTTAATTTTTACCTCCCACAAATAGATGAGAACATAACGAAGTTTATCTTTCTGTGCCTGGCTTATTTCACATAACTTAACAACCTCCATTTCCACCCATGTTGTTGCAGATGACAAGATCTTGTACTTTTTATGGCTGAATAGTACTCCGTTGTGTATATGTACCACATTTTCTTTACCCACTCACCTCTTGATGGACACCAAGATTGTTTCCAAATTTTGGCTATTGTGAACAGTGCTGCAACAAACATGGGGGTGCAGCTATCTCTTTGATATACTGGTTTCCTTTCTTTTGGGTATATATGCAGCAGTGGGATTGCTGGGTCATATGGTAGCTCTATTTTTTGGTTTTCTGAGGAACCTCAAAACTGTTCTCCATGGTGGTTGTACTAATTTACATTTCCACCAACAGTGTACAAGGGTTCTCTTTTCTCCACCTCCTCACCAGCATTTGTTATTGCCCGTCTTTGGATAAAAGCTATTTTAACTGGGTTTTTGCCATTTGTATATCTTCTTTTGAGAAATATCTATTCGGATCTTTTGCCTATTTTTTAATTGGATCATTAGATTTTTTTTTTCCTGTAGAGTTCAAGCTCCTTATATATCCTGGCTATTAATCCTTTGTCAGATGGGTAGTTTGCAATTCAGTAATATTGCAGATCCATTCTATGGACTGTCTCTTCACTTTGTTGATTGTTTCCTTTGCAGTACAGAAGCTTTTTAACTTGATATGATCCCATTTATCCATTTTTGCTTTGGTTGCCTATGTTTATGGGATGTTACTCAAGACATTTTTGCTCAGACCAATGTCCTGGAGAATTTCCCCAACATTTTCTTGTAATAGTTTCATAGTTTGAGGTCTTAGATTTAAGTCTTTAATCCATTTGTATTTGATTTTTATGTATGGTGAGAGACAGTGATCTACTTTCATTCTTCTGCATATGGAAATTAAGTTTTCCCAGCACCATTTATTGAAGGGATATCTTTTCCCCAATGTATGTTCTTGGCATCTTTGTCAAAAATGAGTTCACTGTAGGCGTATGGATTTGTTTCTGGGCTCTCTAGTGTCTTCCATTGATCTATGTGTCTTTTTATGCCAGTACCACGCTATTTTGGTTATTATAGCTCTGCAATATAATTTGAAGTCAGGTAATGTGATTCCTCCAGTTTTGTTCTGCTGAGGGTAGCTTTTGCTATTCTGGATCTTTTGTGGTTCCATATAAATTTTAGGATTTTTTTTTCTATTTCTTTGAAAAATATCATTGGTATTTTGATAAGGCTTGTATTGAATGTGTATTGCTTTGGGTAGTATGGACATTTTAACAATATTGATTCTTCCAACCTATGAACATGGAATATCTTTCCATCTTTTTGTGTCTTCTTCAATGTCTTCTATCAGTGTTTTATAGTTTTCATTATGAGAGTTTTATAGTTTTCATTATGAGAGTTTTCATTATTTCTCAATTCTGTTTCTTTGGTTGATTCCAGGGTATTTAATTTTATGTGTGGCTATTAAATCGGATTACTTTTTTATTTCTTTTTCATATTGTTCGCTCTTAGCATATAGAAATTCTACTGATTTCTGTATATTTTGTATCCTTCAACTTTACTGAATTTGTTTCTCAGTTCTAATGGTTTTTTGGCAGAGTCTAGGTTTTTCCAAATATAAGATCGGATCATCTGCTAACAAGGATAATTTGACCCTCTTCCTTTCCAATTTGGATGCCCTCTATTTTTTTCTCTTGTCTGATTGCTCTAGCTAGGACTTCCAGTATTATGGAAGGATGAAAGTGGGCATCCTTGTCATGTTCTAAATCATAGAGGAAAGGCTTTCATTTTTTCCCCATTCAGTATGATGCTAACTGTAAATCTGTCATATATGGCTTTTATTATGTTGAAGTATGTTCCTTCCATACCCAAATTTTTGAAGGTTTTTATCATAAAATGATGTTGGTTTTTATCAAATGTTTTTTCAGTATCAATTGAAATGATCGCATGGTTTTTGTCCTTCATTCTGTTCATATGATGTTTCACATTAATTGATTTGTGTATGTTGAACCATCTTTACATCCCTGGAATAAATCCCACTTGGTCATGATGAATGATCTTTTTAATGTATTGTTGAATTCAGTTTGATAGTATTTGGTTGAGGATTTTTGCATCAATAATCATCAGAAATATTGGCCTATAGTTTTCTTTTTTGTTGTGTCTTTGTCTGGTTTTGGTATCAGGGTAATACTGGCCTCATAAACTGAGTTTGGAGGTATTCCTTCCTCCTCTGTTTTTTGGAATACTTTGAGTAGGATTGGTATTAATTCTTCTTTAAATGTTTGGTAGAATTCAGCAGTGAAGCCTTTGGATCGTGGGCTTTTCTTTACTGGGAGACTTTTTTATTACTGCATCAATGTCATTACTTGATATTGGTCTGTTCAGGTTTTAGATTTCTTCATGGTTCAGTCTCGGTAGGTTGTATGTGTCTATGAATTTATCCGTTTCCTCGAGGTTTTCCAATGTATTGGCATGTAGTTGCTCATAGTAGCCACTAATGATCCTTTTAATTTCTATAGTATCAGTTGTAATGTCTCCTTTTTCATCTCTTATTTTATTTGTATCTTCTCTCTTTTTTTTTTTCCCTAATTAGTCTGGCTAAAGGTTTGCCAGTTTTATTTTGTGTTTCCATTATCATTTATTTCAAGAAATTTTTTCAGTTTCCTTCTTAATCTCTTAATTGACCCACTGGTCATTCAGGAGCATATTGTTTAATTTCCGTGTGTTTGTATGGTTTTCAAAATTCCTCTCGTTATTGATTGCTAATTTTATTCCAGTGTGGTCAGAGAAGATGCTTGATATTCTTATAGTTTTTTTTTTAATGTGTTAAGACTTGTTTTGTTACCTAACGTATGGTCTGTGCTTGAGAATGGTCCATGTAGTCTTATCCTTGAGAGTGATCTGTGTGCTGAGGAGAAGAATATGTGTTCTGCAGTCATTGGATGAAGTGTTCTGTAAATATCTATTATGTCCATTTGTTCTGTAGTCCAGGTTACGTCTGATGTTTCTTTGTTGGTTTTCTGTCTGGAAGATCTGTCCGATGCTGAAATTGGGGTGTTAAATTATTGTATTGTGGCCTGTCTCTCTCCTTAGCTCTAATGATATTTCCTTTATGTATCTAAGTGTTCCATTGTTGGTTGTATATATATTTCCAATTGTGATATTCTCTTGCTGAATTGACCCCTTTAGCATTATATGATGACCTTCTTTGTCTCTTTTTACAGTTTTTGTCTTGAAATCTATTTTGTGTAAGTATAGCTACTCCTGCTCTCTTTTGGTTTCCATTGGCATGGAATATCTTTTTCCATCCTTTTATTTTCAGTCTGTATGTATCTTTGTAGGTGAAGGCTGTTTTTGTAGGCAACAGATCAATGGGTCTTGCTTTTTTATCTATTCAGCTACTCTGTGTCTTTTGATTGGAGAGTTTACTTATATTTGATTGGAGTTAGTTCACTTATACTCAGTGTTATTGTTGATAAGTAAGGACTTACTTCTTCCATTTTGCTGTTTTCTGGTTGTTTTGAGGTCTTCCTTCCTTCTTTTGTTCCTTTTAGTGAAGGTGATTTTCTCTGGTGGTATGATTTAATTTTTTGCTGTTTATTTTTTGTGTGTCCATTGTATATTTTCTAATTTGAGGCTACCATGAAGTTTGCAAATACTATCTTATAATCTGTTGTTTTATTTATTCATTCTTTATATTTTATTTTATTTATTTATTTTTGAGATAAGGTCTCACTCTGTCACCCAGGCTGGAGTGCAGTGGCACAATCTTGGCTCACTGCAGCCTCCGCCCCCTGAGCTCAAGTGATCCTCCCTCCTCAGCCTCCCGAGTAGCTGGGACCACAGATCCGCACCACCACACCCAGCTAAGTTTTTGTATTTTTGATAGAGACAGGTTTCACCATGTTACCCAGGCTGATCTTGAACTCCTGAGCTCAAGCAGTCTGCCCCCTTGGCTTCCCAAAGTGCTGGGATTACAGGCATGAGCCACCGTGCCCAGCCTTATAACCTGTTATTTTAAACTGATGACAACACTGCTTGCATAAACAAACAAACAAAAAAAAGGCAAAAAGACAACTAATAATAACTCTACACTTTTTCATGGCCCCGCTTTTTAACTTTTGGTTGTTTTTCTTTATGTCCTATTGTACTACCTATATCTTGAAAAGTTATTATTTTTGATTGGATCATTGTTTAGTCTTTCTACTTAAGAGTAGTTTTCACAGCGCAATTACAGTATCATAATATTACGTGTTTTTCTGTGTGCTCACTATTACCAGCAAATTTTGTACCTTCAGATGATTTCTTATTGCTCATTTACATCCTTTTCTTTCTGATTGAAGAACTCCCTTTAGCATTCCTTATAGGAAAGGTCTGGTGTGATGAAATCCCACAGGTTTTGTTTGTCTGAAAAAGTCTTTATTTCTCCTTCATGCTTGAAGGATATTTTCATAGGATATACTATTCTAGGGTAAAAGTTTTTTTCCTTCAGCACTTCAAATATGCCATGCCACTCTCTCCTGGCCTGTAAGGTTTCCACTGAGAGGTCTGCTGCCAGATGGACTGGAGCTCCACTCTATGTTATTTGTTTCTTTTCTGTTGCTTTGTTCCTTTTAGGATCCTGTCTTTATCCTTGACCTTTGAGAGTTTGATTATTAAATGCCTTGAGGTAGTCTACTTCAGGTTAAACTTGCTTGGTGTTCTATAACCTTCTTGTACTTGAATGTTGCTGTCTTTCTCTAGTTTTGGACAGTGATCTGATGTTACCCCTTGGAATAAACTTTGTACCCGTCTTTTTTCTCTACCTCCTCTTTAAGACCAATGACACTTAGATTTGCCCTTTAACGCTATTTTTTAGGTCTGGATTACCAGGCAGAGACTTGGTCCTCTTCCCTTACTTTCTCCCAAACAAAGGGAGCCTCTCTCTCTCTCTGTGCTAAGCCACCTGGAGCTGGAGATGAGGTGATGCAAACACCACTGTGGCCACCACTCCTGAGACTGTGCTGGGTCAGACTTGAGGCCAGCGCAGCACTGGGTCTTGCCCAAGGCTCGCTGTAACCACTACGCCTATGTTCATTCAAGGTGCTAGGACTCTACAGTCAACAGATGGGGAAGCCAGCCAGGTTTGTGTCCTTCCTTTCAGGGTAGCAAGTTCCCCTAGGTCCCAGGTGGGTTCACAGATGCTGTCTGAGAGCCAGGGATTGGAGTCAAAAACCTTAGAAATCTAGCTGGTACTCTATTCTACTGCAGCTGAGCTCCTTCCCACTCTTCCCTCCCCTTTCCACAGGCAGAAGAGCCTCTCCCAGTGACCGCCACCACCACTGGTCCGTGGGGAGTTCTGCCAGGCCACTGCCAATGTTCACTGAAAGTCCGGGGGCCCTTCAGTCAGTGAAAAGTCCATAGTGATTGTACTAATTTACACTCACCATACAGGTGTGGTGAATGCTGCCACGCCTGAGACTCACCCTTCAGGGCAGTGGATGCCCCTCTGCCAGAGCAGGTCCAGAAATACCATCTAAGAGCCTAGGCCTGGACTCAGGGACCCCAAGAGCCCACTTGGTGCCCTACCCTCCTGTAGCCAAGCTGGTACCTAAGGGGCAAGGCAAAGTCCCTTTTACTTTTCCTTCTGCTTTTCTCCAGCAGAAGGAGTCTCTCCCCAGAACCACCACGGCTGGGAATGTGCTGGATCTCACTTGAAGCCAGCACGTCTCAGAGTCTCACCCAAGGCCCACGGCATACCACCTGGGTGTCACTGTTGGTTATTCCGGGCCCAAGGGCCCTTTGGTCAGCAGGTGATGGATCCTGCCAGGACTAGGTCCATCCCTTCAAGGGAGCAGATTCCCTTCTGGCCCAAGGTGTCGAGAAATATCATTTGGGAGCTAGGGCCTAGAATGGGTGCCTCACGACTGCCTGGTGCCCTATCCTGTTGTGGCTGAGCTGATGTCCAAGATGCAAGACGAAGTCCTCTTTACTCTTCGCTCTCCTGTCCTCAAGAAGAAGGAAGGGTCACTTTCATTGCTGTAAACTGTGGTGCCTAGAATTGGGGGAAGGGTGGCGCAAGCACTCCCTTAGCCACCCAGGCTACTGTCTCCCTGGGTCACATGCCGCCCTAGTCCACTGGCTATAAGCCCAGCCCAGCACTAGAACTTGCTTAGGAATTGTAGTCCTTGTGGTCTAGACTGCCTTTCAAGTTTACCTAGAACCCCAGAACACTTTAGCACACGCTGGCAAGGCTTGCTGAGAAACTCAAGTTCCCACACTGGGGTGGGTGATTTCTCTCTGGCCAGAACTGGTCCAAATACTCCCTCTGTGGATATGGCATCAGCTGAGCCCAGCATGGCTTTACTCTCCACTGTGTCAGGGCAGCACTGAGTTCAATGGCAAGTCCCCCAGTCGCTGTGCTCTCCCTCACCCAAGTGTGCAGATCCTCTCCAGGCCATTTAGCAGCTGCTGGAGGAAGGAGGAGGAGTGGTGTCACTCAAGACTGTCTTTCCTCCTCTTTTCAATGCCTCTTTCAGTGAAATAAAGTTAAAACAAGATACTGTGATTGCTTACCTGATTTTTCATTCTTATTATGGTGCTTTTTTGTGTGTAGTTGTTAAAAATTGGTGTTCCTGCAGGGGGGATGGTCGGGGGAGGCTTCTGTCTGGCCATCTTGCTCCACCCACCTCAGGATACATTTTTAAGTGTTAGCCCAAGCCACAGAGCCAGTGCAGACTCCTCTCTGGAGGAGCAGGGAGGTGTTGTGATCAGTAGGGAAAGACGGCATTTTCCTAAGAGCCACCTGAGTTGTGAAACCTGATGTTGCAGTGCCCACATGGGTGTCCAGAGCGGCTCCTGTTAAACAGCCTTGGTTCTACAGTAACACATTCCACTGATTTTGTTGTTGTTCTAAATCTCATCTGCTTTTGGTATATGAGTGTAGAGGGCTTGGGGGTTGTTTGTGCATATGCATGGGAAAACAGCATGAAGTCATTGGACTTCAGGCAATTTATGGACAAAAGGCAGGTTTTGGTGATCCCATTTTGGCTTCCTCCTTCACCAAGCAGTCCCTGCCAAGAAGCTCCTGACGTGCCTGGAGCAACCCTGGCCTTTGTCCCTCGTGGCAGGTCCAGTCTGTAATTGGGAGTCTCAGTCCATCATCGACAGTTTCTTCAGAGTATAAAAAGGGAAAAGGGAGGGGGAGACTACCAAATTGGCACTTTTTGAGCCCTCTGTATATTTCAGCTTGGCTTATCTAAAGCCAAACCAGCTTTTTGTTGTTGGCCTGGAAGCACCAGGGCTTCGGGGCCAATCAGAACCTTAGGAGTAGTCACCTCCTAGCCTGAGGACTGTGTTTGATATGGAGCACATGCTGGAGGCCCCTTCACAATTGTGAACCCACAGGGAGTTCACTCTTAGGAGAGGAGATGGGGTGAGAGGAGGGGAGGAAGGACAAATGGGCACTCAGCATTTGCTGAATGAATACATGAATGGCAGAAATAAAAGCATCTTTGACTTTCATATGTATCTGTTTGTCCATATTGGCAGAAATGGGGATCTGCTCTTTGGCTACTCAGGGGAGAAGGAATGACACTTGTGACTGATTTGATTCTGAAATTGCCAAGACAGTTACTGGCTTAACTTCTCGTGTCCTTGTAAGCCTTAGGTAATCAACTGTAGCCTATACAATCCAAGCCCTAGCTAATGTCAAATCTAAACTTGCAGCCTCTTGCATAATCTTTAAATACATTGTGGTGCTGTCTGCTCTGTTTCGGGGCTGTTTTGGTATTGTGTAAATTAATAACTCATGATTTAATAAATCTTGCTTCCGTTCTTTGAAGAGATGAGCACAGTTATCCAAAAATAAATCTAGCTATGTTGATATTTAGTGTCAGTTAATCTACCGCCTAACATCCCATTATTAATTTTCTTCAAACAGTCAAAATATTTTAAGAGCTTAACTGAATCAGACTGGAACAAGCTGCTGGCTTCTCTCGGCATTTAAAATATTAATTTACAATTTTTGACTGATCTATTAGGTAGAAAAATGTAAGAAAAGAAAAAAGCTTCAACCATGACACTGAAAATATATATTGGTATTTTATCATGTTTATTTAGATGTTATTTGATTTGCAAAGGATGAAACTCATTTATCAGTCTTTCTAAATCGACATTTTAACCAACCTTCAATTTCCATAACATATTCATACCCTGCTTGTGAATGACACATCTTGTTTTCAACCATTTAGACTAACATTATCTCATTGTACTCCACCCCGAGTTCTTTGAGGTAGGAAAGACTGTTGAATTGCTAGACTGCTTAATTATTTGGGGCCTTGATTTCTCCACTGAGTTCAATAGTGCTCAGGCTTGAAAAGGACTAAGAGTCACCAGCGTAGTTTGTGGGAAATGCACATTCTTGACAGGCAGTACAGAAATTCCAATTCAGCAGCTCTGGGGAACCCAGGAGGCCAGGACGGCTAGAGGGGAAGCAGGGAGTGAGGGGAAGGACGGTGGCGTCCTGGAGCTCTCCCTTTTCTCACTGCTGTGTTTCTTGGGCATCTCAGCTGAGTCTCAGGTAATCTGTGGAGTACATTTTGAGAATTCCTTTGTGCCCTTGGAGTTCTGATGAAGGCTGGCCTTTTTGGTAAGTCCCAGCTCTAGTGTCAAACTGGCTTATGAGATATGCTACTAAGGCGTTCATATTTATTCAGTAAATACTCACTGAGCCCCTGGAGATAAAGGCATAGTTCTAGGCACTGTTCGGCGTGGACCACACGAAGTTTTTGCCCTCACGGAGCCTGTCTGTAGCATAGAAAATGGACAAGAGACCAGCAACTTGCATAAAATGATGCCAGATGGTGATAAAGCTCAGAAGAACAGAAGCGGGGTGGCCAGAGCACAGGAGTGAGGGGAAGAAAGGGAGAAGTTGACACCACCTAAGCAGGAGACACCAGTCTGGGCCTCACAGGCTGGGAGGAGGGCTCCCTGCTTAGTGAGGTGTCCCTGTCATTTTAAATTCAGATGTACAAATTTGGATTCATCGTGACCCTTGACTCATGACACACTGTCATCACTAACGCAGGCATGGCCCTTTCATATTGGTTTATTTATAGTGCAGTGGGCATCTTTGAACATAGAACTGGACCAGGAGCTGCAGCATGATTGGCAGCCTGTGCTGCCTGGGATTGCCCCCCACCGCCCCCGCAGGAGCTGCTGTCCCCTGGCGTGTTTATCATTCTCTCTCCTGTTTTGGAGGGGATGCTTCACCATATATATATGCATATTCCTAAATTTATTCTTTAATTTTCCCTGGGTTTTAACTTAATTTATTTTAAAGGGATTATATGTTATCTTCAGGGACTTAATTTTTCACTGAACATTTTGTGTTTTTTACTAAATTTCATTCAATTTGTTGGTTTAGCTATAGCTTATTCATTTTCACTGATAGGAAATATTCCATTATCAGAATATATACTAATTTATTTATCCATTTTTCAATCAATGGTCATTCGATTTATTTCTGGGTTTCTGTTTTTCTATTATAAACAGTCCTGCTCTTACATTTTAAAATAATGAAGAGTATAATTGGATTGTTTGTAACACAAAATATAAATGCTTGAGGGGAAAGACACCCCATTCTCCATGATACGGTTATTATGCATTGCATGCCTGTATCAAAACATCTAATGTATTCCATAAATATATACAACTCTTATGTACCCACAAAAAAATAAGAATAAAATAATCAAATAAACAGTCCTGCTCAGAACATTCTTGTTCGTATTCCATAGTACCCGTGGGCTACAGTTTTTCTTGGATCTATTCCTAGGAGTGGAATTGCTTGGTTTAGGACAGTGGTTCTTAACTGGGAGTGATTTTTGCCTCCCAGCAGACATTTGGCAAGGCCTAGAGATATTTTTAATTGCCACAACCTGGGGAAAGTGATGTTCCTGTCATCTATTGGGTAAGCGTGAGAACAAAAATGTAGACCTAAATAAATAAACAAGCAAAGAAAATATCACCTAGAGAAAGAAACACTGAAAATATTACACACATAACTATAGAATGATATGACCAAGTTGAGACCACACATATCAGTCATATCAATAAATATGAATTAATTTAACACACTTATTGAAAGCTTTTTAAAGGTGGTGATGATGTGGAAAAATAGGTATGCATTAAAGGATAGGAAAACACCACAAAAAGAAAAGCTACCAAGGGAGCTAGCCCTGTCAAGCATTAAAACATACCCTAAAACCTGTATCATTAGAACAGTGCAGTACTGGCTCATAAGTAGACAAACAGGCTAGTAGAATAAAATAGCCTAGACATAGACCCAAGTACATGTGGAAATTGAGTATGATGCAGGTGGCATCTCAGGTCAGTAGGGCCTCAGTCATAAAAAGGAAAAACACCTTCAGATGGTCAAAAACATCATTAGAAAATCAAAAGACAGCCAAGCTGGGAGAAAATATTTGCAACATACATTACAGACAGGACTAATATCCCTAAAATTATTTTTTAAATCATAAAAATATAGGGTAAAACACCAAAAATGGGATAGAAAATGAGGAAAAGAAACAGACAATTCACCAAATTTTAAATATATATATGAGATACTTAAACAGATGAAAAGATGTTCAACCTTACCCATAATTAGGGAAATGCGAATTAAAATTGCACTGAGGTACCATTTCTCACCTACCAGATTGGCAAAAATTAAAAAAACATAACAACAGGTTCTGTTGGTAAAGGCTGTGGGGAAACGCCCTCTCATACCTTGCTAATGAGAATGCAGATTCATCCAACTGTTTTGAAGGGACTTTGGCAATGTCTAAGAAAACTATGTACATCACACTTCCAGCAATATATGAAAATACATATATACCACTATTAACTGAAGCTTGTTTGTAATTGTAGAATATTGGAAATAGCCGAAATGCCTGTGCAGAGGCGTGTGATTGAATACATTATGATACACTCGCACAATGGAGCCACATCACTTTTTTTTCCATCTTCAGAAAAGAATGAGAAAGACCTCTATGACTCACATGCAGTGATTGCCAGGATATATTGTTAATAGAAAAAAAGCAAAATGCAAGAGTATCCTTAATACGCTTACTTTTTCTGGAAAAAGGGAGATATAAAATACCCTTATCTGCTCATTTCTACTGGGGAAACAACACAGGAAAGAGAAACCTGAAGCAGAGAAATTGGTTATGGGTGGGTAGATGGGAAAGGCATGTCACAGGTGAGGAGCGGGGAATAGAGGAAAGCAGGTGTGTGTTGGGGAGGCCTGACTCTGAGCATACCTTCTTATGTAGTTCTGACTGTTAGAACATGTGAATGTTTCACATACTTGAAAAAGTAAATAAACTGGACAAGATTTTAAAAAAGAAGAATGCAAAACAAGTAAATTGAAATGTATTTCAATTGAATAATGTGACCATGCCTTAGGGGATAGGAGAGGGATAGAGAACTAACACTAGTAACCTTTGAACTTGACATTTTGACCCTAAACCCTTAAGCTAGGGATTATAATAACTGTGAACTAATATTAAACTTCAGTTGGTTGGCTGGTTTTTCACAGTGGTTTGGATTAGTGATTCTGAAACTATGTGTATTCTAGGTTTGAGCAAATACGGAAATAAATTGTGGATAATGGGAGCCAAGTTTCATCCCTTTGGAGAGAGAAGTTATAAAGATGGAAAGTAGAATGCCAAAAGTCAACCCTCAGTGTGTTGGACTGCGATTGGAAGTATCAGTATCAATGGATTGTTTTTAATGTATGGATGTAGAAATAGATATAGATGTGTCTGTACACAGGAGTGCACGTTTCCCAATTCTGTCTGCTGAGAAGGTCTAGAAGCAGTGAGACCCCAGCAACAGTGAGCACAACTATCATCCACATATTAGTTTCTAAATATCATTCTCACTAATAGGAACTCCTTGGAGAAGTGGCTGATTCCAGAACAGGAGCAGGAAAAGATGAGCCTAGAGCATCTTGCTGTGCCGGAAAGTAAGGAAGTGCCCAAAGAATGATAGGGACACATCAAAGGACACAGGCTGGGCACGGTGGTTCACGCCTGTAATCCCAGCACTTTGGGAGGCCGAGAATGGTGGATCACTTGAGGTCAGGAGTTTGAGACCAGCCTGGCCACCATGGCGAAACCCCGTCTCTACTAAACATACAAAAATTATAGCATTAGGAGATATACCTAATGCTAAATGACGAGTTAATGGGTGCAGCACACCAACATGGCACATGTATACATATGTAACAAACCTGCACATTGTGCACATGTACCCTAAAACTAAAAGTATAATAATAATAAAAGAAAAGAAAAAAATAAAAATAAAAATACAAAAATTAGCTGGGTGTGGCGGTGCATGCCTGTAATCCCAGCTACTCAGGAGGCTGAGGCAGGAGAATTGCTTGAACCTGGGAGGTGGAGGTTGCAGTGAGGCAAGATCGTGCCACTGCACTCCAACCTGGGTGACAGAGTGTGACTGTGTCTCAAAAAAAAAAAAAAAAGACACAGAAGCCAGTTGAAAGGAGCCTCCTACTCACCAAACCCAGGACAATTGAACACCAAAATAAATAACACTCATAATGGATTACAGTCCATTGAATACAGTAGTAATCCTTGAGTCCACACTGATTTAAGTAAATACATGGTAAAAAATTGAAAGCTATCAGTGTAAGAATAGCTCACGGTATATTGCTCATTTCTTTAACAATAGCTGTGGGAAAGCTCTTTCTTTTTTTATTTTTATTTTTATTATTTTATTTTATTTTATTTTTTATTATACTTTAAGTTCTAGGGTACATGTGCACAATGTGCAGGTTTGTTAGATATGTATACATGTGCCACACTGGTGTGCTGCATCCGTTAACTCGTCATTTACATTAGGTATTTCTCCTAATGCTATCCCTCCCCCTCCCCCCTCCCCATGACAGGCCCCGGTGTGTGATGTTCCCTACCCTGTGTCCAAGTGTTCTCATTATTCAGTTCCCACCTATGAGTGAGAACATGCAGTGTTTGGTTTTCTGTCCTTGCGATAGTTTGCTCAGAATGATGGTTTCCAGCTTCATCCATGTCCCTACAAAGGACATGAAACTCATCCTTTTTTATGGCTGCATAGTATTCCATGGTGTGTATGTACCACATTTTCTTAATCCAGTCTATCGTTGGACATTTGGGTTGGTTCCAAGTCTTTGCTATTGTGAATAGTGCCGCAGTAAACATACGTGTGCATGTGTCTTTATAGCTGCATGATTTATAATCCTTTGGGTATATGCCCAGTAATGGGATGGCTGGGTCAAATGGTATTTCTAGTTCTAGATCCTTGAGGAATTGCCACACTGTCTTCCACAATGGTTGAACTAGTTTACAGTCCCACCAACAGTGTAAAAGTGTTCCTATTTCTCCACATTCTCTCCAGCACCTGTTGTTTCCTGACTTTTTAATTATCGCCATTTTAACTGGTGCGAGATGGTATCTCATTGTGGTTTTGATTTGCATTTCTCTGATGGCCAGTGATGATGAAGGAAAGCTCTTTCTTACAGTAGAATGTGAACTAAGAAATGTAAAAGAAACCAGAAAATTGGGTAGCAACCATAGTAATTGTTTCAGACAAGAATCAAGAATCATCAATGGATGCTAAAATTTATGGGTGACAGTTTGACGACGGACTGGGTGTGTGTGCAGAGAGAGTGCAGATGTGAGTTTGCGGCAGGTGCAGGGTAGTGCTAACAGGACACCTAGATGAAGGGTGTACGGGAATTCTTTGTACTATTGTTGGAACTTTCTGTGAGCCTGAAATTGTTTAAAGTTGTTTCAGAATAAGAAATTAACATTTGTAAGCATGCATATTTAGATATCCACATTGGATGAAATGATATGTGTTTGGCCCAGAATCTGACTGTTGCTTCTACTCTCCGCAATGCCGCCATCCCTCTCCAAGCCTCTGGTCCCTCACACCTAGATTATTATAGCTGCCTCCTGCCTGGCCTCCCCACTGCCATCCTGCCTCTCATCAGTTCTCCACGTGAAGCCAGAGCCTTTTATAGGGAAAATCAGGCATGTATCTTCTCTCTTCAGAACCTCCAATGGCTCCCCATCTCCCTCCAGTGAAAGCCTGTGTCCCCTGTGACAGCCCATCATCTGCCCTGACTCCACCCCCTCTCCCCCACCACTAGGCCCAGCGCTGCCTTAAGGCCTTTGGCCAAAGGTTTCCCCAGGCCCCCATTCCTCCTAGTCTTCAAGGCTCTGCTCTCCTGTCTCTTCTACCACCAAGTGCAACTGACTACACCCCAACTCCTTATCTCCTTAACAGCCTTTATTTTCTTTCGTTGTACTTATCACTTTCTAATGTAGGATATGATTTCCTTATTGTTATGCTTATTGCTTTTGTGTTTCCTCTGGAAAGACCCTAAGTTCCACACAGGAGAGATGTTTGTCTCTTTTGTTCATTGATATGTCCCAACCCCCTAGAAGAATGCCTGGCACATAGTAGGTGTTGAGTAATTATTGGTTGAGTAAGTGTTGATTCAGATTCATGCATGTATGTGTAAAGAGATGAAAATTAAATGTCTTCTTTCAAATACTGAGATGAGCAATTAGGGAATGATATATTATTAAATGAGCCTGAAATACAGACTGTGCAATCCTGGTTTTGAGAAAAACAGACATATACCTATTGATAAGCGCACTTGTAAACAGGCTAGAGGGGATATCTGTACACTGCACTGTTAGAGAGGAGTGTTTATGTCATGGTGGGTGGGGCAAGATCATTAGTTTCTTTACTTTCTGCTTAAGACACCGAAGTATTGTTTGATCACTTTTACTAGAATCATGCATTAAGGCCAGGTGTGATGGCTCACGTCTATAATCCCAGCACTTTAGGAGGCTGAGGCAGGTGGATTGCTTGAGTGCAAGAATTCAAGACCAGGCTGGGCAACATGGAAAAACCCCATCTCTACAAAAAATTTTAAAAATTAGTCAGGCATGGTGATGCATATCCTGTAGTCCCAGCTACTCGGGAGGCTAAGATGGGAGGATCACCTGAGCCCCGGAGGTGGAGGTTGCAGTGAGCCATGATCACGCCACTGCACTCCAGCCTGGGTGACACAGTGAGACCCTATCTCAAAAAAAAAAAAAAAGGAAGAAGAATTATGCATTATTCTTAGAATTACAATTTACAGTATAAAGTTTCCTTTCAAGTATAAAATTCATGGGGTACATAGTGACCTGATGCTAGAGGTTTCCTCAGCCAGTGTCTTTGTTCTTAGGAGCATTCCCTGTGCTGGGCACTGTGTGCAGTCTTTATCCGCACTGTTGTACTCACCCCTACTTGGGACCCCAGGAGGTGGGTGGCATTATCCCCCATTTTCCAAATGAAAAAACAGGCTTGAAGAGGCTCAAGCCCACAGTGCTACAGTACTAAGTGACAGAGTGACAATTTGGATCCCAGTCTGACTTGAGAGTTCAAACTTTCATCCTTAAAAAAAAAATCACTTGAAGCCAAATGCTCAGCTCTTCCCCAGCCTGCAGCATGTCATGCTTGCTTGCTTGCCACCCACTTGGCCCTCAGCTCCCTAGAGTCTCCAACCTCCCTGTAGCCAAAGGTGAACTCAGGACCCAGCAACCGAGGCTGAGAACTGCCTCAAATTGTTCTGGGCCCACTCAATTCTGAGATCTCTTAGGCAAAATATGTGCTATGCTTCCATCTTAAATATGTATGCCAAAGCTGTACTTGGCTTTTTATCTTTTGGAGGCAAGTGATTTCAAGTTCCGTGTAAATACGGCATTCTGTCTAAAACCTAGTAATGTCATTTTGTGGGAGTTCCCCATCCTCCTTCTCCCTACTCCCTACTCTTGAAATTGCTATTATCTTTATCTCAGGGCTCTTAACCTTGGGTCCATGAACTCCTGGGAGGTGGTGGATGGGTTTCAGGAAACCTCTGAACCCCGCAGTTTTCTGTGTGTGGATGTCCTTCTGTGCCTTCTTCTGAGGGAGAGGGTCTGTGACTTTCATTAGAATAGGAGGCTCATTCCCAAAGCAGGTTAAGGACGCTGGTCATAGGCCTTAGCTAGAACTGGGAGGCCGTTCTCCGTAGGCTTTCTGCTGACCTGCAGGTCCAGCTTCTATTCTCTGAACTCTTGTTTCATACTCAGTACACTGGAACATGTGTGTTTCATTTCCGGGTGAATTTCTGGTGGCTTGCACATTAAAGCACAGTGGGAGAGATCCTACTGTTGAAGAAAATGGCCGCGTACAGGAAGCAGAAGGAGTTGCTTTCAGGCACCAGACTGGAGCAGCTTGAAAAAAAAATGCTTGGGCATTAAACCTGTTTTTCAGTTTTCTGACAGCTAAGTCATGCAGAAAGAAAACACTTTATGTTACATAGTTTTTATTTTGTGTCAAAAACATACTAAGTCAAATTTAGAGATAAATGGTTTTTTCTTAGAACTAATTTCAGGGAGTTGTTTGTTTGTTTGCTTGGCAAATACTACTTACTAGGTATACATTGTCTGTTTAGTTAATTTCTACAGCACAGTCATTCCCAGAGGCAGTGGTGCACTTATATCTGTCCAGTGAATGTATGTTTAGGACTTAAGGATAACAGAGTTTCCCTAAGATTCCACAAAAATATTTAGTCTACATTAGCAGTAGCCTAGTTAGGCAATCTAGATTGTCCCCCTTTTTCAAAAATGCTAATGTGCCCAAATCATCAGACTCATAATTTCTAAAGATACCTTTGAAAGCCCCGTAATTCAGATCTCTGGTTTCCTTCCACAAATTTCAACTGCATTTGTCCCAAAGAGGTGGAAAACATATTCCTCTATCCCTAGCAGGTATATTTCAATGGCTGGCATTTACAATAGTGAATTTAAATGTTGGAGAAGGCAATTCCACCTCCAAGGGAATTTTATTGGATTTTACTTTTAAAATATTTTGAATGTATGAAATTAATGCTAGGTAGAAACAGGTGGCACTTGCCTTTTTGAGACAGGGTGAAACTGTTTTTAAAATTTAGAAAAGTGGGTTGAGTGAATGCATAGTACTACCACTACCTTTATTTTTATTTTTATTTTTTTAAGGCTGTCTAATTCAGTTTTAGTCAGTGATAAATGCTGGATGTTTTCAGGCCAGACTACTTGTCTTACGCTTATCCTACACCCTTTGGATCCCTTGCAACTTGTCTCCAATTTAACATTTTTCTGTTCCAATACTTATCTCCATTCTTGTAACAAATGCTTATTGATCAAATACTATGTGAAAGATAACCCCAAACTGTAATCTCTAGCACTGATTACATTGCGGGTGGCATCCCCATTGTCACCCACAATGCCACATGCATTCTTCCTGATGTGCTATCAGCCTACCTCGTCCCTGCACACTAGCCCCCCACCCCATCTTCACTGCTCTCATCTCCTGTCGTCTGAACCCTTGCTCCAGCCGTCTCATTGGTCTCCTGGTCTACCTGCTTTGAAACACTCTGCCTCCCCTCATCTTCCACACTGGACTCATCATTCCAGAGATGCCAGTCTGCTACCCTGTTGGCTCCTGTTGCTTGCAGGATAAAGCCCCCCCTTTCTAGGATAGGTGGTGTACATGGTCTGTATAACCCGGCCTCAGTTGACCTTTCTCCTCTTCTTCCCTCTCTCCTCCCTTCCCTGGGTATCCTCAGTATTCTCTAATGTTTCTCAGTGGAGGCACTGTTGGCAGTTTGGATGGAACAATTTCAGTTCCAGTCTATGGAACTGGCCAGCGTATTGCAGAAGGTTTAGCATTCCTGGCTCCAATCTGCTAAATGCCAATAGCTCCCTGACTTACTGTGACAAGCAAAAATACCTTCCCATTTCCAGGGGCTCCTTAGGAACAAGATTCCCATGCCTGGTGCTTTTATGCTTTGTACCTGCATTTCTGCCTATGGCACCCTTCTCCACCTGCTGCCCCTTCTGGCAAAACGGCTGTGCATTCTTTGAGATGGGGCTCTAATGTCATCTTTCAAATGCCTACCCTTATTTCCAGGCCGAGATAGCCCCACCTTCCTTTATGCCCCTAGAATCCCATTTATGCCTGTATTGAAGGGGTGTGCTGTGTGCAAAGAGGATTGTGGATTGATCTTAAATGGATCACTTTGCTTTAGAATGCCATTTGATGGTACCTACAGTATCATATATTGCTGTGCACAGTGCCTTTAGGAAGATGGTAACCGGGAGGTGCTGGGAGCTGGCCAGTGCCCTATTAACATCTGTTGTGTTCCACCTCATGACATAGCATGCCAGAGCCCTTGGTACTAGATACAGGGAGCTTCACAAAGAAGGGTTCTCTTGGGACTTCATAATTTCTATAGGACAAAGAGACAATGTAAATTATTAGCGTTAGCCTTGTTGTTCGAAGAACAGTGGTATTGATCAATAGACTGTGGATCCCTTGCAACTTGTCTTAGGGTTTGTATTTTACCAAATGGAGCCATTTCTCTCCAAACCCACTGCAGTCAATAATGTGCCGCAAAAATGATGTTTCTCTTCCTGACCCATAAGCTTTGTTTCGAAGAGTTATTAACACAGAGGCCCAAGCTGCTGTTTTCTTGTAGACAATCGGGTTGTCCTGATTCAAATTTATACATAGCAATTGAATCTCATTAACTTGGACTTATACTGTATAGACCAAGCGTGTAAATAATTGAAACCTTCCAGGGCTATATTAAATCTTCAACTGATTTTAAAAGCAGTTTATCTTGATATTTTACTTTATTTCTTAATCCCATTCTACACAGTTGATTTTTCCTCCAGTTAATCTTTTCATTGTGTTTATACATTGAGATAAAACAGTTGCTCAATTTTAATAAAAATGACATGCACAATTCCTTTCTGTTGGCGATTGAATTAAAAAATTAGTATGCATTTACACTAATATGGTCTATGGTATTATTGATTATATAAATTGTATTATATTGGATTTTAATAAAAGTTAATTTAACTAATTGTACTACATGTAGTTACAGGAATAGTAGTCATCATTCTTATCATCATCGTAAGTAACCTGACTTGTAAGCAAATTGTAATTAGCGGGCAGGCTCTGGAGCCAGGCAGCTTGGGTTCAAATCCTTGCTTGGCCATTTCTACTCATGTGAGTTTGAGTAGTCAGTCTCTGTGCCGTCATTTGCTACTCTGTAAAGTGGAGCTAATTGAAGCCTTCCTTTTGGGGGTTGCCATGAAAATTGCCTATTTAATTCAGATAGCATTGCTTACAGCTGTGCCAGTGGGCAGTGGGCATGGGAGTGGGAGGACAGTGGTTTCTACTAGACACTTGTTGAAGATCATGAAATGTTGTAGGCCTTGTTCATGCACTTAATTACCACAGCAACTGTTGATCCTAAGCAATGTGATTATTAAAAAGTGCCATTGTTTCCATTCAAAAATCCTTTGTAAATAATCTGGGTTCTTTAATCAAACCTAGAGTGAAAATTCTTGTCTTTTCCCCCTCCCCATCTTGAGTTACGTTTTTAGTTAGGATTCCATGGTGACAGTTCTTGTGTCTGCTTTTAAGGTGACTCATTATTGATCATGCTTATTTCACTGCGCATCCATCTATGTCCAGTTCTTTCAATTACAAAGATGTGTGAGACTTGCCAAATGGAATTTTGGAGTAGATGCTTTGTTAGTTTTTGCCTTAAAATAAGCTATCATAATACTAGCTACAGTTTATTCAGGGTCACCTCCCCCTTCACTGGCTATCCCTTCTTGGTCTCCTTTATAGATTGCTCCTCATCTCCCCAAAACATTGACGTGTCTGGGAGCTCAGCTTTTGGTCTTGTCCCCTCTCTGTCTACTCCTACTCCCTAGATAATCTCATACATCTCATGGCTTTAAATGGTTCTATTTGCTGGCTGCACCCAAGTTGACATCCTTAGTCTTGGCCTTTCCCTGGACTTCAGCCTCAGATTAATCTGCCTGTTCATGTCGCCATTTGACTTCCACATTTGCTGCTTGAGATTCTTCCTGTTGCCCACGCCAGAATTCTTGGAGTTGTCCTTGCCTCGTCTTTCTCCCATACTTCACAATCAATCCATTGGTAAATTCCATGGGTTCTTCCTGAGAAGCATATCCAGAATTCACTCACCTTTCCCCAGTGCCACCCAGTTCAGGCTGCCATCTTTCTCCACATCCTCCCAACTGGCCTCTCTGCCTCCACCCTTGCACCCATGTAATCTGCACAGCAGCTAGAGTGCCACTTGTGCAGTGTCACTGTTCTGCTCAGGAGAATCCACGGGCTTCCCATTGCACCAAGAGACATCCTTACCATGATCTCTAAGCCCCTACGTGACCCATCTCTTCCCCATGTTATTTGTTTCTTGTTTCCAGGCTCCACCCACTAGAATGAGAGCTCTGTGAGGATAGAGACTGTTTTGGTCACTGCTGTATCCTCAGTGTACAACGCTTTTGTATCCCTCATATACAGTAGCACCTGGCTCGTGCTGAATGCCCAATAACCATTCATGATAGGAATGCACCATTTTACAGTGTAATCTCACAGCAGCCCTCAGAGGAAGGTACTGCACAGAGAGGCAGAAGAACTTGCCTGCCTGCCTAGCAAATTAGCAGCAAAGCCAAAATTTAACCTCAGTCAGCCGGACTCCAAAGTGTGTTTGCTTTCTGCTGTACTACATGGCTTCCCATTACTGGATGTTCCTGAACCACTACCAAGTCTCTATGGATTTTATTGTACCTTTGAAGTCTTACTGTCTTGAGTTTGTTCATCGTTGTCATCAAATACTTTTTGAGTGCCTGATTTCCATAGGGTTTGTGCCAGTCACAAAAGATAAAAAGAAAGTCAGTGTCAGGTCCCTGCCCTCTGCCCTCATCCTTGAACAAATCCCCTGCTAGGCTGCAAGCTCCCCCAGAAGAATATAATTTTATCACATTATTTCTTGTTACTTATCATATTTCCAAGTCTTAGAACTGCACCTGGCACAAAGGAAGCGTTCTGTTAAGAGCTGTTGAATGAATGAATGAAGACAAGCGGTACAAGCAAGCGCTAGAGGAATTAAAGTTTGAGTTTTGGTTGTGCCATTCAGCAAAGACTGGCAGAGTGCTGTCCTGCGTTTGGTACCACGCCAGTGGCTCAGGGAATCATTGGACCGCCCTCGGTGCTTGTTAGAAGTGTCAGTTTCGCCCCAGAATTGATGGGGTAAAGCGGGAGGCAGGCTCGGGTATCTGGTTCAGATGGAGTTGGGCTGGGGTCCACACCTGGAGAAACCTACTGCCACCTAGCCATGGACAATACAGACCCCTGGAGAGACTTCATGACTGGACCATTGAGGGAGGGATGCAACTGTGGTAAGCCGAACAAACGGCCTTTCAAACAGGGAGAAATACAAGTGAACAGTGAGATTTGCCTTTTGATCCTAGAAGAGTATGCCCCTGCCACTGTGAATATTATTCTGATGACTGCTACCACTTAATATGCCTACTGTGTGCTCAGGACTCTATTTGACCCCTTACTATATGCTTATGATTATTTATTTGATGTTCACACTCACCCGTCAGCCGAAGATGTTATCACTGTTTTATAGATGAGAACACTGAGACTCAGAAGGTTCAATAACTTGTTCAAGGTCACATTAAGTGGTACAGCTGGGATTTGAAGTGAGATCCATGAAATGCCCAAGTCCTGGTCTTTCTTTATCAACCTCTGCTACTATCCATGAAAAGGTCACAGAGATTCAAAGAAATACAGAAAGCTCCTAGTGCATGTAGGGGACTAAGGGAAATGTATTGAAATGAGTGAAGTTTTTTAAAAGAATAATGGTTTTGATCAAATGTAATTTTGGTAGGCAGTGCTTTCTGAAAATACTTCTGACTTTCCCAGTTCTATTTTCTTCCTTCACACAAGCGTTATCAAATGATTGTTTTGTTGATAAATTTAGTGTGCAGTTGGGACTTATATGTAGATTGTACCTACCCTCAAAGGGAGAGAGGATTTTATAGTTTCCATTCATTCTCATTAAAATCAGAACATTTGCATCTTAACTTTTACATCTTGTTCCAGGAATTTTAAGTAGTCTGATTGTATGGAAGTGGGTCGTATTAATTGCAAATGGGCTAGACATCTGCTCGCTAACATGGAATGATTTTTTTTAGCTCTGTTTTGTTTTTATATATGATCTACCAGAGTGATTAAGTGAGGGCTGTTGGTGATGCTGTTACAAGACTGGGTTTTCAGAGACTTATAATGTAACCATAAAAAGGAATTTAAGAGTGGATCTTTGAAAGTTCTTGAACTGGGAGCGATTAAACGTCTTAGAGTTGATAGATTTTTATCCACAGTCTGTCAGGGAGCCATTTCCTATCCTTGGAGCCTCTGTTGGTCTGTGGCACAGTGAAGTCAGGTTCAGTGGGTTCCAGACTCGGGGGTGAGGGAGTGGGGAGCAGCATTGCTGTCACCTTTTTGCCTGCAGGGAGTGACATGGGAGTGAGTGAAGTCAGGTGTGGTATCAAACCACAAAACCAGGATCCAGGCTACCAGTGCCTGGTTGAATAGCGAGTTATTTTTTTCCTGATACTAATGTAACAGTGTTTCCCAAAGTGGGTTTCTTGGAACACTAATTCTTAAGGAAGTTCATGTGTGCAGTAAGTTTAGGAAGCACTCACTGGTTAAAGAAAGCTAAGCACTTTCCTTAGTTGCAGTCCTTTTCAGAGCCTTTAATTCATACACACTGAATCTTCAAGAGGAGCATGTTGTTTCCTGGACATGCTTGACCACAGACCCCTTTTCATGAAGTAGACTTTGGAAAATGTCAAGGAGAGCTTCCCAAATACTTCTTTTTAAATTAGGAACTCCAGAATCTAATTGGTCTCTTGGTTATATAGTTTAATATAGAGTCTCAGTTCCTCGGGGTGGTAGGCTTAGCCCCCTTGCCTTTCTGGACTTTTCAGGCCCTTGCTTTTTAAGATTTGCCAAGTTCTAAGGCAGAGGTACCACTGGCTCAGCTGTGGGGCAGCAGGGAAGTTGGGGCCACTGCATCTCCATGCATGTCTGTGTTTGACCAGGAGAGAAAGGCAATAGACAGTTAACAGCAGTGATCAGGGAAGGAAAAGTAAAATATGTAAAGGATGGAGAGTGCTCTAGATGAGTGACATTTTTCTAGATTCCTGACCATGCACAGCACCTGCTAGCTAGGCAGGGCTCAGTCAGCACCTGTTTAATGAATACGTTGCTAGGTACTCTGCATCTTTGCTAAAAGACTATATCTAATGTTGATATACCATCATATTCTTGCTTCAAGTTAGTTGCCAAATGTATATAATCTTTCACACCTTCTAGAATCAAAGGTTAAAACATGAGAACTTTTCTTTTCCTGCAAATAACAGATGTTCTTTTCATACAGAAATATCTACTGCCTTGCCACGAAGCAAATGTTCCTGGCCATTATTATTCTAGGAGTGGGAATGGATTTGAACCCATTGTTCCAAACCCTTATTTGGTCTCTCTTGGAACCAGTGACAGCTGACACATGTAAGGGGTGATGTCTGCTACCATGGAACCAAGCAAAGCTAGTTGACTTGCAAGAGGGATGAAGCTGCAGTTTGAACCTGTGACCTTGACCTCATTAACTTCAGGCATCTGAAGCACCAGCATTCTGATAATGGTGTCAATACCTATCTTAGTGCCAAAATCCTCCTAATGTTTAGTGGTACTGTTTTCCCATTTAGTCTCCTCCTCCTGCACGCTATGGCTTGTTACCCAAAGGAAGGATCACTTGCTCATCCTTAATATGGGGAAATCATTTAGAGCACTTAATTTGTGTTGACTCTTTATTGGTGCACTATTGCAATTAAGTTAGATTAATGAAAGGTAAATTCCAGTCTATACATGAAAAAAAAATCTCTTGTAAAGATCCTAATTAGTATGTATGTTTATTTAGCCTCTCATGGTTTAATTGCATCCCATCTTGCTATTTACAAACAGGCATCATTAAAAAATAATGAGTATATGAAGAGCATTAATACTAGTGGCAGATGAGGTAACTGGTGGTTGTGGGGGGTGGGGAGGGATAGATGGGAAGTCTGCTGGTTTGTATTATTTTCGAACGAAGGAAAATGCAGAACGATCCTCCGCACCAGTCCAGGAGGGGAGGACAGAGCAGACATTATGCAAGGCAGCAGCTTGTCCTTTGGCTGCAAAGAGTTGGGCTCTTTTTAATTTGTCGCTGCAGTGTAATCTGTGGAGGTGAACAGACACACTCACACAATTGTCTGTGACCTTAGCCGGTGTTGTTTAGATGGAAGCTTTCTTTTCAGCCCTGCATAGCAGGACATCTGCACTTCAAATCCGTGAGGATTCCCTAGGATGCTGAAAAAGCCATGCAAAGTGTGGGACTTTTCTGTATTACTCAGCTCTGGGCCCTTCAGTAGCCCTTTAAAAAAAAAATCCAAATGTAAATGAGTTGAGAAACAGGTTTATGTTATTTCACTGGCACCCCTAATATCACATTCTGATTTTACATAATTTGCTGCTGTTCCTTGATGTTACAAGGCAGTTTTGTCTTTAGGTAGATGCTTAATCATTTATATTCTCTTACAACCTGGTTTAAGGATAGAAAAGCTGAGATTCCAAATGGGATACAATGTAACAAGGAAAATAGAACAATATGGAAGAATCCAGTAATAATAGTAATACATAATACATTCCTATAATTTATTGTGTGGTTGTGTAATTCTTGGCATAAAATAAAATTTTCTCATTAATCAGGAGTAAAATATAGGGGTAGAGGTGGTAAATCTGAGAAGGAAGTGCCTAGAGCCCTGGTTGAATAATGCTTGTAGGAATAAACAAGACTCTTAAATACCAGCGCCTCGGTTTCCCCTTATATCGTGGTGATCATTGCAAACAGTTTTGTAAATGCATTCTACATAAATGCAAACTGCTACTATTCAAATCTTATAAAAGCCTTAGATTTCTCTAGGGATTCCTGGGTGAGTTGAAGTCCAGAGTTTAATTTATTTAAAATTAGGTTATAGGAATTCACAGTTTTCAGTACATCTTATGTTTTTCTTCAAACAAACTACAGTTTAATTTTAAGCTACCCTAAATAGAAGCAAAATAAAAAAGTTTTCAGTATTCTAACTACCTCATGTATCTAAGGACACAGAGAGCTGCATTCTCAGACACACAAGAACCCAAACAGTGTTGTTTGGTTGCCTCTCTCGTTGTTGCTAACTTGCAACTGTTCCACTTTCAGCTCACAGAACTGTGGGACATATTTTTCCATTCATATTAATTGGATTTTTAAAGTGACCTTGTCCACATATTGATTTGTATTAAAATTGTCTACATCAAGGTCAAGTTGGCATATATCCTACAGACAAAATATTAAAAAGCCAGTGCTGCTGTGGCACCCTTCTAATGCAAGCGGCAGGTCTGTGTGGGGACCACCTTCACCTGGACTTGAATCTGCCTTATCAAGAGGACAGTCCTGTTTAAGTCCAGGGGCCCACCACTTTTGGGGAAGAGCCCCCTTGAGCCCCTCAGAGTCCACACTAATGCTGCTCACAGGAGTGGGTTTAGGATGAGCATCAGCTTATCTGAGATTCACTCAGGCTACCTTGAAAAAGAGGGCCTATTATTATTGTTCATAAAATTGAACTATCTCTAGCTCAGCCCTCAGCTGTGCCTGGCCTGCCCATTTAACATCTCTTCACTTACATATTTCAAAAGTATCCTAAACTTGGTGAAAAGGAAGTGATATTTCCCCTCCAGGTTTTTTCCCTTCTTCTTCTCAATAAATAGCAAAGTCATTACCTGGTGCTCAAACCAGAAGCCTGCAGGCTTCCTTACGTAGTTTCCCCTTTTTTCTCACTCCTCATATCCACTCCATCAGCAAATCATATCAATTCCTAAATTGATTGGCTTCTCACTTCTCTACTGCCACCACCCTAGTTGAAGCTGCTATTGTCAGAGGCATTTGAACCAGAGCAACTCCATCTTGAATAGGGGCTGGGTAAAATAAGGCTGAGACCTTCTGGGCTGCATTCCCAGGACGTTAGGCATTCTTTTATTAAAGTTCTTTTTTTTTTTTTTTTTAATTGATCATTCTTGGGTGTTTCTCGCAGAGGGGGATTTGGCAGTGTCATAGGACAATAGTGGAGGGAAGGTCAGCAGATAAACAAGTGAACAAAGGTCTCTGGTTTTCCTAGGCAGAGGACCCTGCGGCCTTCCGCAGTGTTTGTGTCCCTGGGTACTTGAGATTAGGGAGTGGTGATGACTCTTAACGAGCATGCTGCCTTCAAGCATCGGTTTAACAAAGCACATCTTGCACCACCCTTAATCCATTTAACCCTGAGTGGACACAGCACATGTTTCAGAGAGCACTGGGTTGGGGGTAAGGTCACAGATCAACAGGATCCCAAGGCAGAAGAATTTTTCTTAGTACAGAACAAAATGAAAAGTCTCCCATGTCTACTTCTTTCTACACAGACACGGCACCCATCCGATTTCTCAATCTTTTCCCCACCTTTCCCCGCTTTCTATTCCACAAAACCGCCATTGTCATGCTGGCCCGTTCTCAATGAGCTGTTGGGTACACCTCCCAGACGGGGTGGTGGCCGGGCAGAGGGGCTCCTCATTTCCCAGTATGGGCGGCCGGGCAGAGGCGCCCCTCACCTCCCGGACGGGGCGGCTGGCCGGGCGGGGGGCTGACCCCCCCACCTCCCTCCCGGACGGGGCGGCTGGCCGGGCAGAGGGGCTCCTCACTTCCCAGTAGGGCGGCCGGGCAGAGGCGCCCCTCACCTCCTGGACGGGGCGGCTGGCCGAGCGGGGGGCTGACCCCCCCACCTCCCTCCCGGACAGGGTGGCTGCCGGGCGGAGACGCTCCTCACTTCCCAGACCGGGTGGCTGCCGGGCGGAGAGACTCCTCACTTCTCAGACGGGGCGGCTGCCGGGCGGAGGGGCTCCTCACTTCTCAGACGGGGCGGTTGCCAGGCAGAGGGTCTCCTCACTTCTCAGATGGGGCAGCCGGGCAGAGACGCTCCTCACCTTCCAGACGGGGTCGCGGCCGGGCAGAGGCGCTCCTCACATCCCAGACGGGGCGGCGGGGCAGAGGCGCTCCCCACATCTCAGACGATGGGCGGCCGGGCAGAGATGCTCCTCACTTCCTAGATGTGATGGCGGCCGGGAAGAGGCGCTCCTCAATTCCTAGATGGGATGGCGGCCGGGCAGAGACGCTCCTCACTTTCCAGACTGGGCAGCCAGGCAGAGGGGCTCCTCACATCCCAGACGATGGGCGGCCAGGCAGAGACGCTCCTCACTTCCCAGACGGGGTGGCGGCCGGGCAGAGGCTGCAATCTCGGCACTTTGGGGGGCCAAGGCAGGCGGCTGGGAGGTGGAGGTTGTAGCCAGCCGAGATCACGCCACTGCACTCCAGCCTGGGCACCATTGAGCACTGAGTGAACGAGGCTACGTCTGCAATCCCGGCACCTCGGTAGGCGGAGGCTGGCGGATCACTCACGGTTAGGAGATGGAGACCAGCCCGGCCAACACGGCGAAACCCCGTCTCCACCAAAAAAATACGAAAACCAGTCAGGCGTGGCGGCGCGTGCCTGCAGTCGCAGGCACTCGCAGGCTGAGGCAGGAGAATCAGGCAGGGAGGTTGCAGTGAGCTGAGATGGCAGCAGTACAGTCCAGCTTCGGCTCGGCATCAGAGGGAGACCGTGGAAAGAGAGGGAGAGGGAGACCGTGGGGAGAGGGAGAGGGAGAGGGAGAGCACGTTAGGCATTCTTAGTCACAGGATGAGATAGGAGGTCAGCACAAGTACAGGTCACAAACACCTTGCTGATAAAACAGGTTGTGGTAAAGAAGCCAGCCAAAACCCACCAAAACCAAGATGGCAGCAAAAGTGACCATTGGTCATCCTCACTACTCATTATATGCTAATTATAATGCATTAGCATTTGAAAAGACACTCCCACCAGCACCATGACAGTTTACAAATGCCCTGGCAATGTCAGGAAGTTAACCTATATAGTCTAAAAAGGAGTGGAACCCTTAGTTCTGGGAAATACCCACCTCTTTCCTGGAAAACTCATGAATAATCCACTCCTTCTTTAGCATCTAATCAAGAAGAAACTGTAAGTATAGTCAGTTGAGCAGCCTGTCTATGGAGTAGCCATTCTTTTTTTCCTTTACTTTCCTAATAAATTTGCTGTCACTTTATGGATTTACCTCAAATTCTTTCTTGCACAAGATCCGAGAACCCTCTCTCGGGGTCTGGATCAGGATCCCTTTTCAGTAACACCATCATTCCCTCTCCTGGTCTTTCCATTTCTTCTCTTGATGCCTCCACAAAGCAGCCAGGAAGGTGTTCCTTTAAAAGCACACATCAGACATGCCACTTTTCTACTGAAAGCCCTACAGTAGCTTTCCATTT
Source organism: Homo sapiens (assembly GCF_000001405.40). NCBI lineage: Eukaryota > Metazoa > Chordata > Mammalia > Primates > Hominidae > Homo > Homo sapiens. The sequence goes on along the minus strand of NC_000009.12, from coordinate 131,906,533 downwards.
CACCCAGACAAAACTCAGCTCCTCATCAGAGTCTCAAAGGCCCCTGGTGGCCAGCCACACTCTTGCCCACCTGTCCGACCTCCTTTCTGTTCCTAGGATGCCAGGCCTTTGCAGGTGCTGCCCTCTCGGCCTGTGCTGCTCTGCTCCGGCACTGGGCATGGATGACCTTGTCTTACCCAGTAGGTTTCAATCAAACTTGAACCAACCCCCTTGTTAGCTTTGTTGTCTTCACAGCCCCATACGGACCAAATATTTTTTGTTTATTATCTGCCCACAACCCCCTCCCCCATCCAAGAATGTACAAGCCTGAGAGCACAAGTTGTTGTATTCCCTGCTCAGTCTCCAGTCCTTAGAACGATGCTTGGCACGTGGTGGGTACTTAATAAATATTTGAGTAAATGAGTGAGCAAGTGAATAATTGAGTGATCTGTTCTAAATGTCATTTTTTCACATGTAGATATTACCTGAGTAATCTCTCTTTAAGCTATCCCCGTTTTGTTCATTTCCTTCATAACTCTTTGCAATTTCTATGTCTGTATTTATACACTTCTTCATTGCCTGTCTCCTTCACTAGACTGTTAGCTCTGTGAATGTCTATTTCATTTCTCACTCTGGGTGCCTAATGCCTGGCCTGCACATAATATGTATTTAACAGATATTTGCTGGGTAGATGGGAGGAAGAAGGAACTGGAAGGGCGAACAATTTGCAGTCCAAGGCAGCTCTGGGTTCTTTTCCATGTTCTGCAGTCCAAATTCTGGAAGGAGGCAGGTTGGTTTTTTCTTTTCTTTTTCTTTTTCTTTTTCTGTTTTTTTTTTTTTTTTTTTTTTTTTTGACAAGGTCTTGCTCTTGCTCTGTCACCCAAGCTAGAGAGCAATGGCTTGATCACAGTTCACTGTAGCCTCAACCTCCCAGGCTCAAGAAATTCTCCCATCCCGGCTTCCCAAAGTGCTGGGATTACAGGCATGAGCCACCGTACCTGGTCCTGGAAGGACGCAGTTTTGTTGGCCTAAGCAGTATGAGGCAGAGCCTTCTCTACCAGGCCACTGTGTAGGGTGCCTACCCCTGGGCCAGCTGGTTCCACCCAGCACAGAAAACAGCAGCTTCCTTGGGTGGCAGGTAGTTTCAGTGAGACAGGAACACAGTGTGAGGCAGGCTTCATTACTGTCATGTTCAGTGTCATGTACAGATAAAGGACGTGTGCTGTCGAGGATTCCTCTTCACATCTGTTAGGAGCACCTTGACATTTTCAGTATGTTCAAGAAAACAGTAGCTTCCCATTTTGTCAGGTAACCTGTATCCCACTTGATTCACATAGAATCTTTTTGGATTGGAGGCCCTATTTTTATACAGGCATTGGCATTCATTCTGTATTCACTTTCCCTGGAAGGGCTATATTTTATATATTTGAATATACGTTTTATAAATTAAATGAGCTAATTTTGATAGTTTGGGGGATTTTTCCCAAGACTGCAAGGGAAGCCCAGAGGTAGCATGAAACCAAGATTGGGAAGCACAATTCTCTATTCTGTCTTTGTTTCTTTACATTTTATGTGAACTTGTGTTGTTATTATTGAAAGGGAGACGAGATGAGATAGGAAGATTGTGAAGAATTTTATATTTACAATGTGAGATGGAAAACTATTTCATAACCCTTCCCAGGCATGAAAACCTTTTATAACACTTGGTAAATGGATTAGTCCACTGTGTTGAAATTCCCCTCCAACCAGGATATTCTGAATTTAGAAGAGAGGAGAATATGGAAGAGCTAAGGAAAATTGGAAGTGCTGCCCAACTTGTTAACATTGATGGCTCTTTAGCAAATGACCCCAGTTCACTCGTGAGTGGAATAAGCTACCTCATAAAAAAACCTTGTTGGCCAGGTGCAATGACTCACACCTGTAATCCCAGCACTTTGGGCGGTCAAGGCAGGAGGACTGCTCGAGGCCGGGAGTTCAAGGCCAGCCTGGGCAACATAGTGAGACCGCTCCCCCCCGATCTCTATTTAAAAAAAAAAGAAAAGAAAAAAGAAAAATTAGTCCAGAAGTTCCAGGCTGCAGTGAGCTATGATCATACCACTGTACTCCAGCCTGGGTAATGGAGCAAGACCCTGTCTCTAAAAAAATAAGAAAAATATAAAAATAAAACACGTCTTATTAGGCAGGGTGTTTAATAATTTTTAAAAACAAGGATAACAGACTGGCCGCAGTGGCTCACACCTGTAATCCCAGCACTTTGGAAGGCTGAGGCAGATGGACTGTTTGAGTCCAGGAGTCTAAGACCAGCCTGGGCAACATGGCAAAACCCCATCTCTACAAAAAATACAAAAAATAGCTGGGCTGGTCGCAGTGGCTCACGCCTGTAATCCCAGCACTTTGGGAGGCCAAGACAAGTGGATCACGAGGTCAGGAGTTTGAGACCAGCCTGACCAACATGGTGAAACCCCCGTCTCTACTAAAAATACAAAAATTAGCCAGGCATGGTGGTTGCATGCCTGTAATCCCAGCTACTCAGGAGGCAGAGGCAGGAGAATCACTTGAACCCGGGAGGCAGAGGTTGCAGTGAGCCGAGATCACGCCACCGCACTCCAGCCTAGGTGACAGAGTGAGACTCCATCTCAAAAAAAAGAAAAAAAAAAAAAAAAGCTGTGTGTGGTGGCGCATGCCTATAGTCCCAACTATTTGGGAGGCTGAGGCAGGAGGATCACTTGAGCCTGGGAGGTGGAGGTTGCAGTGAGCTGAGATCATGCTACTGCACTCCAACCTGGGCAACAGAGTGAGACACTGTCTCTAAAAAAAATAATAATGACAACAGTGATAATATTTGCCACCATACAGGGAGTGCCTACTGAGTGCAGTGTCCAATAGTAGCTCTCGTGGACGCTCAATAGCATCAGCTGTGCAGTCCTTAGAGAGGGTTCCATGTTGGAAGTAAGAAAGCCCAGGTGCATGTGGGCCGCCTTTCCCAGGGCCACTCTGCTCTGTACATGGCAGAAGCAGTATCTGAACCTGGGTCTCAGGCTCCAAACCCCTGGTTATCCCACTCTGCCTTTCCCTGTGCCGAGGGGACTAATGGGGTAACACCTGTGATATGGTTTGGCTCTGTGTCCCCACCCAAATCTCATCTTGTAGCTCCCATAATTCCCACGTGTTGTGGGAGGGACCTGGTGGAAGATGATTGAATCATGGGGGTGGGTCTTTCCCGTGCCGTTCTCATGATAATGAGTGGATCTCACAAGATCTGATGGTTTTAAAAATGGGTGTTCTCTGCACAAGCTCTCTCTTTGCCTGCTGCCATCCACATAAGATGTGACTTGCGCCTCCTTGCCTTCCGCCATGATTGTGAGGCCTCCCTAGCCATGTGGATCTGTAAGTCCAATAAACCTCTTTCTTTTGTACATTGCCCAATGTCGGTTATGTCTTTATCAGCACTGTGAAAATGGACTAATACACCCGTGGCCACCACTGACCCAGCACTCTCATGGTTCAGATGTGGTGCTGAGCACTTCACATGCATGGTGTCATTCCTTCCAGGGTTGACAGGCAAGAAAACTGGAGCCTAAAGAGGGTAAGTGACTTGTTCAAGGTCACATAGCCAGGAAGGAGCAGAGCCAAGACACAAATGCAGGTCTTTTTTCCTCCCAGAGTCCAGAACTGTAGCTCCCATCTTGCTGGCACGTTGGTTTCTGACTTGTTGGCAAACAGACCCTAAATTCAGTTTGTCTGCCTCATTTTTCCTGGGACCTTGTCAAAGGAAAAATATAATTCCCCTCTTAGGGCTATAACAACTTTGTATCTGGAGTCTAGTCTGGACACGGGAGCCACCCCCAGGGCCATTTCTCCTTTCCTGTATCACATTATATTACATTGTGTTTTATCATCAGAGGCACAACTGGTTTGGTTTTGCAGAGCAAAATGAGTGACCTTCAGTATGGAAGAACATCGGTTTTAGCTTTGACAGTCCCTCGGTCTGACCTCTTGGTTTCCAAGTCACATCGCTCCGTTTTCTTTTTATGATTCAGTTACTGTCCCGCTCGATACAGTCCTGGTGGCCCCCTCTTCCTTGGCATGACAGTTTATCTTCTTTGCCCCAGCTCTGCCAGAGTTTCAGCCTTTCAGAGTTGGTCTGTCTCTGTTTTCTTTTGGTTGTATCCAATTTTACAGTTTTCCTAGAAAGAAGCAACAGCCAGTTTCCCTCATCCCCCTTGCTGCCGCAGCTCTCGAGCCTGCTGTTAAGAGGACAGTTCCGCCCAGCACGACTCTGTCAGGGCTACACATACCTAGCAGCTGTGCAGAATTCAGAGTGCTAACTTTTTAAAAAATGCTACAAGTAGAAGAAGCAAGTAGTTTATTAGCGTCTTAGAGATGGGGTCAGTGGTGTGTGTATGAAGTCATTTGTGAGGGAAGCCAGGAGTCTCGATCGGCAAGGCTTTAAGCCCTTTAACAGAGCCCTGGAGGAGGATTGCTGGGTGGCTGGAGGAGTCCATGACTCAAGGCTCTTTGGTCACCATTGCTTGTGATTTGCATGGATGTGGGGTCATGGGCCAGGCATGAGGTAGGGAAACAGCAAGAGACAGCTTCTGGCCCTTCACAGAAAACCAGTGACCTTCGACTCAAATCTTTCAAAACTTCAGCTTCCTTCTATTAAGAATGGGAATAAGACAACTGCCTGGGCTGAATCCCGGGTTGTTAGGCAGACAGAGGAGAAAGTTGCCTGCCCTGTGTGCATGCACCTGCCCTTGTTCCAGAGCAAAGGGGTAAATCTGCATGATATGGAGGAAAGACCCCCTAGGAAAAGTATAGGGGCACTGATGAGCTTTTACAGACCGTATCTAAAAACACCTCTTGGAGGAGATTCCCATTTGGAACCCCATTTGGGAACTGCTCATCTACATAGCCAACTCCACCCTTTCAAAATGTGCGGTGAATTAGGCAGGTGCTGAACCAGGCATTTTCTGGTTGTGCCAGACAGCTCAGTGAGGCAGTGCCCTCCTCCCTCCGTTCCTCAAGCACATTGTGAGCTCCAGGTGGCAGAGCACTTTAGGTGCCCTCCAGTGACTCCGGGCATATGTCGATTTTGTTACCTTCTTTAAGGTAGGAGCCACATTTGATACTTCTTAACCTCCCTAGGCCTCAGTTTACTTCTTTAGACATGGGAGAGTTAGAGAAAATGATTGTTTATATCCTTTTCAGCCTACAGTTCTATGATTCTGTGAATCAGTGTCCTTGCCCAGTGTTGCACACAGTACAGACATTTCTTCAACAAGACATTGTTCACTGCACTCACTTACCTTAGCCTGTTCTTTCTTTGGAATTAGTACAAAGAGAAAAGTTCTCAATATTGTATGAAGGAAAACACTTCCTAAATCTCCTTTGGGTGTGCCCGCCAGCCCCTCCTTTCCACCCTTCCTTCTTCTCTCCCCTCCTTCCCCCCTCCCTCCCTCATTCTCTCTCCCCATCTCTTCTTCTGTCTCTCTCACCTCTCTCTCCCCCTCTTTCTTTCTCTCCCCCCTCTCCTTGTGTCTCCCCTCTCCTCCTCTGTGTCTCTCTCCTCTCTCCTTCCCTCCTTCTCCCTTACCCTCTTTTTCTCTCCCTCCCTCTCTCTCCCTCTCCCTCTCTCTTTCTTTCTGCTGTACTTGGAAAAACATCATTTAAATTACAACAGATCCCTTAAGGGCGCCTACATATCAGACTTTTATTTTGTATACAGAAAATAACATTCATGGATGGTTTTACATAAATAGTTGGCTTCTTTTTAATTCTTTTTTAATAACACACTCCCCTCCCCAAAGCAGGGCTTAGACATGCCACCATTTGTCTAACTGACAAACCCCTGAACTATCCCCCTTCACCTCCCACACACATGCTTTCTGCCAGGTTGGGGATGCTATCTGGCCCCGGGTTCCTCGTGCAGGTAAGTTTTTGGTCAGCTCACCTCCCCTGATCCTAGATGCAGATACCGCTCAGTTTCAAAGCACTTTTCCCCCTACACGAGTTCTGGGGGAAGATCATTTTAAGTGACCAGCTCCTCTCACCTTCTCAGCTCACATGGTCAGGCAGTAGAGATATCATTTCAACCACCAGATTTGTTAGGTTTTTGTTAGACGTCAGTTGGCAGAGCTGAACTAAATACTTTTTCTACTTTCCTCCCACTTTTCCTTTCCTGTCTTGTGACTTGCCTTGCCACAGTGGATTAGAAATTCTCTTCGTGGAATACAGCTTGGCAGGCGATTGCTGGAAAAGCAGATAGAGAAGACCACTGGTTTCGGCCCCCGCTCGCTGCCCAGAGTGCAGCTGACCTGATGGGGGGGCTAGGCAGGGGCAGGTTTTATAAATGCACTTCTGGGAGGCGATGGCCAGATGGGAGGCGGGCTGGGCTTCCTCTTCAAGTGCACCTTGATGCCTGCACAGGAAACATAGTGCCTCCCCTGACTCTCTACCATGAGTAGTGAGCAAGCTCTTTGGAAATGTGCTGCTTGGTATAGAAAAGTGTTACCTTGGCAACAGCAAGCTCGCTTCATTACCAGATGGCATTAGCTTTTATTAGTGGTATCCTATAGCAGTTGCCAAGAGCCGACCTGTAGCCCCCGTCGGTGGGCGTTTTGCTTCTGACTGTGACCAGCATTGGCTAGTTTGTGGAAAGATGCCCATTGGCCTCTATGTGCTGCATCTCTTTATCAGTCTATCAAAAAGTTCAAGGTCACTACAACCTGGTGCATGCAGATACGTTAGAAACTGGCACATGCCAGACACATGAGAATCGGAATCATTGTAGAGCGATGTGAGGGCTGGAAGGTCTGCTAGAGAGCGCACACCAGGCTCCATCTCGATGGCAGAGCCAGGAGGGCTCCTGTTACGTTACCCTTCCTGCTGCACCACACTCCGAAGAGAAAGGACGCTAACAGCCATTGAGCTTTGCTGTCCACCGCACCCCTAGGCCCAAGTTTTACATGGATCGCCTCCTTCAATTTCCTCAAAAGGTCCCACCGCATTTCACAGCTGAGTAAACAGGCACCAGAGGTTGTCTGAGTTGCCCTGGGTCACACTGCCTGCAAGTGGAGAATGAGGGCCTGAAGCACAGTGCTGGAGAGTAGGAGCAATTGATTTGCACACCAAATGGCCACCGCCAGGAGGTCTGGCTGCCTGACCCTCAGGCTTGCAGGCACTTTCTGCTCAGTGGTCGCTCAGCAGACCCCACAGTCTTATTCATCCTTCAGGTCCAGCACAACTGTCACCCCCTCTCAGCTTCCTGTAGCCCCAGTTGTGACAGCAGGAGGGAAAATTAACATAAGGACCAGGTCAGCCAGTTCACTGACCTGGCTACAGCAGCAGTTCTGGTTCCAGCTTTGACGTTAACTGGCTTCAAACCGTTTCACCTCCATAAAGTCCAAACAGGGGTTTGGGCCAAGTAACAATAGCATTGCCACTGAGCACTCCCTGTGCCAGGCCCTGTGCCATCCCCTTCACCTGTGCATTGTCTCACTGACTCCTCACAGTCACTCTGAGATGGGAGTGCCATTATCTCCATTTAGATGTTCAGAGAAGGTAGGTAGCTAGGCCAGGCTTTCCAACAGCAGAGCCGAGACCTGATTCTAAAGCCTCAAAATGTTAGGCTTCAAAACTGGGTATATTATTACCATGTTAAAAATCCAGGCCGGGCGCAGTGGCTCATGCCTATAATCCCAGCACTTTGGGAGGCCAAGGTGGGAGGATCATATGAGGTCAGGAGTTCAAAACCAGCCTGGCCAACATAGTGAAACCCTGTCTTTACTAAAAATATGAAAATTAGCCGGGCGTGGTGGCACACGCCTGTAATCCCAGCAACTAGAAAAGGCAAGGAAGGAGAATCGCTTGAACTTTGAAGGGAGGTTGCACTAGCCAAGATTGTGCCACTGCACTCCAACATGGGAGACAGAGCGAGACTATCTCAAAAAAAAAAAAATGCATAAAGCCATAATTCTATGCCTATTCAACTTAGATGAGCACCAGGATCTTTTTTGGCTCTATAAAAAATAAGAATTGGCTGGGCGCGGTGGCTCACGCCTGTAATCCCAGCACTTTGGGAGGCCGAGGGCGGGTGGATCACCTGAGGTCAGGAGTTCGAGACCAGCCTGGTCAACATGGCGAAACCCTGTCTCTACTAAACAAAAATACAAAAATTAGCTGGGTGTGGTGACAGGAGGCTGAGGCAGGAGAATCGCTTGAACCCAGGAGGCAGAGGTTGCAGTGAGCCAAGATCACCCCACTGCACTCCAGCCTGGGTGACAGAGCAGGACTCCATCTCAAAAATAATAAATAAATAAGAATTGACAAACTTCATAGAGCTTTATGGATTCAGAAGATCCCAAAAGTAAGCCAGTGCAAGACTTTTCATACTGACTATCCATAAACTACTATAGCCCTGGAAGTCATCTTGCCAAAAAAAAAAAAAAAAATCAAACCTGCATCTCATCTAATTATCAATTGGCAGGTAATACAGAGGAAGGAGCAGCATGTTAAAGTATACCACTGGGATGCCACCAGCAAAATCCAGACTGTGGAAAACTCTGTAGGAGATAACCCAGTTTCTTCAGCACATAAAATGGGGACATGGGGTTGGGAGGGGGATCTCTTTAGTTTGGGAAAGACTTATGAGACATGTCAACCAGTCACATTGTGTGGACCATATTTGGATCCTGATACGAGCAGACTTGTAATAAAGTGGCAAAAGTAAAATCCAACAAACCCCTTCCCTGCCCAAAGTGCCAACTTAATTGATTTTTAAAAACTTCTTATTATGGAAGATTTAAAAACATATACACGAGTAAATGAAATAGTACAAAGAACCCCATGAACCCATCCCAGCTTCAACAATGACCAACTCTTGGCCAATCTTGTCACCTCCACCTCCACCTCCTTTTCCCTCCCTGTGTTACTCTTCTGAAACAAATAACAGCCATGGTATCACTTCATCTGTAGATATTTCAGTACGTATTTCTCAAAGGGTTCCAAAAGCACATAAGCAGAACCATGACACCCACATCTCATACAATAATAACGCTCCAGTATTATCAAGCATGTAGTTCAGTGTTCAGATTTCCAACAGTCTCATAAGTTTTGATTTGATTTAGTAGTGCCCATCGCTGACAAGAACAGAATGAAATAGGTGTGTTCATACCTTTCTGGTTGGCATAACCGTTGTGGTTAGCAGTTTGGCAGATTATATCAAAAGCCTTAAAATATTTGTATTGTTTGCCACAGTAGTTATGACTTTGCAAATCTAGGGAAATAATTCCAAATGTGGTGAAAACTTTGTGAACAAAAATATACACTGTGGCCATATTTATATTAGGGGAAACTTGGAAGTAACCCGAATGTCCACCAATAGGAGAATGGTTAAAGAAATTATAGGATATCCTCTCAGTAGAATGTCGTGCAGCAATGCAACACTGATTGTGAAGACTATATAGCAGTATGGAACAATACTTGTCATAGTTTTAAGGAAAAATTTGATTTGAAAATATACATGACTGGGCGTGGTGGCTTGCGCCTGTAATCCCAACACTTTGGGAGGCCAAGGCGGGCGGACCATGAGGTCAGGAGTTCAAGACCAGCCTGGTCAACATGGTGAAACCCCGTCTCTACTAAAAATACAAAAATTAGCTGGGCGTGGTGGCGCACGCCTGTAATCCCAGCTACTCAGGAGGCTGAGGCAGGAAAATCGCTTGAACCCGGGAGGCGGAGTTTACAGTGAGCCGAGATGGCACCACTGCACTCCAGCCTGGGCGACAGAGCAAGACTCTGTTTCAGAAAAAGAAAAAAGAAAGAAAATATATATATATAGTTTCATTATAACGATGTTAGAAATTCAAAAACCATAAGCCTTTGATAATAAAATGATTGAAAGGAAGTACCCCAAAATGTTAATGGTGATTATCTTTCCATCTCAAGACCAGGAACAACTGTCTTCTTCCTTTGTTCTCTAATTTTAGATTTTTCCATAATAAACATTTATATTTTTAAGTATTAGTTAACTTTAAAATACCAAAATTAACTTTTAATAGAAAAAAATTTGAATATAAAATTTCTGGTGTTATTAGTATGTATTTCTAAAATCCATCTTAAGAAACTTAAATTACAAAGGCAATTTATTATTTAATTAATATCAGCCAGGTTTTGATGTTTCAGGAAACAATTGCTTAGTCACCTAGGCTTATTAGCAAAGAAAGTTAAAATGTGCAGTTACAAACAGTGGCCCTTCCAGAGGAGAGCTGTGGAGAACATGTGGGACCTACATTCACTTTAGCCTAGTGAGAAGGTATCGATTTCAGTGTCTGTAACTACAAAACTATAACTTGGCCGGGCGTGGTGGCTCGTGCCTGTAATCCCAGCACTTTGGGAGGCCAAGGCAGACAGATCACTTGAGGTCAGGAGTTTGAGATCAGCCTGGCCAACATGGTGAAACCCCATCTCTACTAAAAATACAAAAAACTTAGCCAGATGTGGTTGTGCACACCTATAGTCCCAGCTACTCGGGAGGCCGAGGCAGGAGAATCGCTTGAACCTGGGAGATGGACGTTGCAGTGAGCCGAGATCACACCACTGCACTCCAGCCTGGGTGAAAGAGCAAGACTTCGCCTCAAAAAAAAAAAACAACTATAACTCAGTTGCTCTCCCTCCCTCCCTTTCTTCCAGTAGGCTCCATGTTGACTAAAGACAGAGTTACTCACTCTACCTCCATGGTTTATTGGCATCCTTAGATAGGGATTTTCAGTAACACAAAAAAATGACCCATTGATTGGACATAGGACAACAAAAAATAAAGAGACCCACTGAACATTACATGGTGTGACAATATTTAAAAGTGTTATACAGAAATAGGATGCCTTTATTAGCAGTCCCTTAAATGTAAATAAATGTTTTTTCTTACCATGTTTGTATTCAGTACTATTTAAAGTATACAGAAATAGAGCTATCAACCTAACGCTTGAAATTATTGAAGGAATCAAACGTTGGGGGTGTTCACTGATACCCAGGACTAATCAAGGAAAGAGGAAGGTTGTTGTTGAGGATGATCAGTTGGAAAACTGCAAGGAATGGGGATATAAGGAAGGGGTGATTAGAGGTGGCATCCCCAGAAACTGACGGCAGGTCGGAGTTGAAGGATCAGGATTGCCATCTGGGGCTAAGGCTCTTACCTTAGGCAGCTCAGCAGGGCTTCCTTTCAGCAAATTCTGTGACGTCAAAACCTCATCAGAGCAACTCGCACTATGGGCGGGTGGGTCCCAGGCTGGGGTCTGCGTCCAGGTTCTCATATACGAAATGAAAAGCTTTAGCAAAGTCTTAGAAGAGTTACGTGAGCCCCTCGTCTTCATCCGTATATTGTTTATTGTTGCTATAACCAAATACATGAAGCTGGGTAGTTTATAGGAAAAGAGATTAAGCTCACAGTTCTGCTGGTTAGGAAGTATAAGAAGCATGATGCCCGTATCTGCTTCACCGTCTGGCGAGGGCTTTTGTGTTGCACCGCATCACAAACATCGCAACATGGTGGAAGGTCTAAGGGGAGGCAGACACGTGTGAAGGCCAAAACCCAAGGGGTATCCTGGCTTTATAACAAGCCACTCTCGAGGGAGCTGATCCAGTCTTGCCAGAGCAGGGACACAGTATGTCGAGAATGAACCCAGCCATTTCTGAGGGATCCGCCTCCTTGACCCAAACACCCCCCACTAGGCCCCACCTCCCAACACCACATTGGGGATAAAATTTCAAGCTGAGTTTTGATGGGGGGAAACAGCCATATCCACACCATAGTGTCCCTAAAGAAGGGAAGGTGCTGTTTCTATTCTTGGTGCTGAGCCTATTCCAGCAAGCACAGCAGGTTCCTTTTTCCCTGGCATACATGAAACTGCACTTTTTTTAGGATTTTTTTTTTTAATGTATAATATGTGCTTAGGTTCTGAGAGTAAAAGCACTTAAATGTATTTCCAGGATCATGTTTCTTTTTTGAAGATAAAATTCAGCTACTTTCCTTTTACCTCCTGACTTTATTTGGTATTGCTTTTCCACTTTTACCAGTTACTATAAATAGATAGTTCAACCAAGAGGCATTTGGTACTTGCCTTTGCTCTGTATATTGTACTCTGTACATATTGCATAGGTATACATAGGGCCATGAGCACGAAACAACGTGCTCACTAAATCCTATAATTGCCAGAATTGTAGAATCCTCGCCTTTGAAAAAGAAAATCTTAAAATGGGAAAGGGAAGGATTTTACTTTTTCCAGCAGATAGTAAACATATGAAACTTATCCTCAGAGTTTGTAAGCCAAAAATATAAATAAATTTAGGGAAGTTAGACGAGTTGAGGCCCAAAACATTTTTCAGTGATCACAGAAAGAACTTGCTGTTATTGAGAGTTCATTTTCCAGTGCTGGAGGATCCACAGGGCCAGCACCATGAATCCAGTCTCACTGGATTGGCCAGGTGGTCATTTCTTCTCACACCCCTGCCCAACTTTGTGTGATTTGCGTGTTCAAGTGTCAGCTTACATGTGTTTTGGCAGGTGACCTTGGGAAAGGTGTTGAAAGTGATCGTCGTCATGCGGAGCCTGTTCATTGATCGAACAATAGTAAAGGGATATAACGAGAATGTCTACACAGAAGATGGCAAGGTAAGCATTGTGCAGTCTTGTGTGTTCCTTGGTTTTCTGTATCCCAGAACAAGTGTAGTCGAATTCCAGATGAATGGCATTAAAAACTAGCAATCATAGCGGAAATGATCAGCAAACATAGATTTGTCAGTGTGAGGATGCACACTTTGTGAAAAAACATTTCATTCTCTCTGCTTGCATTCTCCATCAAGCTTCTGCTTTTTCCTCTAAGCCTGATGCCCTTAGTTGAATTTCTAATTTATCACCTTAGACCCCAGTTGCCTCATTAAATGTGTCTTCTGAGGAAATGGATTTTTTTCCCCAAGTCAAGCAGCTCCTCAGTAGCCCAAGGTTCAGCATTTTGCTTTTCCTAGAACCACGAGGAAAATTCCCATTCATTTGACACAACCTGATGACACTCTTTTTCCACAAAACTAACAAGTCGCCCTTAGGAAGTGGCTGTGCACAGCAGCATATATTGAATACTGCTGTTGAAAGAAGACGTGTTATTTCCACGGGTGACTTGTTTCATGGAAAGTTCACCCTTGTGAACCCCTAATTCCTTTTGACTGCACAGTCTCCATATGGCTCCACAGAGAGCATCAGAGGATGCTGATGGGAGCTGACAGCCTTCATTTGTGTTTGCACCAGAGTGTAATGAACACCGTGCCTGAGATGCCCCACACTCTTCCAGGCCACTCTCAGCACGGAGCCTGGTCTCCCCACCCCATCGGGAGCCTTTCCTTCCTCATGACTCTCATTAAAATGTAAAAGTTTGTTAGTATGAATACTAGCACTCACCACCCAACAGCCACATTATAATGAGAATAGAATGTTCTTCAAAAAAAGGTGGTAACTGTGGCTTAGCACATAGCAGGGCGTTACATAAGAAGCACAGCCCGTGATATAATGAGATGTGTGTTTTGAACAAGTAACCCAGCATTTCCACATTCCACACAAGTGTTGTCTACGTGGGATGCAACTCCTGCTCCAAGGACTGTGCCCAGTTCTCGTAAATTTCCTCGTTGATACCAAATCATTCATTGAGGGGAGATTTCCTTTTTCTTTTTGGAAAAACCAAATGTCTTTGGAGCATGCATGTAAAGTGAGTAATCAGTCAGGTGTAGTCTGTGCGTCTGATTTGTAAACTCTGACAGCTGCTCCAGAAGGTTCCACACTGTTGGTCAGCAGGAGAGGCAGCACTGAGGGTAGTGTATACCCTCGCAGAGACCATGGGCAGTGGCATTTTGAGATGCCATTCTTGTTGGGTTTTTTCAAAGTTGACAACTTCATAGTCACTCCTGGTACAAAACATAGCCCTTGCTTGCCAAGGACTTACAAACGAATTGGAGAGTTGAAGAACAAATACGTAGAAAGGTGAGTCATAATCAGGACCGTGCTACTAGAGTTACCAAACTTAGGGTGCAAATGAAGCATGCTCTGAATTGAGATCATAAGAAGGAGTGGAAATTTACCTACTTTGCATGATACCTTTAACACTCTATTTAATTGCCCCTTACTGAAAGTGTCTGAAGTAGTACACATAAAGCACTTGGCACTTTGCCATCTAGTCAATACTCAGTAAATGATAACTAGTATTATTTTTATTCTAACTTAAAATAACAGTCTTGAAATATAGAGTCTCAGAGGTATGGTGCTTCCAAAACACCTCTGATCGCCCCTCCTCAGCTGCTCCAGTTACTTCCTTCTTTCTTGTCTTCCCCCTTGACTTCCCAGTTTCCCAGAGTTTTCTTCTCCCTCTGCGCATTCTCTTTGGCCATTCTCATCCATGTCACCCACACAAGGATCACTCATGATTTGTTTCTAGATCAGACTTCCCGTGTTCCTCAAGTTTAGCCTGTCTAAAACAAAACTCATCATCTCTCTCCCTACACTCAGTTTCCCTCCTCTTTTCCTTATCTTGGTTAACAGTACCCCCACCTAATTGGTTAAAGCTTTCTTCCCTTCATCCCGCCGGTCTAGGCTGTCAGTGATTACTGGCAGTTCTCCCTCTTAAGTAACTCTCAAACTGGGCCCCCCATCCCTCTCCACCCCTCTCGCTCCTCTCCGGCTCTCATTATCTCTGCACTGAAGAATGCACGCACCGCCTCACTTCTAGTCTCCAGTCTTGCTTCCCTCACAGTCTGTCCTTCACTTGGCTTCCAGAGCTGTCTTCCTAAAATACACATGCGAGCGGATGATTCTCTTTCTTTTTGCCATCTCCCCCTTGCCCAAAGCAGCCCTCCCCAAAGTAGGAAAGTAGGATATTAATAGATGTTAGGCAGAAAGCAATGCATGGTCAAACAAGTTTGAGAAACTCTGGGTTAGAGAAAGTTCAGTGGGTTTCTTTACTGTGGAAACCAGTTTGCTGATGTGCCTTATGAATATCTTACAGGGAGTAGAGAGTATGCAATATTTTCCTAACTTATTTGGCCACCAAATTCTTTTTATCTTCTTTTATTCTTAGAGCATATTGTGACATTGCCATTTTGTAGAATATACTTCTGAAAACTCTGGCTTGTAGCATAAAATCCAGACTCCTCTGCAAGGCGTCTAAATGCCTCATGGCGCAGCCTCTGCCTTCCTTTCTGACTTCATCTGGCATCATTCTCTACACACACCTCATCTTATCTCCAGCCGCGTGCTCCCTGTAGCTTCCATGACATGCCAGACTCTTTCACGTATTTGCACGTTTTGTGCCTTTTGCCCTGGGATCCCTCCTAGTCCAGCTGACAAAGTTTTACTCTTCCCTTTACAGTGGCTGAATGCCATCTTCCTTCCCATCCTGTCTCCATTTTCCCAAGAGCCTCTTTGCTTATGAACATGGGCTCTAGAGATGGCCGACCTGGGTTTGCCTCTCCTTACAGCACAGAGTTATCATCATTATCCATACACCCATAGAATTCAGAACAATCTTTTCCTAGTACTAGAATTGGTGCATCATGATTATTTACATGTCCATCTTGCAATTAATAAAAATACTAACAATACTAACATACGTTGGTCAGGCAGGCACTGCACAAAGCGAACTTTGCCCACGGTGGCTGTCGAATCCTCCTCACAGCATCATGAGACAGGTGCTGCTCTTAGACTCATCTTACACATGGAGAAACTGAGACCTAGAATGGTAACGTTGCCCACAGCCACACAGGGCTGGATCTCAATCCTGCATCTACCAGGAGCTCCTCAAGGGCACAGGCTCCATCGTGTGACTGTCTGTCTGTAGGGTGCACTTCTGTGCCAGGAGCACGGTAGGAGCCCAGTCCTGTCTGGGAGGAGATGATGAAAAAGCCTACTTGGGATATGAAAATGCTTAAGCTGGAATGGAAAGTGGAGAATCAAAAATGAGAAATGGGGACTAAAAGGAGCGGCAGTAATTGAAGTTGTAAATAAGTCAGAGGATAAAGGAGACACACGAGTAAAGGGAGACCTCAGGCCCTCCTGATGAGAGATTAGCCCGGCCTCTCTCTTTCTCCGAAGGAAAATGGCTGTACATTTGGGACCCTGGTTGACATCAGAAATGTGGTTGGACAGGAAGCCTTGCGTCCCCCTTTACAACTGTATGCGTTGGCCCAAGCAGTGCTTAAGCAGGGACCCTAAAAGTGGAAATTGCAAGACCGAGAGAACCAGGCCTCTTTGTTATTTTAAGGACACACTGACCACATTTGGCAGAGAAGCTCTCAAATGACTGTTCCACTCAGAATCTCATCCTAGCCAATTTGATTAGCCCCTTTTTTTCAGAGCACTTCACAAATGATAAAAATAAACCATGCAGACATTATTAGTGCTCTATTTTGAGTACTCTGTGTGTGTGTACTTTATTTATATACAATCTAGGCATTAGTGCAATTAATGTGTTGAATTGTCTGGCACATCCCAAATGAAATGTGGCGTCTGGAAGGAGCCCTTGGGGCCTGACATGTGTTCTACAAGAGCACGTTGTTGCTGGAGACGTCGCTGCTCCCGGGACGCAGCCTGCGTTTGCTGAGTTGGTGCCTAGGTGGCTGCAGGGGGGTGTTTTGCTGCAGTCTCCTGGAGCACAGCCACAGAGGCCCTGGGTGTGGCTCAGGAAGCCTCCTATGGGCTTAACTTCTGCCTCTGCGGTTGTCTCTGTCCTCCAAGCCCAAAGCAACCAGCACATTCGAAAGTTTCATTATCCTTCTTGCTGCTGTAGTGGCCCAGCACCACCCCTAATTTCCAGACCTTGCAGGTTTTTTCCCCATCAGAATCCAGCCCAGCAAGGCTATCACTTTGCACTTTGCACTTTGCTCTAACAACCACCGCCATGACCCTAGCATCCTGTCTCTTTACCTGCAATGCATATTTTTGATACCAAGGACCAATAGCCTGATTCCTCTAATAAAATAAAAATGCTTTTCAGACTTACCAACCACTTATTCATTGTACTCAGGGAGTAGCAAGAGCCACGACTCAGCATGTTAAAAGGCAGGATTGAAGATGAATACCTGGCCATTGTCCTGATTTTATACCAGTCAGACTTAACTGAAAAAAAAATGTGTCTCGTTCGAATTTAACTTTTTGGGGGATTTAGGTTATGTTAATGCTATAGCTTCATTAATTACCCCATATCAATAAAAAAGGCAGCTTTTAGCCTCCGAGCATAAGAGAGGAAAAGAAATGGTGGTATCAAAGGAAACCTTCAAAGACAGCCAGAGCTGTCTCCAGGGTAATTTCTGATCCCTGCATTCTTCCCACTTCAAAGTTGGCTGTGTGTGTGCATGTGGGTCGAGGGGGTGGGGAGCTGAATCTGATTTCTCTAATAAGTGTTGGCATCAGCCCTGTTTGATATCAGATGCAGGGAACATTTTGATTTGTTATAGCCTTTGAAATTGTTCAGATGACCTTCAGAAAAATGGCCTCTTGTTACTTCTAGGGGGAAGGGTGAAAGCCAGGGAAAGGGGAATCCAGTTTAATTCATATGCAGAGGATTCCCTGAAATTGTGCTTTCAGCAGTTTTTTAGTAACAAATGCATGTCCTGATTGAAAGTGAAAAGTTGAAGAATAATAGACCTGTAACACTGTGTTCTTGGGTGAGGCTCTTGTTCACTCTTATTCTCTGGGGAGGGTCAGCAGATTTGAGAGGGTGACCACATAGAAGTTTATGGTTTGGAAAATGTGGGTAACAACATGGAGAGATCCGTCACCATAGCTGGTTTGCAGCATTCTACCCAAACTGATAGGCCTATCACCTGTTCACCTTGCAAGACGAAGCTACTAAATAGAGGTTCTAAAAGTTGGAACCTCGTGTGGCTTACGAGTTTTATTTAGATAATTTTGAATCGATTCCACTGTTTTTTGAAATGAAGTATTGATAACTTTCTGATAAGCTGCCAAAATGTTCACTTGCTGTTACATGAATTTTAGTGGCAGTGGTTGTCACAGCAGCAGGCCTCAAAGCAGAACTATGCTCCCAGAAGAGCTGCGCAAGTGACAGCTTAGGGAGCGCGCAGCCCCGGCATCCTGCCTGCTGTCTAACTGGAAGGCAGTCTCTTCCTCCCAGGGTAAGAGCTGGGCCTCTGCACACAGACCTGGTTTCAAATTCCCCCACCTCGCATTAACTATGCAATGGTGGACAAGTCACCTAACTTCTCTGAGCCTCAGCGTCCTCATCTGTGAATTGGAAATGGTTTTATCAACCTCATGTTATTGCCAAAAGGATTTTAAAAGTAACGCAGGTAAAGGGCAGGCCGAATGCGTCATCTTCATCAGTAAATGGCATCCGCCCTTGCTGGTTGTGATGGAGGTGGTGGTGGTGGTCAGCATTGCAGACAGAATCACCTGCCTGCTGATACTGGGTCGCTCTGATTGTTCTTGTCAGTGAATAAATTTGATTTGTCACCATTTTCACCAGTTCTTCCTGTGTGTCAAGAGGTCTTTTGATGTCTTGGTGTTTGCCCTGAGAACAGACGTGTCTGTGCTGAAGCAATTGGTCATCTGCAAGGTTTGTTTTCATTTCACCTGAGAACAGACCACACCCCACCCTTAAAATACTTACTGCAATCCCCAGAGGCCAGGAGGCTGCTCCTGAGACTGCAGACTCAGCCACCAATTACCACAAGGTTGACTTTTGTGTTTTCAGATCTTTCTTATGCTTGCTCAGAATACTGAAGGGTGCTTCGCTTTCTTTTTCCTGACACTATAGTTCAGAATAATTTCTTGTTCATCAGGTTGAAGGTTTGCAGCTTCCAGAATGCTCCTTTTTTGAATATTGCAGCCAGCAAAGAATTGGTAGCCATGTCTGCCTCTGCAGTAAATAAGCTGAAGCTAATAAATATTCACTTGGATCAGTCCTGGCTCCCTGAAATGAATTTCTGAAATCTTCCTGGCCCTGAGGAGAGGCAGGGCATTGACTCCAGAATGCTCATTTCTGGCTTTCTTTGGCATAAATCTAGCAGAAAATCAAGTACGAACCACCTGCTGTGCACTCCTAGCAAAAGAGGGCCCTATGGTTAAGGGGTCCCTTTTTCACCCATGCGCACCAGGTAAATAGACCGTATTATCTAAGGTCCTTCTGTCCCAGATGGTAGGAGCTTTTCCCTAGGGTCCTGAATAATACATTTAAACCTTTTAAAAAGAGCATCATCCTCACTTTGAATAAATGTGGTGTGTTTTGAGAATCCACAATGAGGCTGGAGAGGCCATGTTTTCATTAAACCAATGCATATTTTTCTCTAGATTTTTTTAAATTAAGACATTTTGCAGATACTGAAGGATTTTTAAATATGTTTAACTTTTAAATAAAAACTATAACTTTTTAATGTAGCAGATTCTTCTTTTCTGTTTTTCTTGGCTCTGTGTTTATGTCTTGGTCTGCTTATGTATGATGTAAGCAGGCAGGAAGGGTAAACAGTGAAGAAGTTCAGAAGAAACAGCTGTGGGCTCAAAATGGAAGGAGAACTATATTAGTTCCAAGTTCAGACATCGGTGTTCCTCTTCCTAAAACTGAGATTTGGAATCTTTGGCTTCTCTCTGTCATCTTGGCAGTAATTTTGGTACAACTAAACGATGCAAAAGTCATTCTTATTCATCCTGCAACCCCTGAATAATCTTTAAATGCTGCATTTGTTAAGCCCTGTGCTAAACTGCGGCACTGAGAAAGTAATACGAACCCGATTTATCCTCCCAAATATGACCAGCTGCCCAACAGTAGTTTTCTTCAACAGAATTGATAATGTGGGGAATTAATTTCATATGTTTCTTTTGAGGTTTCCCTCAGAGTTATCTGGAGGTAACATGTCACTTTTCCCCTTGCAAATTGTTGAGCTGTCACATTATAATTCCAGCACTGGAAGATCTTTAAAATTCTTACTCCATCCAGTGGTTTCAGTGGGGGGCACTGACTGGCAATTGACACCACCTTTCTGAAGAGCAGTTTAGCCAGAGTAGAAGGAGGATGATCTGTTGAGGGTTTTTGTGGCAATGCAAGAAGGAGATGGTGCAGGCAGTGGGGGTAGGGAGAAGTGGGTGATTGAGGTTCATTTTTCCTATTGAATGAATGCTTGATCAGTGAAAGCTCCTCCATGATTTGTCATGGAGTTCGATGAGCTGAACTCATGGAGTTCCTCTCCTGCGGAAGTACAGAGTGGCCTCCTCAGAATCATCTTAACCTTCTCTACTGTCCTAAAAGTTTTCAAACACAGTGAAATTTTCATGAAACTAATTGTGAACAGGGAAAAGCCAGGAGAACTAAATGTATATGCCTGTTCACAGCCCTGCTTTTAATTTCCAAGCACTGTTTTCAGAAAGCCAGGTTTCAGTGTATTCCGCAGAATAGACACAGAGCTCTGAAGTGTCCTGGGTCAAATGCAACACATCCTGTCCTGTCTTCTTAAAGGACTTTTCCTGTCCAATGGCTTCCCAATGCTTTCTGGTGTTCCAAAATCAATCACACACCACACAGGCCTAAACCGCCATGGCCCAGGGCTCTACCTGACCGCTGGCCAACCCCCAAGGCAGGTTCCCAGAGGCCCATTGACCAGGTGTTCCATTCACTCAACTCTTGAATTCATATATTAAAGTCAACTTTTTAGCACCTATGGGACACAGTGATGGCTTTCTCGTTTCCTCATTGCCCTTGAGCCGTCTCTGTCAGCACTGTATTGTGGGTAGTTCTATTTTTGCCATACTTAATTTGTTCTAAACTCTTGAAACAGAAGGCATTGATTTGTTGAAACAGAAGGGATTGATTTGGTATATCATGCAAACCAGTAAAAACCAAAATGTTTTTGGTTAGAATGAGCTACTGAAGTACCCTGTGTGTGACCAAGTGTGACCAGAGGAGGACTGGACTGGGTTTACTGTGAGCCCTACCCACATGCCAACTCACACCTCCTCCAGCTTCCTCATTCGTCAAGTAGGGGTGCCCTAGAGCAGGGGCTCTTGACCAGCCGGGCGTCAGTTACCCTTGGGAGCAGGGCTACAAAACAAACAATGGAACAGGCTCTTGGGCCCGCTCCAGCCATTGATTCAATACTCTAGGGGAGGAACTGAGCAATCTGTATATCAAAAAACAAAAACCTTCCCCCGGGGGCTTCTGATGCTCAGCCAGGATTTGAGCACCACCAGATGAGGCCATCTGTAAGATGCCTCGCCAGATAGCCTTGGGCTCATGAAAGGCTCTGAGCTATTGTTTCCCCATCTGGAGAATAAGACTGTGATGGGGCCAGTCACATGGGCCAGTTCTGGGGATTACATGAGTGTGTGTGGAGGGCCTAGTGCAGTGCCTGGCATGGAACAGGTGCTCAGCAGCTGGATGCTGCCAGCTTTCCTCCACTCAGAAAAGACCTACTGATGCCCACAACATGCCAGACCCCATTTCTGGACCTGGAGAGGCAGTGGGAAGGAAGGCAAGCCTCCTGTCCTCACTGAACTTCCATCCTGTGGGCAAGTCAGGCAGGAAACAAGTAAACAAAGAAATAATAGAGCTTCAGGCAGTTTTAAATATTATGAAAACTTTAAATTTTGAAATGGTAAAAAGGGTCCAGTGTAATGGCTCATGCCTGTAATCCCAGTACTTTGGGAGTCCAAGGGGGGCAGATCACCTGAGGTCAGGAGTTTGAGACCAGCCTGACCAACATAGTGAAACCCTATCTCTACTAAAAATACAAAAATTAAGCAGGCATGGTGACACACGCCTATAGTCCCAGCCACTCAGGAGGCTGAAGCAGGAGAATCACTTGAACCCGGGAGATGCAGGTTGCAGTGAGCTGAGATCACGCCACTGCACTCCAGCCTGGGTGACAGAGCCAGACTCCATCTCAAAAAAAAAAAAAAAAAAAAGTAAAGAGAATCAAGGTAACAGGTACTGGAAAGAATGTTTTGATAAGGTAACTGGGAAATGCCTCTCTGATAAGGTGACATTTGAGCTCAAGGGAGTATAAGAAGAGCCACATGGGGGTTTATGGGAAAAACAATTCAGGCAAAGGGCACAGCAAGTGCAAAGGGCCTGAGGCAGCATTGACCTTGGCATTGAGATATGCAAGAGCCGTGGTGAGAATCAAAGTTGAAAGTGAGCCAGGGGCTCAGCTTGCAGGAGCCTTGGAAGCAGCAGGTGCCTCAAGGTGACTTGCTGTATTCCTTCATTGACTTTTCTTAACTTGCCTACAAATGGATAAAGAAGAAATTAAGTCAGACATTTAAGATCCTTTTCAACCCTGAGATCCTATTATTCTATAATCAGATTTTTTTTTCAAGTTTAAGAAGGGTTAACAGTAGTTACAATATTATTTCTTGAAGTCCCGAATTCTAAGACCGATGCTGATGATCCTTCTCTCCTTTCCCCTCAGCTTGATATATGGTCCAAATCCAACTATCAAGTATTCCAGAAGGTAAGTTTTACTTTTTGCTTCTTACTCAAGCGGCATTAGGAAAACGTGAATGCTTTGAGGTTTAAACATTGGTCTCAAATCAGAGGCTTTTGAAAAAGTGAAAAAAGCCAGACAGAAAAGGATGCTCACTGTCTGATTCCATATGTATGACATTCTGGAAAAAAACAAAACCTTAGGGACAGAAATCAGATCCGTGGTTGCCTAAGGGTGGGTACAGGGACTTGGCCCCAAAGGGGCACAAGGGAGTGTGGGGTGGTGGGAATATTCTTTATCTTAATTGTGGCGGTGTTACACAGCCGTACATGTTTGTCAAAACTCAGGACTATATTACTACAAAGGGGCAGTCATATTGTATGTAAATTATACCTTAGGAAAACCATAGGTTTTTGAGATGTTCCAAAAACTGTATTCTGAAAACCTAGTTTTAAAACTCGGTTTCTCAGAGCCCTAGCGGTCTCCACTGGTGCCCAAGGGATGGGCCAAGGGAAGCAGGCTGGCACTCCCTCACCCTGCCCCTTCCCCACTTTGTGCTCTGGGGACACTGTATCTTTTTCAGATATTGGGCTTCCTTATGAAAAACTGTTATGGGAAATGTCAGACGAAATGAAAAGTGACCAGAGAAAATTCATTTCCCCAGCTCCTGACAGTGCAGGGCCCCTTCCCTGGACTAACTCAGGCCCTGTGGCTGATGAGGATTCTGTCCCCACCGCCACACCCCCACCAGTCCCCACAGTACTCAGGGCCAGCTCCCTGCAGGGCAGCAGCCGGCTTCTTCTGTTCTCATCCATCTTCTGTCTCTGGTCTCATCCAGTAGTGAAATAAGAGAGTTGGCCATCATCTCATTCATTCCCTCATCCAGCTCAACAACAGGTGTCCACTCCCCAGCACTTTGGGAGGCCAAGGTAGGCAGATCACCTGAGGTCAGGAGTTCAAGACCAGCCTAGCCAATATGGCAAAACCCTGTCTGTACTAAAAATATAAAATTAGCCGGGCATGGTGGCGGGCGCCTATAATCCTAGCTACTCAGGAGGCTGAGGCAGAAGAATTGCTTAAACCTGGGAGACAGAGGTTGCAGTGAGCCCAGATTGTGCCATTGCACTCCAGCCTGGGTGACAGATGAGACTCCATCTCAAAAAAAAAAAAAAAAGTATCCACTGAGCCCCTTTGCTCTGTGCCAGGCACTGTTAGGTGCCAGGGCCACAGAGGAAACTCCAACAGGCAAGGAAGCCTAACAAATGACTCCAGGTGATTAACTGGGGGCTGTGGCCAGGAAACACAAGGGGGCCTCCTTCTGATTAGGCTAGTCAGAGGAAGCCTTTGTAGGGGAAACTGAGGCAGGCAGTGTGAGGAGGAGGAGCCAGCCCCGTGAAGTGGGGATGAAGTGGAGGTAGAAGGCAGGGCTCAGGTCAGGGAGGTGCCTCTAGGCCCTGGTGCAGAATTCGGATTTTATCCTTAATTCAGTGAGAAACCACTGACGGGATTTACACAGAGGGGGATGTGATTTTGAAAGCTTGGTCCGAGTTATCCCCACGATGAAGAATGGTTGTGTCCACAGTGTGCCAGGAAGCACAGGACTCTTTTGTAGATCAAGGTGAAATTCACATAACTTGAAATTAACCGTTTTAAAGTGAATGCTCCTTGGCTTGATGTGCCTTCACAATAGTGTACATCCACTACCTCTGTCTGGTTCTAAAACATTTCCTTACCCCACAAGAAAATCTGGTGTGCATTGAGCAGTGAGCATAGGACTTAGTGGATCAGAGGGGCGTCATGGACCACCCTCTAGAGGTGTTTACTGTACATAATCCACAGTGCCCCCTGGGCCCCTTTTTGGTGATAAGGGCTAGGCAGAGGACAGGCGTCTAGGATTAGGGGAGTAGTCTGAGGCTGAAAACCACACATTTAGGGAACCTATATAAGCATTACAGATTCATGATCTGATCACAGCTAAATGCAATGTGCTACCCTGGATTGGATCCTGAAACAGAAAGAGGTTACTAATGGGGCCGGGTGCGGTGGCTCATGCCTGTAATCCCAGCACTTTGGGAGGCTCAGGTGGGTGGATTACAAGGTCAGGAGTTCGAGACCAGCCTGGCCAACATGGTGAAACCCTGTCTCTACTAAAAATACACAAATCAGCCAGGCGTGGTGGCGGGCGCCTGTAATCCCAGCTACGCGGGAGGTTGCAGTGAGCCACTGCACTCCAGCCTGGGTGACAGAGCAAGACTACATCAAAAAAAAAAAAAAAAAAAAAAAAGAAGAAGAAGAAGGAAGGGAGGGAGGGAAGGAGGGAGGGAGGGGTTACTAATGGAAAAACTGGTGAAATCCAAATAAAGGTTGGAGTTCAGTTATTAGTGAGTAACCAGTGTTGGTTTCTTTGTTGTGACAAATGTACCGTAGTAATGGAAGATGTTAACAATGGGGAAACGGGGTGAGGGACATGGGAACTGTCTATTGCATCTTTGCAGCTTTTCTGTAAATCTAAAACTGCTCTAAAATAAAGTTTTAACAAAGAAAATCATAGCTTGATTCTTCTAACACCCTTTACCCAACTGAGCTCCCTGGAAATGTAATGAAGAAAATAGCCTCCCTCCTTTCCTCCCTCCCTCCTTCCTTCCCTCCCTTCCTCCCACTCTCTCTTCCTCCCTGGTCCCTGGGTCTGAAGCATAAAGGAAGGAAGGGTGTGGTTACGCACAGGCTTTAGTGCAGGGAAGCACATTTCTCATCTTAGTGTTCTTACCTAAGTCACCATACCAGAGGTATTTACTTGTTTCGCATGCAAAAAGTCTCAGCCTTCAATGCTAACGTTTTCCGTGCTGACTGTCCTTGTCATTTTTCCCCCAGTGGCTGGTTGAAAAATATTCTGAGGAGAAAGAATGCTGCTCATTATCCTTGTCTTGCTTTGCTTTAATAGTGAAGAACATTAAAATGGTCAGCTTTTCCCCTCAATCTGGTCCTTATCTTCATGTCCTCTGTGGTATTGCAATGAGTTCCCTCCTCCAGTCTCCACAAAAGGCCAATGATGACTTCTTGAGGGCTGTAAGCATTGCAGCTTGTAACTTGGTATTTAACAATGGTCCATTTCCATTCCAATACCCTTGATGAGGGAGGGGCTTGCACATGCTCACTTTTGCATGTTTTTTTTTTTTAATGTTCTTGTAGTATTAAGTATTTTTTAATGCAAGCAGAAAGTGTATTAGGAAGTTGTAAAATGTATAAAACACAGATTTGGTGAAGCATAGATTTAGAAAGACAGTACTGTATTTTTATCCTACCTCCCTTGAAAATAACCTGCCAGGCACTCTTTGTATTTATTTAAAATTACAAACACACTCTGAAGCAGAAGTGTTTAAAATTTGATATTAGTCTAGTTGGAGAGATTTAGGAGCATCCGCCAATTCCTTCCTTCCAGTCTGTGTAACACGTTTCAAGTAGTAAAAATTGATGAATTCTAAGGGATGGGAATTTTATCTCACTGGTGAGTGGCATATCATGTGTATTTGTGCAGAAGCCTTTCTGAGATTCCTTTATCATCGCTCCTTTCACCTATTATTAACTAAGTGGACTTAACCTCTGATATTGACCTGTACCAGATTAAAGAACCACAATTGGGAGAGGTGGTAGTGCCTTCTGATTACAACTAAAGGCAGATAACATTGAAGTCCTTTTTTTTCAGGGACAAGTAAGAATTAAATTAGTGAGTCCTCTCTCTTCCTAACTAAAATGTCTTCCATTTGCTGTCAAATGAAGGAAACATATTGGAAAATAATGTACAGAATTAAGCTTAATCCTTTATCAATAAAGCCTTCAACTAATCATCATCACACAGAATGAGTTTGGGATCTTGTTAGAAAAAAAAAAAGCCTGTTTCTGTATCACTGAGCTTGTGGGAGATGGCGGTAGAAAGCACGAAGCATGCGCGGTGTAGCCTCCATCCCAGGGCGGTGACTGGCGTGCCTATTTCGTCGTGTTCATCTCAGTGGCCAGCAGGTAGACCTCCCTGTGCCACTGCCAGGCCCTGCACTACGTGCAGAGGTGGGACCACGTTGTCCTTTGCAGATTCAGAGACCTGGCACAGTTTATGGGGTGACGTTAAGTATTTCAAACCTAAATCACCAAAAGAGAAGGATTCGGTGGCAACGTTTCTAAACTCCGCTTTTTAGGATTTGCTATTCCTCAAGATTCTATTTTCCTCCTGTCCACCCACTTATATATGGGGTGTCATGATTGATGTTGCTTGTAGTGTTTCCCAGAAAGACGCTGTTTGGGAGCACTGCGGCAGACATCTTCCACCTGCTCTGCCTGTTTGCACCCAGCCAAGTCGACTGGCGAGGGTGGGGTTCGTTCCCAGCATCATCCAGAAAAGCTCAGCCTGCAGCAGTGGCATGAAGTGCATTGGGGAGCAGCATGACATGCTGGAGGATGCTCCTTGGTCATCAAGAAGAGGAGATTGCTCAGGCTGAAGATAGTACCCAGATGTCCTGACAGTGGTGGGAGGTGCCACAGCTATGCCCACCTCTGAGATGGGAGTTCTGGGCCACCAGCAGCAGCTCACATGGCATTAATGGAGGAATTCTCCTCCTGCTCTAGCTGAGGTAGAACCGCAGAGCTCCCTCTCCTAGGCCTTCATTATGTGGTTGCAGTCACTGTGTTAGGCCTGTTTTCTTGCCCACAAGAAGCAGCTGTGGCCAGCCCAGAACGAGGGAAAGCAGAACTCGGAAAGCAGGAAGCCACGCCCCCCACCCGTGCCCACCCTGAGGTCTCCTTCAGTGTGACAGGGTAGGGGGATTGCCTTGCAGAGCCAAACCAAGCTAACACTCACCTTTTTATTTCTGGCAAACAATGTCAGGAGGTAGGAGAATGGAAGCATGCCCTTGTCACATTCTCTCAGGCCCGTGCCTGACCCGCTGGCTTACAGCCTGAGCACCTGAGCTTCTGTAGCAAATCCCACCACAGGAAGCAAAATTCTGCCTTCCTTTTGTCTGCAGATGTTCATGCCATCAGCAAGCCCTTTTCACTCTTCCTCATTAGACCCCTTACCCAAGTGTGGAAGTAGCAGAGGGCTGGGGACAGCTTGCTATGGGTCTATGGCTGCTAACAGGTTCCCATCATTTACTGTGGTCCCTGGAGGCTCCTTGCACTTGGTCCTAGGGTGAAGAAGCTTTTTATAGCCAGCAAGTCTCCAGCAGAGTAGATTCAGAGAATGGGACTTAGAAATGGGCGGGGTGGGGGCGGGTGACCATCTGAAAGGGCAGAATCACAAAGAGCCAGGAAAGGTTTCAAGCGTGTTCATATTTTTCTGACATTTAAACTCTGCAGGGGCAGCCACTGTTTTGTTCTTTAACCCCCTCATTTCAAAACTCTGTGCATTTTCATCCAGCAATTTAGGGAGAGTAAGAGCAGACCGACAGCTACTCACTGCATTGTCTTGCTAGGGTGGCTGGAGAGAGAGGTGGAGTGTGTGTACCACCCAGGTTAGGCAGGGGACATCAAGAGAGAGGCCAAGAGGGACCCACACACACTTTGCAGCTTTCTCATCAGAGGTAAGGGACAGCATGAAAGTAGCCCGCAGATGTCCAGCTCTCCATCCACAGTCATTGCAGAGGGATGAGTAACCCTTTCAGTTCTGCACCGTCTGAACTTTTAGCTGTGAGCAAATGGATTGTGCATGGTGGGTCATGTTCTGGGCAGGGTGCCGCTTGCTTCTTCATTCCTTTGTTCATTTATTAGTTGATTATTTTTATTTTATTTATTTATTTATTTATTTATTTATTTATTTATTTTTGTAATGGAGTCTCGCTCTGTTGCCCAGGCTGGAGTGCAGTGGTGTAATCTCAGCTCACTGCAACCTCCACTTCCCAGGTTCAAGCAATTCTCCTGCCTCAGCCCCTAAGTAGTTGGGATTACAGGCATGCGCTACCATACCCAGCTAATTTTTGTATTTTTGTAGAGACGGGGTTTCACCGTGTTGGCCAGGCTGGTCTTGAACTCCTGATCTCAGGTAATCCACCTGCCTCGGCCTCCCAAAGTGTTGGGATTATAGGCATGAGCCACCGCGCCCGGCCTGTTCATTCTTTTTAATATGCAAGACTGGCCCCTAACTGAGGCAGACTTGATCAAGGTCTGTTTACTCGGTGGCCACCAGGTGCTTTTCAGTAAAAGAGATTGAGTCAGCCCTAGAAGACTCAGTTCTCTGAAAAGTGGGTGGACACCTGATATTGCGTTGGTGGGTACGTGGAGTACCTAGCGTAAATTGACTACCAACCCCAATAGTATTCAAAAATCCTAACCTATCGCTCATTCCAACTCCTAGGGAAGGAAACTGTTTCAACATGGGATCATTCCCCAGGGATTGGAACCGTCACCCTCCTCTGAGTCAGGTTGTGCTGCACACCTTAGTTGGGTGTGTGGTGCCGCTGCAGTGTTTCACACCACTAAAGAGGCTCCATAAACAGTCATTACATTGTTTTATTTATTTATTTGAGACGGGGTCCCACTCTGTCGCCCAGACTAGAGTGCAGTGGTGTGGTCTCGGCTCACTGCAACTTCCACCTCCCAAGTTCAAGCAATTCTCCTGCCTCAGCCTCTCGAGTAGCTGAGACTATAGGTGTGCACTGCCACACCCAGCTAATTTGTGTGTGTGTGTGTATTTTTAGTAGAGACAGATTTTCACCATGTTGGCCAGGCTGGTCTTGAACTCCTGACCTCAAATGATCCACCTGTCTCAGCCTCCCAAAGTGCTGGGATTACAGACGTGAGCCACTGTGCCCAGCCGCGTTATTTTCAGTTTCTAACATTTCCTCCTACCAGCCTCCTCTACATTTCCTTCCCAAAGCCTCTCTTCAAATGCCACAGATGAAGGCCTGGAAGAGGCCATGGTTGTGACAAAAGTTCTAAGACCTCAGGCCAGATCTCAGTCCCATTCCCTGTTCGGTGCCCTGCACAGGTGAGACCCCCACACTCAGAGGGACTCCACAGCTGGGAGCTGCCTCCCAGAGTCGTTGAAGGCCCTTCTGTCTTTTATAGATCTCAGCCCTCTGACCATCTCCCCGCCTCTTAAATGGTGATTAACTTTTTCCAACAGGGAGAACTTATGTTGTAAGGACAGAATGTGGTGTCATTTTCATCTGTTTCTGTGCGTTCTGTTGCTGCCTCACAAGTGTGTCCCAAACAGATAGAACTGAGGGGACAGCTTTCATCCTTGCAAAGGGAAATGGGCCGCTTCATGTAGCAAGACAAAGTTCTGTCCATGACTCCGATGAGTGGTATGCCCAAGAGATTTGTGCGTGAGCCCGCTAGTGGGCTGGCGACAGGCTTCAGGGAAGGAGCGGCGGCAGACGGTCCCAGGGCATCCCTGAGGGCAGCCCTTCCCTCAGCTGACAGCTGGACTGTATTGACCAGGTCGCCAAGCAGAAGCATCGGCGCGGGGCTCTGGGAGCTGAGAGCCGCAGGGAGGGTCGTTAGGCTTAATCCAACAGTCGAAAACCCTTTTACCGCCACCTTCTCTCTTAATGGTCTTGTTTGAATATTCATAAGCATCTAAACTAAACTCAGGACAGATTTGATCATTTGTTCTCCTCTTACGCCGCCCCAGTACCTTTCCTGCACAAGGCTCCCTCAGCCCCTGCTGAGTGTGAGCATGGCCCAGGAGCTCACATGAACCCAGTTTTATGGCTAAAATTGAACCAGGAAAGCCTGGGCCATCCTGTTGACTTTCTGAGGGCACGCTGCGTTGCCCTGGAAGTGGTCTGTGGCTTTCTGCCATTAGAGGAGTCACAGAGTAGTCATCTGTCATCTGTATAGCTTGTTTCTTCCTGAAGGGTTGTGCGGGCTGCAGTGTACTCAGGTCAAAATCTGAAAACTGCTTCTGGAAAGACTGCCCACCTTCCCATTCCCCAGGTCTCCGTCCTCAGCCCATAGGGCTGTAAACTCCATGCATGGGCTGCCAGCATGGCAGGACGGCCCCCACCCATCCGCTCTCTAAGCCCAGGCTGACCTCCCACCACATTCCCCACAGCGACCATCCCAGAGAGAGACCACATAGCAGAGTGGCTAAGAGCCATTCGCCGTGTCATCAGGTCCCGGCTCCCCTACTGTTTCCTGTGTGGATTCACTTGCCTCAGTTTCCTCATCTGTAAAACAGAGACGCAGCCGGGCGCGTGGGTCATGCCTGTAATCCCAGCACTCTGGGAGGCCGAGGCAGAGGATCATGATCCTAGGAGTTTGAGACAAGCCTGGGCAACATGGCAAAACCCCATCTCCCCAAAAAAATAAAAATTAGCTGGGTGTGGTGGCATGTGCCTGTGGTCCCAGCTACTCAGGAGGCTGAGGTGGGAGGATGGTTTGGGTGTGGGAGGTTAAGGCTGCAGTGAGCCATGAGAGTAGCTGCCCCACAGACTTGGTGTGAAGTTGAATTCGTAGGTATGAAGTGTAAGGTGAATGTCTTGTCTACCACCTGGTCAACTTCTCTGAAGTGCCTGTCAATGGTGACACTCTCTTGTCCTGAGAAAGTTCTCCCTCCATCCCCTGTGGGCAGGCTTCCTCCCGCAGGCCTCTTCCTCAGTGACCACCCCTTCCATCTGTGCTTCCCATATCTCCACAGTGGACACGGTGGCTCAGGGTATAGGCTGGAGTCAGACAGACCTGGGTTTGTGCCCAGCTGTCGTGTGTAAAGTCAACCCAAGACCCAGCTGCTATGACAGACCTACCCATTCCCACCAAAGCATTGTCTGCCTTCTCATTTTTTCAGGCATGTTATCTGCTCTTCTGGTCACAAAGTGAGCTGAAGATCCTGTAAGACACCACAGTTACAGCCGCGCAGCAGTGCCCTGTGGGCAGCCCTGATATGCTGATGTAGGCAGGATCCTGGGTCCAGGAACTGGATCAGTCCCTAGGGTCCTGGGAGGGCCAGTGGCGCAACCAGTGATCTCCAGAAGGCACCCGAGATTGAGATGTTGTGCCCCAATTTCCCGTTTCCCCCACTGAGCAGGGGTGGCTGGGGCGCCTGGCACCTTGGCGGCTGAGCTGCCTCTTGGCGGGGTCTCTCTCCCAGCTCTGCAGTCTGCATTCTTCTCCAGTCATTGCCTCAAGTTTGATGGAGAAGTAGGTGGTATTGTCTGTGTTTTCCTGGGAGCCCAGATGTCTTTGGATGTTTCTCTGACTGCAGGGCCGTTCCTACAGAAAATAATATCACACCAAGTGGGTGCAGAACAATTCAGGTGTCTTTGGGCTTGGACTCTCCTGGCAGCCAGTGACAGAAACTGACGTTTTACCATCTGGAAAGCACTGAACTTTTTTCTTTTCATCTAAATGAAAAGCCTTAATTCCTTAATCCTGAGAAAGGTCAAAGACCCAGCGCGTCTCCTCGCAGCTACGCACAGGGCCTTCGGCAGACGCCGAAGGCGGTCAGGACCCTGGAAAGTTCCCTCGTGTCTATCCTGGGGTTTCCCTGTTTGCCCAGGCCCCACCTTCCAGGCAGTGTCCACCTCTGCTTCTCCACCCCATCCCTTCCCTCTCACTCCGCTCCCCTTTCCCCAGTGGCTGAAAATCAATACATACACTCCTGTCCACTTTCTCTCCCATTCACTCAGGCTCCTGCAAGGTGAGCCGTACCCAGTGCTGAGCCACAGTCCTCTCGGAGGCCCTGAGCTAGGCCCAGGGAGGATGGAGATGTGGCAGGTGTGGCCTCAAGGAGAGCACAGCTTGGGGGACAGGGGCATCTGGTCATAGGTCTGGCAAGTGCCCGGCGGGGGTGTGCAGAGGATGCTGCTGAGAGTACAGGCAAGGCTGGGATGGGGAAGACCCTGAGCTGAGTCCTGAGGGGTGAGAAGGGCTTAGCCTGACAGGAACATTCCAGGCAGAGGGGCCACTTGAGCACAGACGTGCGCCAGGAAAACGTGTTGGGGCGGGAGGCGGATTCCTCCAGGAGCCGGCATTGCTGCCATGGAAGGTGGGGGCTGAAGGGAAATGCGGCTGAGACCCAGGTCCGCAAGGCCTCCTTTGCTCCACCAGGGCTTTCAGAAGGATCCTGTAGGTGGCTGTGGAGTGGCCAGCGGGGGTACATCACCCCTAAAGGCTGTCTGCAGCCAGTCTGCACTCAAGGGTCCAGGGAGTTGGGGGCTTCCCTTTCAGGCGTCAGTGGCACCCTGGCTGGGACTTTAAAGAGGATAAGGTTGGAACCCCCAAACCAAACCACATCTGATATGTAGAGGCCCTGGTGTGTGCCAGAGATCTTGCTGAGTACATCCACAGGCTCGCCCCTCTCAGACACAGAGCTTGATCTCTAAAGTGTCAGCAGGGATTTCGGACAAGATGGAGCAGCAATGTCTGCCTTCACCTCTCCAGTTCCAGCTCAGGCAGCCTTGCCTCTGGTCTCATCCCAGAGCAGCATGCCTGGCTCTGGTGGACAGTTATAAGCCCTTCAGAGCCCATGCAAATGGCTCCTTCATTAAGCAGAGGAGGAAATATTGATCCCATCCAAGTAATCCCAAGTCCCTGTGGGCTTCGATGTTTCCTCTCCAGGCTGCTAGGCCCGCTGAACCTGTGGCATACAAATCCGAGGTACAGATTAGAGACGAGAGCTGCATAATAAAAAATAAATCCCCTGCTTCCGCTCTACTGTACTTTCATCCCCATTTGAGAAGCTCGTCTCTGCGCACTCCCCATCGCCCCCTAACATCACTGTCAGGGCTGACTTCATAGCATTCCAGTTTCGAAATAATGATGGCTCCTCTTTTCATGGAATGAGTACTTCTGGGACTGTTTTAAATATTCTTCATCGAACCAGCACACATCCTTAGAGCAACACTGCTGGCAGGGATTGCTGTCTCTTTAAACATTTAACACACTTGGTTCATGTCTTTGCCCACAGGACCCACAAAGAGTTTTCTCCTTCCAAGAGATTCCTACTGTCCCTCTCCTTACTGGTGGGTCTGTCCTTGGCAAAACTCTTAGTAGAGACCCAAACTCTTGGGCTGATCTCCTTGTGTAACATTAAAATACATCTACCCAATGAAAGTCCATTCTGATCTCTGCATCGTGGGAACTGCCTGGGCACCTGTGCCTAGCACACGTTTGGCTTTGCTGCCTGCTACTTGAGTGCTCCAAAGTCTGGCTGAGCGGCACAGAGGCTTCCCACACAGAGGACAGTGCTGTGCAGGTGGCCTCCCTGGTTCCAAGCTGAATCCTCAAGCTCTTTGAACTGGCCTGGAATCTGAGGCCCACCTGAGGGTGCCATCGCATCAGGGCAGCAGGTGGGTTCCTGGATTGGGGCAGGAACTTCAGGGCACAGTGTGCACATGCTGCCAGGAGATAACTAGGACAGCTCAGGCTCTGCAGCAGCATCTGCTGAAAACCTAGACCTAGAGGGGCCTGCAGAATCACCCAGCCCCACCCCAGCCTCCCCACGCTCTTCTACCGAGGGCCAGCAGGGAAGAGGCCCCCCAGGCCATTCGCCACTAAGCTAGGGTCAAACCCCGGTCTCCTTACGGTTCCCCTCTGTCTGCCTTTTTGTCACTTTCACCCAGATCTAAGAGAATCTTCTCTTCACAGTACGTAGAAGCCGATATTGGCTGGAGGGAAGCCACAGTCTGGGTCCCTACCAGGCTTCTCTTTTAAATAAGCAACTTCTAAACACTTGAGTACTTAACTTTCCCTGTTTACTAATCTTGTGAGGAAATACTCCGAATAGTAGAGGCGCCCGCTCTTCTAGCTTGGCCTCGGGGGCTGTGTGCTGGCAGATAATGCCCTCAGCAGGTGCGTTAGGAAGAGCGTCTCTGTTCAAGCTCAGCTCCCCCAGGCGCTGCTCGGCCACAGTCCTGTCCCCTGGTGGTGGGAAGCAGGCAGTGGCCCGCAGCGGCCCTTGAACCTGCACCCAAAATCATCTCAGGGAGCCTGTGAACTCCTGGGTCCTGGTCCCCAGCCTGGTCCACCAGCCAGGAGCTGGAAGGCGGTTCCCAGCAGTCAGCCTCCAGCGTCTGTTCCTCACCTGCATGCTGCGTCGCCAGCCTCCACTCCGGCCCAGGAGCATGCCCCCTGGGGCCAGATGATGCCCATGACCTTTGGGCACTCGGGAGCCCCTGAGGACAATCCCTGGATCACTGAGAAATACAAGGGCCCCTGTTTTAGAATGCCTGGCAGGAACTGTAAGTTTCCATTTAAATCAAATCAAATACCCCAAGTTGAAAGTATTCAGAAAATTCGGAGGAAAAAAGATAGGAAAGAGGTGCAAGGTTGGCCCATAACCCCAGCACTTTGGGAGGCAGGAGGATCATTTGAGCCTAGGAGTTCAAGACCAGCTTGGACAACATGGCAAGACCTCGTCTTTACTAAAAATTAAAAAACTAGCCAGGCGTGGGGGTGTGTGTCTGTAGTCCCAGCTATTTGAGAGACTGAGGCAGGAGGATCACTTGCGCCCAGGAGTTCGAGGCTGCGGTGTGCTGTGATCAGACCACCACACTCCAGCATGGGTGACAAGTACAAGGTCACCCCTGAAACAGAGGACAAGGGTCTTGCTGTGAATGGTGCCGTTGTTCCTGTACCAGGCTGGTGACTGGCATTGCCATCTTCTTAACTTTTCCCCTTCAAGGAGCCCAACAGGCCCTTGCTTTTTAAAGAGGAAACTGCTGAGGACAATAGTGTATTAAGAGGGTTTTTCTCCCCAGTCCTTTCTGTGTCATTACAGTGTCCTTTATTCTTCCCTTACTGCTACAGAACAAACCTCTATCTGGTCAACATAAAACCTGGAATCTGGGAGTTAAGCTTAAGTGAGAAATCATCTTGCTAGGCCTAAACCTGTTATCTTTGCCCCCACCGCAGGAGAGGGCCTGAGTAGGAAAAAGCGTGTGGGTGCTGCATACCGAATGTGGGGTGTATGGTAGGGTGAGCACCGAATCCGGGGCGTACAGCAGGACGCACACCTGGATCCAGGGCTCACAGTAGGATGCACACTGAATCCCGGGCACACAGTGGGATGCACACTGAATCTGGGGTCCACAGTAGGACCATCCCACTCTCCCCGCCCTGCACCTTTTCTCACACTACACTTTTTCATTCCCTCGATGAATGTGTGGGCATGCCCACCTGATGCAGCCGCCTTGTATTTGCCCGATTTCCCCTTCTTTGTCCACAGCAGGGAGACTCATTCAATCTGGAGGTCTTCTTGAGGGCCCACCGGTGTCTCTGTCAGACCGTTTGGAGGGTTGGGGCCAGCACATAGCAGGGAGCCAGACAGGTTGAAGCTTCTGGCTGAGAGGTGGAAGGAACATTGTATAAGTGACAGGAACTGGGGTGTAAGTGAGGAGACTTGTTATCCAATCCCATCTCCACCCTCAAAGTGCTGAGGTCCAGTCCCTTCTGGGGAGGAGAGGGCCTGGAAATGGCACTTTTCTTCATCCCCCCACAACCCCTGTCCACCCCAAGAGGCCTGGAGTGGGGGGCCCATGAGGCTTGGGGCATAGAGTCTGGGCACTCAAGCTGGGGTTCAGAAGGTCGGAACAAACTCCTGCTGTGCCACCTAGCAGCTCCTTGGCTTGGGCAAGTCACTTAACCTCCCTGTGACTTAGCCCCCTGACTTAGAAGTCCCAAACGTGAGAGTACCTCTGTCATAAGGTCATCGTGGGGATTCAGCGGGCTAAAACCACGAGGGGACACATTTGGCGGGCGCTTGCCATGCGTCGTACACTTGAGGTCTGTATGTCAGTGCACTGTCCCTGCATCGGCCCATTTAATCCTCGCCCAAGGTCACACAGCTCACAAGGGACAGATCCAGAGGCTGGGCTCCTGTTGGAGGAGCCACACACCCTGAGCTGTGCAGCGTAGACCAGCTCTTGCACAGGATTAGTGCTCAGTAAATGGCGATGTGGGTTGTTGCTGTTATTGCAAGCAGTGCCACTCTGGGTTTAGCTAAAATAACTCATGATCTCCAAAGCACCCTCCAGCTCTGATTGTAGGAGGGGGGCTGTCAGGAGCTCCATGCACACAATATGGCAGAGGAGCTTTGGGAGACTGTTTTGACTGGCATCTCCTTTTCCAGCACGTTGACTGGCAGCTGTTTCAAGGTCTCTTGAAAGAGTCCCTACTCCCTCCCTAAGCTCCATTCTCTCCTGGGTTTGGATATGCTGAGAGAGGGTAGGGAAAACTGAAAGGAACATTGATCAAGTGGACTGGATCTGTTGGCAGGCAATGGAGATGTCACCCTTCTCAAAGTAAATCACTGCAGGTCACCATTGAGACGGGACACACCCCAAATGAGGCATCTGAGACTTCTCTGCCTTGGGGTGAACCAGGCGCCTCCCAGTGAAACCCCTCCCTGCATCACCCTCTGCCCCTCTTTGTGAGGCCTGTCTCCCCATCCCCGCATTCCTCTTGCTTCAGGGACCCCTGCCTCACTGGTTTATTGCTACCCTCCTGCCTTCTCCTCCCTCCCTTTCCTTGGGCTTGCATCCCTTTGATGTTTTTACAAGCCTTTTTTCAAACCTGCACTCACTGGTGGGTGAATCGCCTCCCTCTCCTTGGGAGCATTAGTGCCCTTCCTGGCCTCCGCCAAGGGGGAGGGCGGCTTTTATCTCCCAGCGGAATCTCATTAGCTTTGCCGCACAATGGGACCGAACCTCGGCTGCCACAGAGTGGATTTAAATTAGTTAATAGCAGATTTTTTTTTTTTTTTTGCCCCAGGCCTGTTTTTTCCAAGTCTTGGATGCTGAGCAAAAAAACAACTTTGTTGTTGAAAAATGTAAAACAAAAAAATATTGAAGGTGGAGTGCTTTGACAAGACGGAAGATCACTGTAGGTGAAGTTCTCCTGTGCTCCACAGCCACCCAGAGGAATTCCAAAACCAGCAGTGGAGGACTTGGGGAGGACAGGAGGGAAAACATGGCGAGTTCATCAGCTCTGTTTCCTTTATTAAAATATTTCTGTAATTGGTGGTGGGAAATTGAAGAAATCAAGTGATTGCATCAGCGCTGGAAAAAGCTGCCAGCACTTGGCAGTGGAAGAGAATATATGCTTTATACTGGACTTTTTGAAAAAGAGGCTGAGTTTGGCCAGATTGCCGACCAGCAATGGAAAAACTAATTAGGTGCCTTGCCTGTGAGCCAGACGCCCAGCAGGGCTGTGGCGCATGGCTCCCGCCGCCTCTGAAGAGGACACTTTCTAGTGAATTCAGTTCGTGCTACCCTTGAGCAGCCTGTGCTACAGCAGGCACATTTGTGAATCTCCCAGCCTGTGCCTGGCGTCGGAACTGTAGCTTCCCAAAGACTTACCTGCCCTGGGAGATGGCGGGCAGCTGCTGGCCACAGCCCTGGGCCTGCACCTTTATCTGCAAACTGGGAGAGCGGGGATGGGAGTCAGTGGGTAGGAGGTGGGCAGAGGCCTGGGCCTCCCAGTGTTCGGGCTCCCACACTGCTGCCCTCACCCACTATGTGCATCTTCCCAACTTCTGGACATCCTCACTCCTCCTCTGTCCAATGTAAATCAGAATAGTGGGCCGGGCGCAGTGGCGCACGCCTGTAATCCCAGCACTTTGTCAGGCTGAGGCAGAAGAATCACTTGAGCCAGGAGTTGGAAACCAGCCTGGGCAATACAGTGAGACCCTGATTCTACAAAAATAAAAAATTAGCTGGGCGGGGTGGCGTGAGCCTATAGTCCCAGCAACTCAGGAGGCTGAGGTGGGAGGATTGCTTGAGTCCAGGAGGTCAAGGCTGCACTGAGCTAAGATTGGGCCACTGCCCTCCAGCCTAGGCGACAGAGCAATACCCTGTCTCAAAAGAAAAGAAGAAAAAGAAAAGCACCTATCTCCAAGTTAGTGTGGGAATTAAATGAGAGGGGCACATAGGACTTGGCACATAATAAGCTCTTATTAATAATAGCTACTATAAGTTAATAAAATATCCGATGGATCTTTTAAAAAAAGCACTTTTCAGAAATAAGGAAAAACCCCCACTCCACAAGCACCCGTTGTGAAAACCCTCCACCCTGGCACCCCACAGTGCCCACTGTGAAACTGGTACCATTCATTTTGATTCATGAGAAGACAGACTGTCCTTCTGATTTGTATTTCTTTGTTTCATGGCCCAGAATCAAATGCCCAGCCCTCTGGGGGCCATTCTCCTGTAGTGCCTGGGATATGCCCCAGCCTTGCCACTCAAAGCCCAGTCCCTAACCAGCAGTGTGGGCACCCCTGGGAGTCAGCTGGCAGTGCCAACGCTCCACCCCTCCCCGAGCTCCTAGATGAGAATCTGACAAAAGACCCCCAGTGATTGTGTGTTCACCAGCCTCGCATTCTCATGCATTTTAGCATCCCTAGGAATAGCCTGGAGGGGCTGACTTAGTGTCTGGGCCCCACCCAGGAGATTCCAATGCTGTGGCTAGAGAGGGGCCCAAGAGGGCAGATTTCTAACCAACTCCTAGATGGTGCCAGCACCGCTGGTCCCCAAACATTTCAAGCAGCACCATTCTTAAGGGGAAAATTCCTTGGCCGCAGCTCGAACTTGCTGTGCCACCACTGTAATGGGATTGGGAGACCTGGCCAACATGGTGGCCCATTTCCTAGATGTGCAGTGAATATCCAAGGAGGCAGATTGGTCTGCAGAGAGGAGGAGGATGCTGAGTGACAAACCTCCTGTAGTTCTGCACAACTCAAGCTCATTTCTTCCTCACATTACATATCCATCCTGAGTTTTGACGGGGCTGTGTCACTCAAGGATGAGTGACCGCTGGTAACTTCTACCACAGAGGGCAAGTCCAAGATGCCCCAGCACCTTAGAGGTAGACCAGAGCCCAGGTCCTCAGCTCCTGTCCCGCAGTCCCCACTCCTTTCAGGCCCCTGGCTCCACCCACCTCATCTGAGCCACTCTCCCCGCAGAGAGTCAGAATGGCGGTCCTTCTCACCGTCTGCACACATGACCTGAGGACCTCTGCATCAGGCACTAGACTGACATGGGCTCAAGGTAGGGAAATTGACACGAAACAAACATGGCAAAAAATACCAAGTTCAGATATGAGGATTGAGATGGGAGAAGAGAGCCAGGCAAGGAGACAAGCCCCATCGGGGGAGCCTGGGGGGCTTCCCTCAACACGCGAAGGAGAGGGGGAAAGGACAGAGGCCCGTGCTGAGGGGAGGACTCAGGGAGGACAGAGATGGGCATTTGAGGAGCTGAGGGACCCGAGGAAAGGAGGCAGACACCGGGTGCTGCAGGGTTTCACATGGAGTTCACAGTTCGCATTTCATCCTGAGTGCAGGGAAAGCCATGAGAGCGTTTTAGGGGAGTGACATACTTGGGTTTCTAGTTGAACGATGGCAATCACTCATGTTTTCTGACCAGCACACGCTTCTGCCCACTACTTCACCCTCACTGTCATCCCCTGTGGTAGGCACTCTGTCATTATCCCCATTTTCCAGATGGGAAAACTGTAGCTAATAAAGATGAAGTGCCTCGCCCAAGGCGTCACTGCTAGAAGGGATGGAGCCCACGCTCTTTCCCTCTTTGCTGCAGAATGTTCCCTCTGAGCCGTGTTGAGACAGGCAAGATGGGAAGAAGTAGAAGGATTTGAGATAGATAACTTGGAACCACGAGGCTGCTTGGGTATGAGGCAGGGGGAAGAGAGGCGACAGGGCAGGGCCCAGGTTTCTGGCTCAGGCCTCTGGGTCAAAGGCCATTTAGCAAAAATGCTGGAGGAGGTGCAGGTCTGGAAGACCACTTGAGATGTTCCTGTAATTTGCACGACGCCTTGCCTGGAGAGAGCACCTTGCAGTTATCAGTACTGAGTTGTCTTGGAATGCTTGGAGAACTCAAGTTCAGCCAGAGGAGGTCAAGTCCAGAGGTCAGCTGAGGAAGGGAGGAGGAGATGGGCACAGATCTGTCAGGCCAGGGAAGATGAGCTCAAATAAAGATCAGGAAGCCAGGCCAGGTACCCAGGGAACAGCAGGCTGGGGAGGGTTTGGGGAACCTGGGAGTGCAGGGTCTTGTTGGTTTGGTTAGAGGCTCTAAACTCCAAAGGCCACAGGGCCCCTGATGAGTGGAGTAGGCTGGATCCAAGACCCTAGGGTGCTCAGGCAAACTGCACGTGTCACCGCTCCTCAGCTGCTGCAGCTGGTGGCCACGTGGCAGTGCCAGGGTCACACTCACAGAGATGAGGAGAAGCTGGGCCCCCTTTGATCTTCACAGTAGCCTATGAGATGGTCCCCAGATCCTCCGATGCTTCAAGAGGAGCTGGGCACCACAGTTAAGTGAAGTTTCCTAAATTTTAAGTGTTGGTCATTTGTGTTTAAAAATGTGAAAACAAAAGAAATAAAAGTGCAGCCAGACAAAGCCTCTCTGCCTGCACATGGCTGCTGAAAGGCTGAAATGGATGGAGGTGGTCTCACCCAGGGGATCCCAGGGACTGACGTTCCTATCGCAGGGAAGGTGTCACACACGGAGCTACGGAACAGCAGGGCCGGAGCAAACAAAGCCAGCCCAGCTGCCTCGGCTATTCCAACAGGGGCTACACTGGAGACATTTTAAAAATAAAGGGGGTGAGGGGAAAGAATTCTCCAGAAACTTTGGTTCTTCTGTAATGGCAAGTATAATTGCAAAAAACATCTTGTCAGCCTGTAAAATGACACTTTCACAGGTTTTCTTAGCAAGGGAGCTAGATGGGCAAGAACCAAGCGTTCAAGTTCGGGGACCGTTCGAGCCCAGTTTGCTTTGCTGTGTTTCGTAGCCATTAATGTCCCCCCGCCAATTACCACCAGTCATTTTGCAAAGTTATCATTACTACTGTTTAAAAGAAAAAAAAACATTGCTCATTTTAGAAAGCTGTCTGTCAAAAATGCTTAAAATAAAAGCAGTCTTGGCATTCGAAGGAATAAGTACCATTTATCTTGAAAGCCACTTGGGTAAGAATTTCTCAACAGTGTTGGCTACAAGAACCGTTGATGTATTTGCAAGAAAGCGCAGGTGTTTATGGTACATGGCCTTTGGTGGGTGGGCGTTTTTAAGTTTACTTCTTTATTCAGCAAATATGTATTGGGCACCTGCTGTATGCAGGGTAATATCCTAAGGCCTTGGGGATGCAGTATGGGGCAGGCCGTGAAAGTCCAGTGGGAAATAGGGCAAGTCCAGGGCCCAGGCAGAGCAGAAGAGGAGACTGGGCAGGCGGGGCTGGTGGCATTGCCAGAGAGTGAGTGCTTCCCACGCCTGGCCTCACTCTGTCCTCTCACGAGCCTTACTCAGTATGCAGTACAGTCTCCATTTTATGGAAGGGGAAACTGAGGCTTAGAGAGGCCCCCATAAGAGGCCAGGGGCCGGGCCCCGGCTTGCCTGGCTGCAGAGCCGGCGTCCTCACGTTTTGTGGGGCAGCCTCTCCAGCTGCAGGTGTGGACACACATCACCGTGCGGGGCGCGGACCCTGGTCTCCACCTGCCCAGCTTGCTCTGCGCCTGCATGGGTTCAGCCACATACACAGTGTTCATTGGGGGTTAGAAAATGAACACGTCTACACAAGTTAGACCTATGTTCATTCTTCTCAAAGCTAAGGATTTTCTCTGGAGTTTTTTGGGTTTTTTATTTTAGGTGTGGTTTTTTCATTTTGTTTTGTTTGAGACAGGTCTCTGTCGCCCAGGCTGGAGTGCAGTGGCACAGTCACAGTTCACTGTAGCCTCAACTTCCCAGGCTCGGATGATCCTCCCATCTCAGCCTCCTGAGTAGCTGGGACTATAGGTGTGTGGCATCACAGCCAGCTAATTTTTTGTATTTTCTATAGAGGCGGGGTCTTGCTCTATTGTCCAGGCTGGTCTTGAACTCCTGGGCCCAAGTGATCCCCCCTGACTCAGCCTCCCAAAGGTCTGGGATTACAGGCATGAGGCACCGCACCTGGCCTGTTTTGTTTTTAATGATGACATGTGCGATGTCAAGAATCCCTAATGAGGACAATCATGTAAACCATTACTTTGAACATAACTATCAAATTAGGTATAATCTACTCATATGCTGATTGACGGCGGGCATTAACAATTCACAGTGTCATCCAGTTTCAGAACCACCAGGGTTCTGAGGCCAGCCCCTTTGCTCCTTGGAAGGGGCATGGAGACGCAGAGAGGATAAGGAGCTGGATCCAGGTCAGGGGGTGGTGCTGGAGCTTAAACCCTGTGCTCTGTCCATCTGGTCACCTGATGCCTTCACTGGACTTCAAGCAGCCTTGCCCTTGGCCTTGCTGATAAACTTCTCCTGAGGAGTCAGGAGACAATAGGCACAGACCCCTAAGGTGCTGACCATAGGCCACAGCCTTCAGAGAGCTGGTGAGGGGACCACACCAGGCGCGCCGGGCTCCTGCGAAGGGCCATCCTAGCAACGGTGAGGCCCAACAGAACAGCCTCAGAAACTGCCAGGCTCCCCATCATAAATCCTGTGTGGCTCAGAAACTGCCAGGCTCCCCATCATAAATCCTGTGTGGCTACAAATGGTGACAGAATGAGAATTCAAGGAAATGGAAAGAGACCAATTGCCCTGTTGGGAAAACCATCGCAGGAGGAAGAGGAAGTGTGCGTACCGGGCGGAAGTGCTCCTTGTCGTATGTGCTGTGTGTGCCGCGCCTTGCTGAGCAGGGAGGCTTGGGATCCCCTCTGGGATCTGCCCCCACTGGCCTCTGGCCGCTCCCTCTGCCAGTGCTCCAGCCTGGCCAGGCTTTCCGTTGCTGGAATCTTCCACACGCCCCCTGCCTCCAGGCCTGCATCCTTTCTGCCGACAGCATGCCTCTTCTCCCCCTCTGGGTCCCCAACTCTGCTAACTAATTTTTCTACAGAGATTTTATTTTAGATGCCCTTTCCTCCACGAGATACTCAGATCTGTTTTCACACAGAAGGCGTGCATTTGTCCTGCTTGTTTTCTCTATGCCAGCTTGGAGTGGCCGCTAACTCGTCT
Source organism: Homo sapiens (assembly GCF_000001405.40). NCBI lineage: Eukaryota > Metazoa > Chordata > Mammalia > Primates > Hominidae > Homo > Homo sapiens. The sequence goes on along the minus strand of NC_000009.12, from coordinate 131,863,157 downwards.
TTGTCCTTCACTCTCAGGTGACAGACCATGCCACCACTGCCCTGCTCCACTATCAGCTGCCCCAGATGCCGGATGTCGTGGTCCGATCCTTCATGGTAAGTGGCTTCAAGAGTCAGGTCTCCTGTTTAAACCTCAGCTCCCTTCAAGTGAGAACAGGGAGCTTGAAGGGCAGCCGTTGCATCTTCAGACTTTGAGGGCCTCCCAGTGGGAGATGGGGCTGCCAGTTTAAAACTGCTACTTTCTTTAAACTGCGAAGGGATCTGGGAGAAACCACTTCCAGCTTCATTCACTGGTGCTTTCTCTACTTGCTGAAAAAGCGGTGGTTTCAGAAATGATCTTCCAAAATAGTTCCAGCATTGACTTAGTCCACAGATATTTCATTGAGCTCCTAATCTGGGCCAGGCCCTGTGGTTGGCACAGAGCATGTAGCAGTGAATTAACAGATCGTGCAGTTTCCCAAGACGTTTCCTCCTTCGATTTTCGGAGTTGGAGCTCGAGATGATAGCAGCCCCAAAGCAGCCATTCCAATGGGGTGCTGCAGCCGGCTCCTGCCAGTGCCTGTTCAGTATCTTGCGAGCTGGTTCTTCAACCACTACTAGTTTGAAATCAAACTTGGTGGGAGTGTTGACACCACGGAAATCGGCAAACACTGCAAGTCAGGACTTCCCCCGAACCCCAGGGCCAGTTTATCAGCATTTATCACGCCGCCACCAGTTGGCCTAAGCAGGGCTAACACCATGTCCCCGCGTCCTTGACAGACGTAGCCGCCAGCTGTTCCACCGTCATGCTCTCACGCCAGCATGCTCACACGGCCGCATGCTCTCACGCCAGCAGACCCCATCATCCACCGCTGCTGGGACTCCCTGTTTTCTTCATGCTAGAAAGTCTGCCGGTTAGAGAACCGACTCCAAAGACCTGTTAGCAAGGCCAAATCAGTGTGCATCTTATCACATGGCATCAACAGTGCCACTGCTCAGAGAGCCTGGAGTTCATTCCTCAGAAGACACATCCCTGGTGCGTTGATTGGCTTCATGATGCTGGCAGAGTGGGCACAACACAGCCAGGTGCTCAGAGCTCCCACAGAGTGGTCCTTCTGTGTGTCCAGGGAACAGTTCCCCTGACCATCTTCAGCAAGAGCTCCAATTTCAGATAGATATAAAGACTTGCTTTTGAGCCTAACACGTTGTAATGCCCCCTTTCCCTTTGGTAACTGACTGTGGGATTTAGGGAAGATTTGAATCCCAGTGACTCCACTCAGGAGGCTGAAGCGGGAGGATCGCTTGAGCCCAGGAGTTCAAGGTTACAGTGAGCTATGATCGATTGCACCACTGCGCTCCAGCCTGGGTGTCAGAGCGAGATGTGGTCTCATAAAAAAAAAAAAAAAAAAAAAGAACCATTTACATCTGTCACAGCACTCAGCACTGTGCTCAGCCCACACCAGCTAATTAATACGAATCTGTTGATTGATTGATTTGAGGCACAGACATGAGTACTATTTGTGGCAGAGACAGAACTTCTTCTACTTAGGGAAAAATAAGTAGTTTAACTGAAGGACCTCTTGACCTCGTGTTTATTGCCAAAACCCCCAAACACCTGGCCTTTGGAAAGGGGGACAGTACTGATGGGCCATGCCCTGTCACCATGAAGGCAGCTGTGGTGAAGATGGAAGAATGTGTATCAATAAGCTCGGCCAACCTCTTCAAATAACAGTTTTCTCTTAATTCAGGAGGACATTAAATGACAAGATTCACGTGCCCTTTCACCGCGAGAACTTGCTTGCCTGCTGTTTTACGTTTGGGTATTTTTTTCTTTGGTAGTGAATCTCCTTGTGTTTGAGAATTGAGTTACGGGAGGCTCATCCTTATGTATGACGCCCAAGAAAGCTCTGCACTCTGAACCATTCAAGTGTGGATTTGCTGCTTATGATGTTATTTGGTGGCACCAGGGCTGTCCCCACCCCTCCCCCCAGTATGTCAGGCCACACTGTGACAATGAGTGACAACCTCTGAAATCAGATTAGCTAGAAGGCATGTTGACCTCCGCGGAGAACTCTGGAATTGTCCTCGGTTCCAAGGCTTCCTCAGCACACATGCACAGCCACCTCTTAGTAGTGGGCAAGGAGAAGAGGATGGATACTGACATTCAGAAGACATGGGACCCAGAAAGTGAAAGTGGGGTGCTGGCCCCCAGACCACCAGGCTGCTCGGTGGTTCACGGGGACTCCAGGGAGGCCTTCCTGCTTTTGAGAGTAGGGGTTTCTGTTTTCAAAACTCCTTCGGTTAGGAGGGGCACGCGAGCATCAGACGTGAACATCAGCAGTCAGGTGACCTTGTGGGTTCCGCCTGCTGCTCCCTGTGAAATCACAGGGCATCTTCTGGGGCCAAAGCCAACTTAAGTTGTCTGGGCCATTAGGCTTGATAGGAAGGAGGACTTTGGGAGCACCCGTATCCCATTCTTTCACTTCTCTCCTCGTTTCTCTTTTTAGACCTGGTTAAGAAGTTACATAAAGCTGTTCCAGGCCCCGTGCCAGCGCTGCGGGAAGTTTCTGCAGGACGGCCTTCCCCCGACATGGAGGGATTTCCGAACCCTCGAAGCCTTCCATGACACCTGCCGGCAGTAGCCCCCACGCTGGCCCCAGCCTCAGACCCCACCCAGCACCTTCCCAGACACGCAGGAAGCCCACAGAAGGCTCAGCTGGTTCCTCACTGCCCAGATGTGTACAGCTGCTCCTCCCTTTCATAAAGCAGCGCCATGTGTGCAGAGGCCACTCTTGAAGAGCAGACTCCCTCTGTGGCTGATGGGACTAATTATTCCCACTAGCCAGCGGACTGAAGGCAAAGAAGACCTTTCTAGAACCTGGTAGAAGGAAGCTGTGCAGCATGCTCCTCGTCCATGTGTGTCGGCAGTGCTGGTGTCTGTCGTCTCCGCGAGCTGTTACTGGAATGAGCCCTTGTGTTCATGGGTATCGTCATGCGGGGTTCTTGTGTTTTGTGGGGCTTGGGTTTTGGTAACTTATTTTTATAAGCAATAAACCTTTTGTATCCTGGATAAGGCTTTGTCTCCTGTTTGTTACAGCACCTTATAAGTACTACACATTCAGTTCATGAACACATAATGGACCTGGGCCTCTTGAAGAAGCAGAAACCAGCACGTCCCATGTTCACAGGGTGGTTCTTTTTGAGCACGTACTGCCCTGCGTCCTGCTTGCGGGCGAGAGGGCAGTGCTGGCAGATCCTCTATTTCAGAGACGCTGTGATGGCTTGAAAAATGAATGATTCCTTTTGAGAAAAAGAACATGCAGAAGTTTCTTTTTACTAAACCAGTCACACGCATACCCCAGAGGGAAAGGAACCTGCCCGGGTTAGCCGGCCAGATGCGTGTGAGCAGGACTCGCAGGGGTGTCGGCTTGTGGGCCCCAGGTTTTGTCCTAAATATTACCATGACTCGATCCCAGCCCCATCTCCCGACTTTGTTCAGTGCCTCAGCACCAACTTTTAAAGACATGGCCTGTTTCTGTGAAGATCGTTGACCTGGCGAAGGGCTTGAGGAGGGTGGTGGCATCGCCCAGAGCCAGCCTGGCCAGGCCCATGCTAGAACAATGTTCTCTTTGCCGTGAACAAAGCGTCAAGAGAGATGACACCTTCTGAGATGTCCAAAAGAACCAGTGGGTCCTCCCTGGCTTCTGGTACCACCAGCCTTCCCCCCGCCACCCCTGGCCGAAAAGAGCCAGAGAATGGAGAGGGTTTCGTGCTGAGGGCTCTAGGACAGTGCCTGCCCACGTGGCATCCCACCTGCAGCACTGCCACCGTGGACGCTTACTAGAAATACACATCCCCAGGCGGGGTGCGGTGGCTCACACCTGTAATCCCAGCACTTGGGAGGCCAAGACAGGTGGATTACTTGAGCCCAGGAGTGCAAGACCAGCCTGGGCAACATGGCAAAGCCCCATCTCTACAAAAAAATACCGAAAAAATTAGCCAGGCGTGGTGGTGTGCGACTGTAGTCCCAGCTACTCGGGAGGCTGAGGTGGGAGGATCGCTTGAGCGTGGGAGGTCGAGGCTACACCTCTGCACTCCAGCCTAGGAGACAGAACAAGACCCTATCTCAAAAAAAGAAAGAATTACACATGCTCTGGGGTGGGGTCCAGCAACCTGATCTTTAGCAGCCCTCAGGTGACTGTCACGTGCCCTGGCACCTAAGGCCTCTGCCCAGGAGGAATGGTCGTGCTTTGATGGCCCACTCGGGGAAGTGGGAGGGGCACACAGGGTAAGGCAGGACTTTTCCAGACCAGGGGTGGCTGTAGATTAAACGCCACACCTACTTTGTCAAATTCAAGATGCCAGTGCTCCTAAGATACATCATTACTAACCACTAATAAAGAAAAACATGCTGCCAATTAAACCCTGGTCTTGATAATCCTGTGTGACACGTGAATCCGTCACACCAGCCTTTCATTGCTTTGACGTTTCTTTCATCTATTCCAAGGGAGCAGTCATTTCTCCTGCCTTAAGTCTTATTGTTTAGCCTGTGATAGGCGATCCCTTTACCCAACTCCCAGTAACAGACCAGCACACAGCTTCATTGACTTGCTGTATCCTTTCTTTGGTCTTGTAAGACACTTGTTTCTTTCTTGCATTGCAAGAAAAGATGGAATTGAGGATATCGGGTACATAATAACAGTTTGTCTCAGTGCCGCACATCTTTCCAGAGACATTTAAAAGGCAAGTAAACTGACCCCGTGCAGTATGAACGTTGTGCACAGCTCATGCGAAGTGACGACAGTATGACCAGCTATGACCAAGTTGGAGCATGTGCAGATAGTGGCACGCACGTCGTGACTGCCAGCTGGCAGACGGCACACGCCAGAGACGTTCAAATGGGGAAAAGCATCTATCTGAGGATTGATGGATTTGTGGTCCTGGTAAATCTCATTGTGAGAAAGTGATCTGGGTTTTTAACTGTTTGAATCCTCCCAATTTGCAGCAAGTCTGAGAACATCCCCATTGGGCACTAAAGGTCGCTCCAATTCCCGCCAGTCTCTGTTTTCAAAAGAGAGAGGAGCCTTGAGTTGACAGCCTCAGGCAGGCGCTGTTTCTACTTGGAACTAAATGCGCTGGTTTTGTCTTCTCTGTGTCGTCCTCAGAGAAACCTTCTGTTTATCGCAAATGATGGCAGTTTCCCATTTACAGGGGTGATACAAAGTGTCCATTTAAAATAAATTTATTTAGGTGAAAAAGTGTGACTGTTAAAGAAAAACATTAAATAAATAATAGCACAGGAAGAGTGGCTATGACAGAAAGTGTGAAGGATGTGGGCAGGTGGCGGGGGGCGGACGCACTGCCCAGGCCTGCATCCCAGCCTTCTGCTAGCGGTGGCAGGAGCCTAGAGAAGTGGCTTCATCTGAGAACCCCATGCCCTCATCCGTGAGGCACAAGGCTGGTGATTCAGTGATGGTGGAGGGGCTGGGGGCTTAGAGATGGAACAGATCGGCTGTGCATTGGTCACAGGGAGGCTACGCAGTGGGGATGCGCGTGTTGCCTGCTGTTCTGTTTTCCTGCTTTTTGACAGTCCCTAATTAAAGAGGGAGGTTGAGGCCGGGCGCAGTGGCTCACTCACGCCTGTAATCCCAACACTTTGGAAGGCCGAGGCGGGTGGATCACTGAAGGTCAGGAGTTCGAGGCCAGACTGACCAACATGATGAAACCCTGTCTGTACTAAAAAAAAAAAAAAGCCAGGCATGGTGGCATGTGCCTGTAGTCCCAGCTACTCAGGAGGCTGAGGCAGGAGAATTGCTTGAACCCAGGAGGCAGAGGTTGCAGTGAGCCAAGATTGCACCACCGCACTCCAGCCTAGGTGACAGAGTGAGTGAGATCTCGTCCCCTGCCCCCCCCAAAAAAGGGAAGTTTGGAGGAAAACGAGCCTGAGCAGCTAGCCTTTAAGGTCTTCCCATCTCTGACATTCTCAACCTTCAATCAAGGCTGAACGGGAGTATATTTGAGATCCAGAAAGGGGAGAGGGGCTGAAAGGGTGATGGGTTCATTTGCCAAACACTCAAAAGCTGGGTACTCCAGGAGATGAACCTGAGGGAGGCCGGCTTTGTGTGTCTCCCACTGAAACAGAATGCACTGACCTGAAGTTGACACAAATAGAGACCAAGGTGAGTTGGGGTCAGTTCTAAGATGGTGGACTGCGAGGGAAGCCAGAGACGCCGCTGCTGTGAGGATGGTCACCAGGCCTCAGAGCCATCCTTTGGTGCCTGTCACTGAAAGGAACGTGGCCATTGATGGGTGCTGGTTCACCAGGGGCAAAACATGAGCTAGACTGTCCAAGGGTGGGCCAGGTGCAGTGGCTCACACCGATAACCCCAGCACTCTGGGAGGCTGAGGTGGGAAAATGGCTTGAATCCAGGAGTTCAGGACCAGCCTGGGCAACATAGCAAGACCCCATCTCTACAAAAGAATTTTTTTCAATTAGAAATAGACTATCCAAGAGGGACCTCTAGGCCCGACCTACAAGGTATTTTATGGGACTTAATTAGGGCTCCTGCAGTGCAGCCCCTCTGCTTGCCAGGCCCCCTACGCTGTCGGCTAATGTAATCCCCGGAGTGGGGTGGGGGGGGGGTGTGGTGTTTTCCCTGTTTTATAGATGAGAAGCCAAGCAGAGGGGTTCACACAGCAGCACACGGAGGGGCTGGCTGCCAGGCTGGCCACGGCCGAGCTCTGGGGCTCCTCAGCAGCAAGGGACTGGCCCTGCCGTGCCCGAGTGTGCCGCATCGAACGTGGCCTAAGCCAGAACCCTCAGCCAGAACTTGACCCCTCTGTCTTGTCAATGCTTCCCATGGCCACCAGAGGCCGGGACGCCGTTACCCCACGCTGTCTGCTGGCCGGGTTACCCCGTCTTGCCAATGCTTCCCGTGGCCACCAGAGGCCGGGACGCCATTACCCCACACTGTCTGCTGGCCGGGTTACGGTGAATCCCCCGGGTGCCCAGTAGGAACTGACAGAATGGAGCGAGGAGGTCTATGAAAGGTGGTCCAGATTTTTTTTTTCTGAACTAAATTGGGAATTGGCCTTTTGGTACAGAGTGATGTTTTTCCACTTCCCACCACTGACTGCATGAAAGGCTGATCTTTCCGTGTTAATGTGCAAACTCACCATTGCATTTAGGGTGTCAGAGTGTGGGCCTGCTGCTACATCGAGAGCCTTTTAAGGGCACTGGAATTGGGAGGGGCAGGGACGACACCAGGATTCTCACAAGATCTGGAGCCCCTGCAAACCTGACGGGAGGCACTGTTCGGCCATCAGGTCTGTGGGTAGAAGACAGAAAAGGACAAGGTGCCCTTCTCATCTGTGCCCCCAGCCTCCACATCTCCAGCAGCATGTGGAAGATGATGGGGAGCCTCATGGTTCCGGGCCTGATGGGACAGGGTGGGCCAGCCCCATTCCACCTGCTCACCTGCTGAGTCCACTCAAGGCCGAATGATCTGCACGTCCAAGATTGTGGACAAGAGGCAGCGGATAATTAGGCTTCACTCTCTAGGACACGCAGGCGGCCTCTTTCCCCAGTCTCTGCCATCCCTCCCCCACTCTCCTTCCCAGCCGGGTCCTTACATCCGGGGAAAGGAACTTCAGAAACTCACTTTCAAGTTGAATTTTAAATTGCAGGCTGCCTGTGCCCTGTTATTAGTACTTGAAGAGCTAAACCTTGAGGTTCACAGCACATCCCAGGTAGAGCACTTGGCAGCTGTGCGATGATTAGTTACTCAGGAGCAGCTCCAGCCTGTCTCGGTGCTAATTGAGTTTGAAATTTCAGCTGCAGATTGACTGTCCTCGGTGTGAGCCGCAGTTTGGCGCTAAGGGAACAGGCAGGTCCTGCTGGCAGCGGCTTCATCTGCAGCGTGCTCCTCTCGGGCTTGATAGAGACAATGACCTATGCCTCCAGGGAAGAAGGGACAAGGGAGGGGCTGAGGCCAGGGGGACAGGGAGAGGAAACTGAGGCCACAAGCTGGAGAGCCAGCCCGGGACGGCAGCAAGCGATCGTCAGCACCCGCCGTGCTCACACCCTGCACTCGGGTGGGATGGACTGTTACTTAATGCGTTACTCATCTCAGCCTTGGCTCTCATCGGCATCATAGGCTTGCTTTCTTAATTACAAAAGGAATCCATATGTTCCTTTTGTAGGAAATGAGGTAATGTGAATAAGCGAAGCAAAGGAAATAATACCCATGATTCCCACCAGCAGGAGCTCATCACTGGAGCACTTTGGTGCTCACCTTTCCAGACCCTCCTATGGACGTGTTGTTGTTGTTGTTGTTGTGGTTTGTTGTTGTTGTTTTTGCAGAAAGATGAGATCAGACTGTGTACTATTTTGAAACCTTTTTCCCATTTTAGCAAAGGCTAAGGTTCTATAGCACAGAGGTCCAAAAATGCAGTGGCTTAAAGACAGCAGACACGTTTCTCCTCCACTTAAGAGCCCCACCAGGGAGTGGACAGCTGTGCTCCACGCAGTCATTTGGGAATCCTGCTCTCCCATCTTAGGACATTGTCACAGGCACCTTCCAAGTCTGCAGAAAGGGGAAGGCACGTGAGGAGCACGTGCCAGTGTTTTAAGTCCCAGACCCAGCACTGGCCCACGTCAGTTCCTCTTGAATTTCATTAGCAGAAACTTCGTCACACAGCATACCCAGCTGCCAGGGCTGCTGGGAAATGCAGTCTCTAACTGGGCAGCCATGGAGCCATCTGCGACCCTCACTCTGGCCGAGGGGAGACCCCTTTCTGATGGATGAACAGCAGCCTCCACCACACAACATGTGCTGAGCCTCTTCCAGTCTCCGGGAGTGTGTATCAGTGGTGCTGTCCTTAGCAGCTTGTTTATTTCTTTGTTGTGTCCATCCTTGGGTTTTATGTTACAAGGGTATTCCTCTATTTGGTTGCATACCATAATGCATACCATACTTACCCAATTAATCTCCTGTTGGATTTTTTCACTTTTTATTTTGAAATAATTATAGATTCACAGGAAGTTGCAAAGAAACATATAGGGAGGCTCCATGTACCCCTCATCCAGCTTCCTCCGATATTAACATCTTGCATAACTAAAGTACAGTATCAAAACCAGGGGACTGACATCAGGGTGAAGCAGAGGTTATTCCAGTTTTACCAGCTAGACATGCACTCGTGTGTATGTGTGAGTGTATGGCGCTATGCTATATATATATATATCTTTTTTTTTTTGAGATGCTCTCCTCTGTCACCCAGGCTGGAGTGCAGTGGTGCAATCCCGGCTGACTGCAGCCTCAACCTCCCAGGCTCAAGTGATCCTCCCACCTCGGCCTCCCAAGTAGCTGGGACTGTAGGCGCACACCACCATGCCCAGCTAATTTTTGCATTTTTTGTAGAGACCAGGTCTTGCCATGTTGCCCAGGCTGGTGCTCTGTACAATTATATCACATGTGTAGCTCTGTGGAACCACCATCACCACCACAACCGAGATGACTAACGGTACCATCCTTACGACTCCCCATCCTACCCCTCTCTAGCCACACACACCTCCTCTTCCCTCGCCTAACCGCTGGCAGCCACCCATCTGTTCACCATCTCTGTAAGTATTTCAGTTCACCATCTCTGTAAGTATTTCAGTTCACCAGTGTTATATACATGGACTCACACAGTATGTGTCCTTCTGAGATTGGCTTTTTTTACTTACCATCATTTCCTTGAGAGTCATTCAAGTTGTTCCACCTACCAGTATGTACAGTCCATTCCTTTTCATGGCTGAGTAGTGTGCCATGCTGTACATGTACCACACTTTGTTTAACTACTTATCCATTGGAGGACATTTGGGTAGTTTCCAGCTTGGGGCTATTACAAACAAAGCTGCTCTGAGCATTCACGTACAAGTTACTGCATGAAAATCAGTTTCATTTCTGTGCCTTTATATATAAGCCTTTGAATCTTGTTGCTGGGTCGTATGGTAAGTCCATTTTTAGTTTTAAGGAACAAACTATTTTCCAGAGTGGCTGCAGTCATTTCCATTCCTGCCAGCAGTGTGAGTGATCCAGTTTCTCTGCAGTATCACCAGCGTTTGGCGTTGTCAATATTTCTTCCGTTAACCATTCTGATAGGTATGTAGTGATGTCTTGTGTCTTTTATTTGCATTTCTCTATTGGCTAATAATGTTGAAGATCTTTTTGTGTGCTTATTTACCATCTGGTGTCTTAAGCAAAATGTCTCTGCGTGTCTTTTGCCATTTTTTTTTTCAAGACAGAGTCTTACTCTGTCGCCCAGGCTGGAGTGCAGTGGTGCAGTCTCAGCTCACTGCAACCTTGGCCTCCCGTGTTCAAGCGATTCTCCTGCCTCAGCCTTCCAAGTAGCTGGGACTACAGGCATGCACCACCACACCCTGCTAATTTTTTGTATTTTTAATAGAGACAGGGTTTCACAATGTTGACCAGGCTGGTCTCGAACTCCTGACCTTAAGTGATCCACCCACCTTGGCCTCCCAAAGTGCTGGGATTACCAGCATAAGCCACTGCGCCCGGCCATCATTTGCCTATTTTCTAATTGATTTTTTTATGGTGAATTTTGAGAGCCCTTCCCATATTTGAGATACAAGTCCTTTGTCAGTTTTGTGATTTGCAAGTATTTTCTTCCAGTCCTTGGCTTGCCTTTTCCTCCTCCTCACAGAGGAGATGTGTTCGGTTCTGACAAGGTCCAGTTTACCCATTTTCCCTTTTATGGCTCATGCCTTGATGTCAGGTGTAGCGTGTTGGGTTCAGTGAGTGGTGAGTGGTGTTCTACTGGAAGAACGTGGTCGCTCTCTCCTCCCCGCCACCCCACGCACTCAGCAGGGACTATGGATACCTTCTAGTTCATCCGTGCATTTGACGGCATCCATGTCCAAGGCCTGGAAACATGCTTGGCTCACCCAGCAGGGGCATGACAGCATGAAGGCCAGAACCAAACCCCCCTCAGTCAACGTTTCACGTCCCCAAACCCGTCTCAGGGTAACACTTGACCTACAGTGTCAAGATGAAATTGACTCTGCAACCACACAGGTGAGTGAAAGAAAACATTGGCGGCAGCAGGTTGGTTTCCACAGCCCGGCCCCAGGCCCAGGTCATGGTGCTTAGAGGAGGAGCCTCAGCTGAGAATGAAGGGTGCCAGGGATGCTTCTCCATCCCTGTCATGGGCAGCTGCTGCGGTTGGATCTGCCCTGGGAAGGGCAGGAGAGGGCACCTCGATGGTCGGGTGCAAGAAGCCACTGGGTCAGCAGATCGCCCGGCCCTTCCCCACATGTTCAACCTCTTGGCCTCTGGGCTGCTTTCTCCACCTGGAACATTCTTCCTCCAGAAAGCCACGTGGCTCACTCTCTGACTTCCTCCAGGAAGTGAGCTTACTAACCGGGCCGTCCCTGACCACTCAGGATAAAAGTGTGCACGCCCTGTCCCTTCCTCCCCCAACTCTGCCCCGTCCTTCTGATCTCCCCGCACACTGCTGGTAACTCTCTTATCATCTGTCTCCCCAAGTGTCAGCTTCTGCAGGGCAGGGGCAGCATCTGTCTTGCATGCTGCTCTAGGCCCTCACACACAGCAGGTGCTCAATAAATATCTGCCGACTGGAATGGAGTGAGAATGCCAGGCTCAGGTTTCTGGTATGCTCCTAAATTGGTGGCCTTGGGCCAGTAACTTGACCCTTCTAAGCATGGATTCTACATCTGTCAATTTGGCCAGTGAGTCTAGCCCTTGGGTGTGGAAGTCCTGAACACCAAATGTGTATTGCACGGCCCCTGTGTACAGGTGCTAGGTGCCAGGGTTGCAGTTCACGTGTCAGACGAGCAGAAGATCAGAGAGCGAAGCCCACCTTGTGTGCGCAGGCGAAAGTGTGGATGCTGTAGGGAGGTGCTCATTCACGTGGGACCCGCTCCATCTTCCGTGGAACAGGGACACTTCTCATGCCTCCCTTCTTACTCTGAGGAAAGGATTCAGAGAAAGGAATCCAAGCTGGGTACAGTGGCTCACACCTGTAATCCCAGCACTTAGAGAGGCCATGGTGGGAGAATCTCTTGAGCCCAGGAATTCGAGACCAGCCTGGGCAACATAGTGAGACCTCATCTCTACAAAAAAAAAAAAAAATTAAATTAGACAGCCATGGTTGCACACACCTGCAGTCCCAGCTACTTGGGAGGCTGAGATGGGAGGATCGCTTGATCCCAGGAGGTCAAGGCTTACAGTGAGCCATGATTGCACCACGGCACTCCAGCCTGGGCAACAAAGCGAGACCCTGTATCAAAAAAAAAAAAAAAAAAAAGGAAAAAATAAAAGAAAGAAAGGAGTCCAGGAGGTGTATGGGAATCCCACGAGGGCTTCCTCTCTGTAGACATGAGACATCTTCAGCTGTGGGTCGCGACCTGTCCTCAGCACAGGGCCTTACAATGCCACTTAGAAAGTGCAAGGGTCTCACTTGAACCCAGGAGGTAGAGGTTGCATGCAGCGAGCTGAGATCGCACCACTGCACTCCAGCCTGGATGTCAGGGCAAGATCCAGTCTCAAAAAAAAGAAAAAAGTGCAAGTGTCTGAGACTGTGGTAGAATCATGGGCACTGCCCCGTTTTCCTGGGCCTCTCTGCATTTCTGTGAACACATTGCATCTTCCTGCCTTGATTAGAACGCAGTCCCTTTTTTGCCGTGGCTTTTTGATATTCGACTTTGCACGCGATGCCCCTAAAGCTAATAGGCACTGGCCTTTCCTTTCCAAAGGGTAGTTGGTCAAATTAATGATCGCCAAAAGGCCATAATTAATTTGCTCTCCTTTCTGTTTCATTCCATTAGTTTGCAAACCAGCAAAGTTCAAGAAAACTTCTGAGCATAAAAGAGTAGGGATCTCATTAGGAAGCAGACAGGTAGTTCTAAAATTTTTCAAAAACTCTGGGGCCATAGAAAAAGGGGCAATTGTGAGCCTGTACCAGCAAGAGACGCCAATTCACTGAGTGGCAACTTCGTGTTGGCAGCTGGCTACGTCCTGGCTGCAGACAGGCGCACACTAGGCCTGGGCACCCTGTAAGGGGATGAACGTGTGACCCTCAGCCTGTCTCGTGGCAGCTTCCCCATTTCATCACCTAGGAGACTGCAGCTCAGGGAGGTTCTAGGCAGAGTCAGGATTTGAACTCAAGTCTGATGGGCTCTACAAGCCTGGATCCTTGTGCCTTGGCTTCATGGCCTCTCCTAGGAGCAGAAGGTAGCAGAGAAACAGGGCTTCCCACCGGGATTTCACAGAGGCTTGCTAGTGATACTTAGAAACTTTTCAGCAACGTTTACTATGCTGTGGTAGCAAAGGCTGGTGAACCCAGAGTTTAAATTCCAACACATCCTCCATGCACTTTATACACACTCATCCTGCTGGTCCTCAGCGGTGACCAGGCTGATGTTGTTGTACAATAGGCCTCTCTCACCAGAAATTGGGAGGTTCCCACAACCCCTTTCTGTACACTGGGCCCAGCACCATGCCCTCTCGGATGAGGAGCTGCAGCAGACGCACGATCGAACCACGGCCGCCCTGGCGAGAGATGCTGGGCTTGCCTGGACTGGGCGCTCCGGCCGCTGCGGTGAGAGACGCTGGGCTTGCCTGGACCAGGCGCTCCGAGCAGTCAGCTCTGCGCAGCAGCAATGGTGTCTAGAAAGGTGTTTAGTCGGCCGAGTGTGGTGGCTCACTCCTGTAATCCCAGCATTTTGGGAGGTCAAGGCAGGTGGATCATTTGAGGTCAGGAGTTCAAGATCAGTCCGGCCAACATGGCAAAACCCTGTCTCTACTAAAAATACAAAAATTAGCCGGGTGTGGTGGCAGGCGCCTGTAATCCCAGCTACTCAGGAGGCTGAGGCAGGAGAATCAGTTGCTTGAGCCTGGGAGGTGGAGATTGTGGTGAGCCAAGATCGCGCCACTGCACTCCAGTCTGGGCGACAGAGTGAGACCCTGTCTCAGAAAAAGAAAATTTAAAAAAGGCATTTACTCTCAAAGGACAGACCCGTGTCCCAGGCAAAAAGAGCAGAGGACAGAAGCTGGAGCTGTCGCACAGCCGGCCCTTTGGGGACCTAGACGTGGCTCCATGTGTGGCAGGCGGGGTGGGAGGCGCTGGGCCCTCCCCGTGGGCAGTGAGGTTTCGGTGCCATGAGCGCCGCCCACGGGCAGTGCGTTCCTTCCCCGTCACCCACGGGCAGTGCGTTCCTTCCCCGTCGCCCACGGGCAGTGCGTTCCTTCCCCGTGGCTGCTGTAATAATTGACCACAGCTGCGTGGTTCACGCAGACAAACGTATTCCAGAGTCCCAGAGGCTGGAAGTCTGCGGCAGGTCTCACAGCTGACACCAGGGACAGCAGGGCCGTGCTCCCCTCTGGAGGCGCTGCGGGGGACTCCATTTCCTCGCCTTTCCCAGCTTCTAGAGGCCACCCTCATTTCTTGGTTCATGATCACGGCCGCTCCCTCCCACAAAGCCAGCAGGCGTGGGTCGAGGCCTCACAGCCGTCACTCTGACTCCCCTTCTGTCTCCCTCTTACCCCTTTAAGGATGGTGGGGACGACGCCAGTCCCACCTGCATAATCCAGGCTATGTTCCCTACTCAAAACTCCGCGGATTGGCATCCATCCGCATCTCCAGCGGCAGCCTGCCTTCCCTCTTGCCGTGTAACCTAATATACTCCCAGGTTCCGGGGCGTAGCAGACACCTACCGGACACCCTGGGGACCACCATGGGGGCCACTGAAGGCTGCTGAGCTCACGCCAGAGATGCAGGGTCTCACTTTGCTTTGAGGGAACCCGTCCTCAGCGTCCCATCAGTTCACATCCTTTGATTAGATTGGCTCGAATCAAACTACCCCTCCCCACTGCACCCCAGGGTAAGGAGATCCAGGCCAGTCTTAGCGTCAGAGCCACCCACACACACACACACGCGCACACACACACATGCACACCACATACACACACATGCACACACACACCACATACACATATGCACACACACACCACATACACACATATGCACACACATACCACATACACACATGCACACACCACACACATGCACACACACACCGCATACACACACGCGCACACACCGCATACACACACACATGCACACACACCGCATACACACATATGCACACACACATGCTCACACATACATATGCACACACACACACCACATATGCACACACATGCACACACACCACATACACGCACACACACCACATACGCACACACATGCACACACACCACATACACGCACACACACACCACATACACCGCATACACACATATGCACACAAATGCACACACACCACATACACACGCACACACACACCACATACACACACACCACATACACACATGCACACACACACATGCACACACACATACCACATACACACTGTGGCAGGCCCAGGGATGGGCATGTGGTCTCGCCCCGCCAAGGAGACACAGTTACACCTGAAGGGGATGTCCTTCTTTTCTTCCTGCTGTGGGATATGGAGCAGTGTCTTGGACCAGGAAGTGGGAATGGAATGTCTTGGGCGTGGAGCCCACCCTTCCAGAACAGATAGGACAGACTGGGGGGTCTGAAGGCACCGTGGGTCCTCAGCTAGCCCTCCCCACCCACCCCCGGGTGTAGACAGAAGAGAGAAGCCTCTGCCTGGTTCAAGGCACCGTGATTTGGGGCCTTCTGTCCCTCACCAACTAACTTGGTTCCAACTCATACACCCCCTGTGACGGGCTCTGTTAGCACCTACATCTTGGGAAAGTGCTATTTGTCCATGCACGCGTCTGATCAGGGTGTGTGTTACCCACTGGCAGGTTTTCAGCGCATAGTGGGTATATATTCAGAGCCCAGGGTTTCCTGGCTGGTTCACTGTTAACTGGGGGTAAAGAGGATGAACTCTGCTTATCCTCCCCAAGCTGTGCAGCCCAGGGACCCCACGAAGGTCCTTGCAGCAGGGGTGGAGGGGCGGCCGGGGGACCTCTTACTCAGATGTGATCAGGTAGATTTTTGTTTTCTGTCTGGATGAAGTTTGCTGTTTTTACATGTATCACATCACGACTGAAATGTCACAGTTTGTGTGACTAATCCCGTGTACTTTTAACATCCCGCCACGTGACATTTTCCCCCTTCAAGTGGGGACTTACGCTCCCTGTCATCCTTCTGTCCCTGGCGCTGTGCTCAAAGTCAATGTCTTCTTTTGACCTAAGATGTCGTTTTTGTTCAGGCTGAATGTATTTTAACCGTAGGACGTTGCAGAATCTGTCGCTTCCCTCCCCAATGGTCACGCTTCCATTCTTCCTTCCTAATAGAGCTCCCAATTTTAGCCTGGGTTAAAGACTTCATCGACCAGCTTCTTTACAATTAGGAGCGGACTCAGGTTATGCACAACTTTTGGGAGGTGCGACTCAGGTTATGCACAACTTTTGGGAGGTGTCCTTAGGGGAGTGGTGGGAGGAGGGAGGTCTTTTCTGCCCCTTCCTCTTTCTTGCTGGCTGAAGTGTGGACATGATGGCTGGTGGTTAAGCAGCCGTTCTAGACCCTGAGGTAGAAACCACATGCTGAGGATGGCAGAGCAGGAAGATGAGAGGCTGGCTCACTGGCAACTTGAACATCCACCTCTGGTCTTCTCTTGTACTGGAGGGAACTAAGTTATCTGGTTTAAGCCACTAATGTTCTGGGTTTTCTGTCACGTGCACCTGGATTTGATCCTACTTGTCACAAGGGTGTCAAGTGAAAATTGGTGTTTTAAAACAATCCACAGTAGTCCCCTTACAGAGGAGCTCATCGAGAGTCTCAGCTCAGGCCGGGCGCAGTGGCTCACGCCTGTAATCCCAGCACTTTGGGAGGCCGAGGCGAGCAGATCCCTTGAGGTCAGGAGTTCGAGACCAGCCTGGCGAACATGGTGGAACTCCGTCTCTACTAAAAATACAAAAATTAGCCAGGCATGATGGCGGGCACCTGTAATCCCAGCTACTTTCGAGGCTGAGCCAGGAGAATTGCTTGAACCTGGGAGGTGGAGGTTACAGTGAGCAGAGATTGCGCCACTGCGCTCCAGCCTGGGCGACAGAGCGAGATTCTATCTCAAAAAAAAAAAAAAAGTCCCAGCTCATTGCCAGATTTTGTTCTTGACTGTGGTGTTCACCACAGTTACACCCAAGGCCCAGCCGGGGCTGGGGCCCCCTCCCACTCGCCTCTTGCTGGCTGTCTTCCCTATGATCATTAACACCCCGGTTCCACCCGAGTCTACCAGCCTCTCTTGCACCCCACATGATTTCAGTTTCTGCTGGTGTTTAACACTGGTAAAGGTTATCAAATCCATCTTTAGTCAAGAAAAGCAGTTTAATGAGCGGGTTTCTGCCTCATGAAGAGAAAGGCCGTGTGCACGTGTGTTACGTGCTAAGTTTCAGTCAGCCCGTGGCTCCCCGTGTCCTCCTTGCCGATTTAATCTCTTGGTCAGTGTTGGACAAACAGAGCAGGCTGTTTCCTCATTTTCTCCTCCCAGGCCTCCCCAGCCCCCTTCATGCATTTTTCATCGACTCCTTCTGCCTGGGAAGCGTATTGATTGGCTGATTAAGCCATCAAGTCACAGCCAACAGCTTTCATGTTCTAACCCCGGGCCCTGAGTTCTCTTCCCTCCCTGCCACTGTGTTCCCCGCCTCGAACCCCTCCAGCCCCGCCCTGATGTTGCGGGTGTGTTTGAATCATCAAAAGATGAACTGTTGAGAATCCAGGCCCCTCCTTGGATGATGCTTCACCTGTCACCTGAACAGAATACCCCACAACTTTATTATCTTCTTTTTTTTTTTTTTTTTTTTTCTGAGACAGAGTTTCACTCGTGTAGCCCAGGCTGGAGTGTAGTGGTACAATCTCGGCTCACTGCAACCTCCACCTCCTGGGTTCAAGCGATTCTCCTGCCTCAGCCTCCCGAGTAGCTGGGATTACAGGCATGCACCACCATGCACAGCTAATTTTTGTATTTTTAGTAGAGATGGGGTTTCACCATGTTGGCCAGGCTGGTCTTGAACTCCTGACCTCAGGCTATCCACCTGCCTCGGCCTCCCAGAATGCTGGGGATTACAGGCGTGAGCCACTGCGCCTGGCCAATTTTATTATCATTTTTAATTACACCTCTAGAGAGGACCCCTCTTTCAAGGACCTGTTTAAACCCAAACTCCATATTTGTTTTATTTTGCTGCAAAAAATAAATAAATAAATAAATAAATAAATAAAAGTAAAAATAAAAATTACCCCAGAACTCAGCAGCTTAAAGCCACAAAGTTAATGGCCCACAGGATCTGAGGGTCAGGGATTCAGGAGTGTCTTCATTGCCTGGCTCTCTGTCTCCTACGAAGGTGCAGTCACAGAGTCAGAGGCCATCATCTGATGCACCCCTGAGTAGGCAGCTCCCCTTCCCAGGTGGCAGCACCCGCGTGGCTGTCGGTAGGAGGCCTCGGCGCCTCACCATGTGGGAGTCACCATCTGAGCGTCTGGAGTGTCCTCCCATGTGGTCATGTGGCCACTGACCCCTGCAGGTGAGGAATCCTAGGGAGGGCCGGCGGCCAGCCACGGTGCCTTCGATGGCCTGGTCTCGCGTGTCCACCGTCACTCTGCTCCTTTTCTGTTCGTTAGAAACGAGTCACCAAGTCTGGCTGACATTCAAGGGAAGTGCAGCATTAGGCCCCACCATTGGATGAGCAGACCCAAGGATTTGAGGACACATTTCAAAGTGTCACCCTCCGCCCTCTGGCCACCGAGTCCTGCATTTCTTCCCGTGCAAAATATCCTCGCTCCCCCTCCCAGACGACCCCAAAAGTCTCAACCCATCGCAGCCTCTGTTCCGAGTCCGGGATCTCATCCAGGTGAGGATCAGCTCCCCGGGACTGTTCCTGGGTCAGCTCCTCACCTGAGAGCCGCTCCACCTGAAGGCCTGCACACCGAGAGCCAAGCGGTCAGCCCCACAGGCCCTGCACCCACAGCAGGGTAGCCTGGGGTAACCGCAACAAACTCCCCCATCCCTCGCTCCTGGCACAGCACTGGGCACCTGGGGCACCGCCACTACCCAGACAGTGAGTGAGGGAGCCAGGGAGGGAACAGCCTGGGACTCAGATGCAAAGACGCATGGTCAGCTCCGGCTCGTCACCCAGATCCCAGCTCACTTGCAAGCACCAAATCAACCATGAGCTGGGGCCTGACTCCAATCACCATCCTGACACCCTGGCACCCTCTGGAATGACTCCAGCTTCTCCTGGGCGGGGGGGCCAGGGAGCAGGGCCTGATCCGCCTTGTTCACTGTGTACCGTGCACCTAGAACAGGACGTGGCAAACAGTAAGTGCTCAATAACTGTTTGTGGACTGAAGGAATGGAGAAATGGAATAGCCAATAATCAGAGTTGCCGGGCAGGGCAGCCTGAGGTACAGTCCCGGTGCTGGAGAAATTGGGACGTGGACTGAACATTCGATGGTGGCATCGGCGTCTATTTTCTGGGGCGGGATGATGGAGACTGTCTGTTAGGAGCGCACCATGTTCTCAGCAGGCACAGGCTGAAGTGTGACGGGGAAGTGCTATGGTGGCTTCAGCCTGCCTGCAAGGGTTTAGCGGGGCAGGGGTGAGAGAGAGAGAGAGAGAGCGAGAGAGAGCAAGAGCAGGCAGGTGCACAAACGTGGAAAATGTGAACAGTCGGTGAAAGGAGATGAGGATATGTGAGGTTCACGGACTCAGCTTTAAACACCTCCATAGGTTAGACATTCCTCACCTGATGACATCTGGGTCCTCCTGAAGCGTTTAATGCTCCAGGAACCAGCCACCCTCTCATGCTGGCTCTGAGGGGGCAGAAGAGGGTAAACAGGCATACAGAAGGCACACCAGGCCAGGTGCGGTGGCTCACGCCTGACATCCCAACACTTTGGGAGGCCAAGGCAGGCGGATCACCTGAGGTCAGGAGCTGGAGACCAGCCAGGCCAACATGGTGAAACCACATCTCTACTAAAAATACAAAAATTAGCTGGGCATGGTGGCGGGCGCCTGTAGTCCCAGCTACTCAGGAGGCAGAGGCAGGAGAATCGCTTGAACCCAGGAATTGGAGGTTGCAGTGAGCCAAGATCATGCCACTGCACTCCAGCCTGGGCCACAGAGCGAGACTCCATCTCAAAAAAGGGCGCACCAGTTTCCTCAGAGGCCTCTGGGGCCTTTGGAGCCTTTTAAGACAGGTACAAGGTTCGTAAAACTGCCAGGCGGCAGCGCAGAGGCCTGCAGAGGAAGTTGCACACCACGGACAAGAAAAGCCTCTCCCGCAGCCAGCCTGTCAGGAGGGGCGTCTCGGGGGCAGGCGGCCCGGCCTCCCTCACCCAGTGCAATGCCTGGCTCCCACTTCCATCCCCATGACTCCTTCCAGCCCTCTCCACACTCCTGCCCTCCAGCCCCATCCATTCCCAGCCACCCCAGGCCACTCCCCATCAATTTCTAATGGAAATTAGAATGCAACTCCTCTGCAGCCAGCCAGCAGGATAGTCCTTGTGGGGTGCCACGGCTCCCCTCCAAGCCCCTCTTGGAGAAGGGAGGCTCCTGGGCTGGCTCCGGTGCCACAGCCAGCGGTGGGATATATTCCACATCACCCCTGCTTTTCTAGGACACAACACAGAAGCAGAGAACCCGCCAGAGGTCCCGCCAGACCCGCCAGAGGTCCACAGCTGCTTCCCGGGCTCTTCCTGGAGTCATCTCCCCACAGGCGATTTCCACCAAACCCACGTTGATGACACCCCCAGATGACCGCATTCTACCCAGACGTGGCCCAGAGCCCGTCCCCACCCTCCTGCCCCCTGAGAAGCCTCCGATGTGTGCCCTGACCATCACCAAGCGAGCTCCTCCATGGCCAGTTTCAAGGGGTTCATGGGATGGCTGCGTGGAATTTACTTAAAACATCCCATCAGCCCGCCGTGAGCGGCTCTCGCTAGGCATTTAGCCGCAGCTTCCCATCCGTGTCCTTTCCTGTGTTACTAAATACCAAGATATTCTGGTCCGAGTTCCCACTCCCCCAAGCCCTGATTCACGCGGGTGTGCATGCTGGGGAGTGTGAGACGTCGTCACCTGCCCCCGTGAACCGGGATGGGCGGTGACATCGCGAGCAAGAAGCTGGCATTTGAGTGCAGGTTCTGCAAATATCTCCAGGGCCCGCGTTAAACCATCAGAAACCACGCGTGTAACCGGTGACATCACCCCCCGTTCAAACCGCTTTTTTCTCGGCTTTTTCTCTTCCCTCAATGTATGTCCATTACTCGGGCTCACCCGGCTCTGGGGCTGTTGGGGTCTCAGTCGTTTTGAGGGCAAATACCCCAAGCCCCTCCTGCCTCTGGCTTTTCACTTCTTCCCAATTTTGAATTCATCTACTTGTCTTCCAGCCTAATATGTGCATTAGGGCAGGCTTCATAATAATAATGTAGTCACAGGATGTAGACAGAGGGCTTGCCGCATGCTTGGCTCTGCAGGCTGGCTCCTGGGGTGGCGGGTGCTGAGGATGGATGAAGATGCCTGCCAGGGGAGGTGGCAGGACTGGGCAGACGGAGGAGCTGAACTGACACGCAGTCCCAGGAGCCCTCCGCCAGCCCAGCAGGACCCCAGGCATGGCCTGGGCGAGGCGGGTCTCTGCAGCCCACCCTGAAGGAACTGAGAGCCGAGACTGTCTGGTGACCACGCCCTGCAGCTGGGCAGCAGGTCCTTCCCAAAGATGATCTGGGCAGCACCACTCATCTACGTGACCCAACTTCACCCTCACCGCAATGCCCCGGGATTGTTTTGCAGATGAGACAACAGGCTCAGAGAGGTTCAGTTGCTCGCCCACAGTCACACAGCTGGAGGTTTGCGCAGATCTTTCTGGCTGCGGGGCCCATGTTCATAACCATTGCTGCACTGCCTCTCAGGCTAAATAGTGGAATTTGTGGAATTTTTTTTTTAGAGTTGGGGTCTCACTCTATTGCCCAGGCTGGAGTGCAGGGCACAATCTCAGATCACTGCAGCCTCCATCTCCTGGCCTCGAGCGATCCTCCTACCTAAGCCTCCTGAGTAGCTGGGACCACAGGTGCGTGCCACCACACCCAGCCAAATAATGGGACTTGAAAGATGAAACTGAGGTGCTGTGTGCTCTGTCGTCCTAGGGAACAGACCTTGGCCCTGTCCGGTGGCCTGGCTTCCTCCCTCAGGAGAGTTTCTGCTTCCTAGTCCGCACATCGGCCCAGCCAGTCCTACCCTACTTTCCTTCCCGTTTCCCTTCCTCATTGTCCAGTGAAACTGGGAGCAGCTTCTGGGATGGATGTCATTTGGGTTTGTTTTGTCTTTTGATGCCAAAGGAGAAAAGGACAGAGTTGTTCTGCGCCATCGTTGGTACCAAGATGTTGGTTTGCTGAGACCCTCTCAGGGAAGCACCGGCAGGGAGGCTGACACCATAAAAGGGCGAAACCCACAAGGGATGATCCTACAATGGGACCCCAAAGGCAATTTCCTGCCTCTCCAGCTAGCCCACTGCTTATTATGGGGTGTGCGTGGTTATGGTGCTGAGAGGAAACACCCCGGGATGAGGCGGTATCACATAAAACATTATCCAACTTGGCCTGGTGGCCTGGCCTGCGGTGAGCTCAGTAAATGGGGAGGAAAAGGGTGGCTGTGGTGGTTGCCTGGGGTCCCAGCTTACCCTGCTGGAGGCAGTCCTGGCCCTTCCTTTCCCCTTCCTCTCCTCCCCTTCCCGCCACCTCTACCCTTAGCAGCCAGGGCGGGGCCTGTGCCTGGCTCAGCCAATCAAATGCTTCCTTCTGGTTTCGAATTTTGGGCAAATGGAGATCATTGAGAGTGCACATTTAGCTTGGCTCTGGGCTGTGGTTCCAGCTGCCCCACTGGCTGTGGCTTCCACCATTCCCTGCCTCCCCGTGGATTCCAATAGCTTCAGCTCTCCCTCCAGTTCCTCTGCTGTGTAAGACGCCAGAGCCAGTTTAGGCTGTTGCAGCCCAACGTCCTGGCTGTCTGAAAGCAAAAGGGGCACATTGGGGGCCAGCGCCCCCAGCAGGACACTGGACACACGCCTGGGGGACATACATAGCTGCCCGAGGTAGTGAGGTCCCCATCAAGAGAAGCAAACAAGCACAGGCTGGAAGCCTCCTTGACAGGAATGATACCTTGACTTAGTGCAGATGCAACAAGCCTGTTAGAGAAAAATGAGCTGCTGCTGCTGCTGCTGCTGTTTTTGTTGTTGTTACAATTGGTCACAGCTATGACGATGATTCAGCCTAAACCGCAGCACCCGCCCAGCCCCATCTTTGGTTTCCAGGCTGAGACTGAGTGTCCCTCAGGTGGAAAGAGAAGGCTGAGTCTGTTCCTGGAAGAATCTTCGTCATTTCTGTGGGACAAGTCTCCCCATGAGTTCAGGGTTGGCTCTATCCTGAACCCACCATAGGGGCCCAGCTTTCAAAATGTGTGGGTGGTTTTGTTTTCAAAGAGAGAGAAGGCGGTGGGCAGGAAGCACCATCCCAGATCTGCTGTCACCACCAGATAATCTGTTGTCATAAACCCCAGAACTTTCCATGAGGCTGCTCAAATGTGCTCGGCCTTCCCAGGCCGGTGTTACGGCCAGGCCGCCTCCTGCTTGCAGCTGGTGAGGACGGACAGGGCATGCTGTGGCCTCTGTGAGGTCGCAGGCCCAGGCGTGTGAAGGAAGAGAAGACACAGGGTCCCCATGACCTCCAGAGAGGCCTCCTCGCCCTGTCCTGGCCAGGCCTGCCCCGGAAGCACCCCTTGCGGGCAGTTAGAGCAGCGACGTCCCCGAGCGGCACCTGGTTTCCTCTCCAAGCTCAGCTGCAGCTGGGGTGGCGGCAGGACCTCGGCTGGGTCCTCACCAGCCCTGGGCCTCCCTGGCAAAGTGGGCTGTGGACGCTGGGCAGGCCAGACCCCAGACTCCTGGCTCCCTCACCCAGGCCTGGGAGTGGTTCTCAGTTTGCTCAGTGCCCCCCAGCCCCACCTGAGATCAGGTCCTTATGGCCTGGAGCCAGGGGATCTGCAGCTCCCCTCCCCTCTCCCTGCCCTCTCGAAGCCCACGGCAGAAGCACCCCCTGGGTCGGACCATGCCAGGGTGCCCTCTGGATCGGACCAGGTTCCAGCTCCTCAGACAGCGGGAGACGCCTGCTCACCTCTCCCCAGCCCCCTCTCCCTCTCCACACCCTGTCCCCTCCCTGGGAAGGCTGCACCCCTCTGTTCCCAGCCACTCACTCCCTCGAGGCCCGCTCAGTCCTCCCTGCAGTGGCCTCCCTGCCTGGGGGCTTCACTGACGGCAGCAAACGTTGCTCAGGCTCGGTGGGTGGCGCTGTGTGTTCAGCCCGGGGCCTCCGGCGTGCTGGTGTCAGCCAGCGTGGGACCTGCTCAAGGTAAGCCCTCAGGCAGTGGTGCTGAACGACTGAATGAATGAATGAATTCTGGCCTAGAAGGTGGGACGGGCATGGAGCTGCACAGCAGTGCTCCCAGGAAGACGCTAATATGGGAGGGGCTCTGGAAGGCTGAGCAGGGGCATCTGCTGAGAGCAGAACCAGAGGCTGAGGAGTGGGGAAGGGTCAGGCCGGGAGAGAGGGTGAGGTGGGCGGGGCTGAGGCCACCCGCGGATCCTTGGGGGAGCTTGGAAAAGGGGCCGTGGCTGCCCCCTCAGGACGAGCTGGGCCCCTTGGGGATGGGGGTCCGCCTGACGCCCCCCCCCCCCGCCCCAGGTCCAGCCCCGGAAGCCTGTCATCTGCACGGTGAGCTCTGATGACTGAGTCTCACTTTCCAAAGAGGCTTCCTCACCACAAGGCTCTCCTGTCCTCCCTGAAGGGACCTCTGTAGCCAGGTGTTGGCAGCGTCACCCCACGCGTCACTCAGGGCAGCTCGTAAGCCAGCAGTCCACGAATAAAACAGCGACCACCAGGAACCCTATTTATGGTCCTGATAAGTCCAGAGCCAGGCGCTGACCCAGGGCCTGCCTTGCTCCTCCCATTCCATCTGCACAGCAGCCCTGCATGGGGACGGGACTGCCGTGAGCCCACTTCCCAGAGGAGGAAACGGAGATGTCCAGGGGCAAACTCGAGTCACACTGCTGAGAAGTGAGGTCCCACGCCCTTCGAAGCAACACGGAGTGTTTAGAGAAGCTCAGGACAGTGATTGATCTAAGGTGAGGGTGGGGGATGGCAGGAGCAGAGGGGACACCCAGAGCTGAGAACAGAGCAGAGGGCTGTGTGTTTTGGGGGAGACAGCAGGAGCTGGGAACAGAGCAGAGACTTGTACATTCTGGGGGTGTCCAGGGCTTGCTTGGGAATCTTTCTCCCAGAAAAAGCTGACAGACACTCAAGATGTGCAGGCTGTTCCCGGGCTAACAGTCCGCAAGCCCAGGCACAGACTGGCAAGGTCACGATCAGCCCCAGCCCAGGCTCCCCTGGCCGGGCCAGGAAGGCAGGAGGGCAATAGAGACATGGAGCCCAGGCCCCCGCTCCCGTCCCTTCCCCAGACCCCACATGTCACGAGCAGTCTGGCTCCTTGTACTCTCCAGAATCCCTTGCCTGTCTCCAGCCCTCGGTTGTAACTCCAGAGAGGGCTGCTGCCATGTTTCACCTGAGCACCCCTGCCCTGCCTCCCAGTGGCCACTCGAGTCCCACTGCCTCTTCCCGCCATCAGCCTGCAGCAGCCACAATGCAGACAGGGGCACCGCCCAGCCTGACCTGGTCTCCGTCCTGCCAATCCCTGCCCCTGCCCCTGCTCCTGGCTATGCCCTGACGGGTCCTAGGCTGGACCTCAGATGCTCAAAGATGCCAGGCTGCTCCAGCTCCTGCTTCTCCCCAACAGGGCTCAGATCATCCAGCCCATCCCACTTTCCCACTAACTGCACATGTGTCAGACTCAAATGCACCTTCCTCCGGGAAGCAGTCCATGATTAGACACCCGCCCCCCATGGCCATCAGAGCCCATACCCCCCCATAGTAGAATTTATACCTGTTCATCTGCTCCCCCACCCCAGAACAGTGAGCACCAGGACAGGGCCTATGCCTGCCCAGCTCACGGCAGGCCCAGCTCCTCCCAAGTAAACTAACGAGGGCCTTTTTTTTGGTGGTGGAGACAGGGTCTTGCTCTGTCACCCGGGCTGGAGTGCAGTGGTGCAATCATGGCTCACTGCAGCCTTGACCTCCCAGGCTCAAGTGATCCTCCCGCCCCAGCCTCCCGAGTAGCTGGGACTACAGGCATGCATCACCATGCCCGGCTAATTTTTTAATTTTTTTGTAGAGATGGGGTCTCACTATGTTGCCCAGGCCAGAGGGTCCTTCCCTCTGCAGCCCAGGGACGTGAAATGAGAGAAAGGGGGTCTGTGGGTGCCAGCGCTCGCCTGCTGTGTCCTGGGTCCTCCAAAACATCCAGCCAGCTCCGGGCAGGTGCGGTGATCCTCAGGGCATGTGCAGGTGGCCCTGTGACACCGGCCGCCACTCTCGTTTCCCCAGAGTTACCTCCAAAGGGAACCTCACGCCTCATCTCAGAGCAGTTGGTGGTGCAGGCTGAGCTGATGTGGTCACGTTGTTTTTGCAGGCGAGGTCTGAATCCAGAGACTAGGCGTCAGGGTCTTCTAGGGGGGCCAGAGCAGAGCCAGGTGCCCGAGTCTCAGCCACAGGGCCTCGCCGGGCTCCTCCCAGGAGGACGAGCACCACGCTACCGAGGACGAGGACGGGGTTAGGGCTTCCCACGTGTAGATCACTCTCGCTTCACTGAATCCTCACAGGAACCCAGGAGGGAAGACTGTGTTATTTTTTCCTTTCACTGATAGAGAAACTGACGCTTGGAGTGGATAAGAAACTTGCCCCAGATCACAAGCTAAGAAGTAGAGGAGGCGTAGGCCGGGCGCTGTGGCTCACGCCTATAGTCCCAGCGCTTTGGGAGGCTGAGGCAGGCGGGTTGCTTTAGCCCAGGAGGCCGACTGCAGTAAGCCGTGATCGTGCCACTGCACTTCAGTCTGGGCGACAGAGCGACTCCCTGTCTCAAAAAAAAAAAAAAAAGTAGAGGAGGCGGATTCCACCCCAGGGTTGCGTGCTCCAGAGCTGCGTTGCTTCTTCCTTCAGGACACGTCCTGTCAGGTGGGGTCAGGAGGGTACCAGGAAGGAAGAGACAGAAGGCCATAGGGAATTCAGAAGGGGGAGCGTGTGCCCTTGTCTGGACATCCAAGAGGGCTTCTTGGAGGTTGTGGCATTTGAAATGAGCCTGGAAACATAAGTAGGGTTTGACCAAGAGAAGTCAGAGTTGGGAAAATCCGTGGGAAACTATCAGGGGGGTCCCAGAAGCTGTGGACACCCGAGGGCCCCACGTGCCTGGCACACCCAGCACCTCCTTCAGCAGAGGAGGTGGAATTCCAACACCGTGCAGCTGGCCTGCGCCTTCCCAGAGGCTGGGTGTGCAGGGAGGAGAGAGGACAGAGAAGCCCCAAGTCCCCGGGCCGGAGTTGGGGAGATCGCGTGAGTCTGAATCTGGCTTGCACAAACCCCAGGCCCTCTCCCGGCTCCCAGCATCACTGGCAAAGTTGTGTGGCTGTGGAGGGAGGGTCTGGAGCCCCCATTAAAGGCCCAGGATCCCGCAGGCTCCACACCCTGCAGAAGGCCTAAGGCTGAGCGTCTGGGGGAGGGGGAGAGAGGAGGGCCCCGGACAGCCTCCGAACTTTGCATCCGCTCCAAGTAAAGGGAAAACACAGCTGTTCAAGGCAGAAAGGCTCCGTTTACACTTGGAAAAGCTGAAGGTGGGGCTGCACAGCCCTGAGCCGCAATGACTTTCGCACATCCCCCGGCAGCCCGGGAGGCGCCCGCCCACGTGGAAGGACGGCTTTTCAAGCCTTTCTGGGGTTTCTTCCCCACTTTCTGAGGCCGGCCTGTGACGGATGACGGGTCCGCTCGGGCCTGACGCAGCCTTTCTTCTGCTAAACTTTCCAGCTAAAAATACCTTTACTTTTAAGGACTGCGTCTCCCTCTGGAGCCTGATTTTCTCTCCGAAGCTTCCTCTGACAAGTCTTCCGGCTCCGTGGATAGAAAGTTTTTAATTGATCCTGCTTTTGTGCAGGAGGAGCGAGGTGGGCGACACCTTTCATCTTCCCCGAGGCCGCTGGGCCTGCGATGGCTGAGTGGCAGTGGGCAGGACTGGAAATCCTTAGGTGATCAAAGGCTGCGAGGAAGGCAGTAGCTAGAACGTGCCCCGGGGGGTGTGGAGGGCCCAGCTCATGGCCTCGGAGAAAGGCAGCTCCACCTCCCAGGAGGGGAGCTGAGCTCTGAGCCACGACGCTCAGGGGTCCCAGGGCCTCCTGGGACCAGGCAGAGGGCCACAGCTCACTGCCCCTGTGTGAGGAGAACTCAGCCACGTCAAAGAAGGAGAAGGGACAAAATACCCATGGTGGGAACTAACGTATTAGTGACCATCACACAGGAACTAAAGTATTAGTCAGAGTAGAGCCTCACAGGAGCCCCACGGGATTTCTCCTTTAGCCTGAAGCCACCTTCCTGGTCAGTGGTGACCGAGCCTCCTGAGAGGCACCGAATTATTGGTCCTGATTCCTCCCCACCCAACAAGGTGGTCAGACTCTTCATATGGCAGCTCAGACCTCCAAGTGTGCTCCAAGAGACAGGAGGCAGAAGTGGGCCCAGAAATGGAGAGAGTCAGTTCCACCATATCCTATTGCTTGAAGCAGTAACAGGCCCACCCAGATTTAAAGGGAGGAGATATAGACCTCCTCATTTCAATGGGAGAAGTTCACAGAATTTGTGACCATCTTTACCACACTTATGAAAAGTACAATCAGCAGTCAGGAAGGGCTCCACACAGTGACTCAGAGACCCAGTCCAGGAGGGGCTCTGCTCCACACAGTGACTCAGACACCCATGCCACAAGAGGCTCAACTCCATACAGTGACCCAGAGACCCAGGCCATGAGGGGCTCAGCTCCACACAGTGACTCAGACACCCAGGCCATGAGGGGTTCTGCTTCACACAATGACTCAGAGACCCAGGCCATGAGGGGCTCTGCTCCACACAGTGACTCAGAGACCCAGGTCAGGATGGGCTCTGCTCCACACAGTGACTCAGACACCCATGCCACAAGAGGCTCGACTCCATACAGTGACCCAGAGACCCAGGCCAGGAGGGGTTCTGCTTCACGCAATGACTCAGAGACCCAGGCCAAGAAGGGCCCTGCTCCATACAGTGATTCAGAGACCTAGGCCAGGAAGGGCTCAGCTCCACATAGTGACTCAGAGACCCAGGTGTATTTCACTTCCATGCACACTTCATGGCCAGAATTCAGCACATGGCTCCACCGAACTGCAAAGGATGCTAGGAAATGCCATCCAGCTGTGTGCCTGGAGGGAAGGGAGATAGGCTTGGACAGTCCATGGGTCTCCCTCCCAAGGTTGAGGCGAGGAGTACGTGAAAAGGATGCTTGACACATCACTGGCAGCCCTGAATGGCCATCCTCCCCTCCTCTAAGTACCTCTGAGCATGTGGGCAGCGGGCATGGCTGGTCTGCATCACTGTGTGGTTTGCTACTGGTACCTGCCAGTCCCGTAGCACCTGCAAAAGGAAACATCCCCCACGTATGGGTAGCCCCAGGTGCCCATGCCATGCATCCCATGGCTCCCCTGTTGTCCACAGCTGAGGGAACAAAAAGAGGCTGGTCACTGGCCCACAAAGGTACCTGGCATGAGAAGCTTTGCCTGGGGAGACTGGTCCAACCAGAGTCTACGCCAGCCAGAGATGAGCTGAAAAGAGGCAGAGAGCAATCACAGTGTGCAGTGTGGGTTGCGTGGGGCTGGGGCAAGCAAGAGCTCACAGCCTTCGGGTGCAGAGCTGGAAGCTGACACAGAAAGCTCTAGAGAACAGGGGCAGGAAGCGGGTGGGTGCAAGAGTTCTGATAAGGTGATGAAGGAGAAGCAGAGACCATGAGACTTAGCTGAGATGTGCTGGTGAAGATCTTTCTCTGGACTCTGAGAAGCCATCTTACACCACACAGGGGAAGACCAAGTCCTTTCCTCCTACCCTTCCAGGCTCTCAGCAGGGGCTCCATCAAAAAAAAAAAAAACAGATTAACAAGTGAAAAACATACATATTGCTTTCATGTATGTTTTACAGGACCTAGTGCCCTCATAAGGAAATGAACACATAAAGCAGCAGGCAGAGTGGAATATTTATGAACTAAACTGGACAACATAGTAAATTAGGAAAATGTGACAAGACAAAGGGGCTTGGGCTAAGGTAGTTTATGGTGGAAAAGTAGGAAGATAAGGATCAGTTTAACCACGTGTGTCTGCACAGATCTTTCTCTGCCTCGACTCCCCATCTCTGGTGATAAGAATGTTACTTCCTCTCTGGTATAGAGAGGACATCTTCTATGCAGGGGTTTTATCTCCTACTTTTAGGAAGAAAAAGCAGAAGTCAGAGTACTTTAGTCACTGCTGCTATTTCTTTTCCTCGGCTCTTTCTTTCTTTCTTTCTTTCTTTCTTTCTTTCTTTCTTTCTTTCTTTCTTTCTTTCTTTTTTTTTTGAGATGTAGTCTTGCTCTGTCACCCAGGCTGGAGTGCAGTGGTGCGATCTCAGCTCACTGCAACCACTGTCTCCCGGGTTCAAGTGATTCTCCTGCCTCAGTCTGCTGCGTAGCTGGGATTACAGGTGCACACCACCACACCCAGCTAATTTTTGTATTTTTAGTAGAGAGGGGGTTTCACCGTATTGGCCAGGCTGGTCTCGAACTTCTGACCTCAAGCAATCTGCCCACCTCAGCCTCCCACCCCCTGGGATTACAGGTGTGAGCCACTGCGCCCGATGCACCTGCTATTTCTTTAAGTGCCTTTAGCTCAAAATAACCCTTATGTCAAAGAGGCATATTTGAGGGTGGCATATTCTACCACCCTTTAGTCTCATCCTGAGCAGGAGACTCACAAGATATCCCGGGTCCTTATGAACCAAGAGCAACCAACAGAGTGCAGACACAGCTAGAGAGAATCATCACTCTCAGTCATGGGTCCACAGACTTTCTGCAGGGAGCCCACTGGTCAGGATTTGTGGCTTTGCAGGTCTCTCTCACAATCGCTCAACTCTGCCTTCATGGTGCAAAAGCAACCATAGACAATAGATACACAGTGAATGGGGCTATGTGCCAATAAAACTTTATAGACACTGAAATGTTAATTACATAAAATTTTCACATTTCAAGACATACCATTCTTCGTTTGATTGTTATCAAATGTAAAACCCATTGTTAGCTTGTGGGCTGTACAGAAAGCAGGCAGCGGGCTGGATCAGGCCCATAAGCTGTAGTTCGCCAACGCTAGTCTTAGTGCAGAAGGGCCAAGGGTGTCCTGTGGTTTGGTCATTCAGCTCCTGAACCTACTTCCGGGCCTGCGGAGACCTCTCCTTCTGAGGCAGAGCCCGCCTTCTGCTGTCACAGCCAAACGTGGCCAATGTGCACATGTATCCCAGACGGCCATTGGCAGCCGCTGCCCCCGCCTCCACCAAGGCACGTGCTGGGAACCAGGGACCGAGGGGAACCGTTCTGGGATGGGTGGCGACCCTGGACACCAAGGCACATGGCGGTGCCCGAGGGGTGGTGCTGCCTGGTGGCAGCGGAGGGGAGAAACCCCCACACAGCTCAGGCCGGGCAGCGATGGCAGTGGTGTCTTCACCAACCACTTCCGCTGGAGCCCATTCTTCCCTCCCAGCCTCACGGGCTCCGAGCTGGGTCCTCTGGCCTCCAGAGGTTCTGGGAGTCCCAGTGCCCTTGGAATGAATTCATTTTCTGCTTAAATCAGCTGGAAACTATTTCCGTGGCCTACAAATAAGAGCCCTGTCAGTTGTTGGAATTTCTCTTCGTGCTTTTCTCTAGTGAATTTCCAGGGCAGAAAAATGGGCTATAACGTTCTTCTTTTAATAAGTTGTTTTTAAAAAACTATTACATCAATAATACATGTTCACTATTTTAAAAAGCAAGAAATAAAGAATAATACAAAGAAGAAATAAAAATTTTTCAGCACCCAGAGATAATAAGCACAATTACTATTTTGAGGTAAACCCTTTCAGAGACAGATACAGATTTTTTTTATTACAAGAAAATGGGATGATATTATATGCCATCTTCTGACTGGCTCTTTTACTTGCTGGCATATCATGAGCTTCTTTTAATGTCAATAAGCATATGTTTACATCTTTTTTGGGGGGGTTGGGACACAGTCTTACTCTGTCGCCCAGGCTGGAGTGCAGTGGCACAATCTTGGCTCACTGCAACCTCCACCTCCTGGGTTCAAGCAATTCTCCTGCCTCAGCCTCCAGAGTAACTGGGATTACAGGCATCCTCCACCACGCTCGGCTAATTTTTGTATTTTTAGTAGAGATGGGGTTTCACCATGTTGGCCAGGCTGGTCTTAAACTCCTGACCTCAGGTGATCCGCCCGCCTCGGCCTCCCAAACTGTTGGGATTACAGGCGTGAGCCACTGCGCCCGGCCTACATCTTTTTAAATAAATGCCTACGCCATCAAATAATTTTTCTGCATCGATAAAGATGATCATATGATTTTTCTTTTTTTAAATTTTTTATATAGAGACAAGATCTCACTATGTTGCCCAAACTGGCCTTAAACTCCTGGCCTCAACTGATCCTCCCACTTCAGCCTCCCAAAGTTCTGGGGTTACAGGAGTGAACCACTGCACCTAGCCAATTTTTCTTTTTATTATGTTTTTTGTTTTTTATTTTTTTATTGAGACAAGGTCTCACTATCACCCAGACTAGAGTGCAGTGGCATAAACACAGCTTACTGCAGCCTCAAACTCCTGGGCTCAAGTGATTCTCCTGCCTCAGCCTCCCAAGTAACTAGGACTATGGGTGTGCACCACCATGTCCAGCTAAGTTTTTTTTTATTTTTAGTAAAGGCAGGGTCTCACTATGTTTCCCAGGCTGCTCTCCAACCTGGAGGGTTCAAGCAATCCTCCCACCTCGGCCTCCCAAAGTGTTAGGATTATAGGCGTGAGCCTCTGACCCTGGTCTGTGATTTTTTTTTTTTTCTTTTTTGAGACAAAGTCTCATTCTGTCACCCAGGCTGAAGTGCAGTGGTGCGATCTTGGGTCACTACAACCTCCGCCTCCCAGGTTCCAGCGATTCTCCTGCCTCAGCCTCCCAAGTAGCTGGGATTACAGGCATCTACCACCACACCCAGCTAATTTTTTTGTATAGTAGAGACGGGGTTTCACCATGTTGGCCAGGCTGGTCTCAAACTCCTGACCTCTAGTGATCCTCCCGCCTCAGCCTCCCAAAGTGCTGGGATTACAGGCATGAGCCACTATGCCCGGCCATGTGATTGATTTTTGACTGTTAAGCCAACCTTGCATTTTGAAATAAATCCCACTTGGTTGTGATATTGTTTTATTTGACTTGCTAATATTTTTTAAGGATTTTCACATCCATTTTCATGGGAAGAGTTGACCCATGATGTTTCTTTGTTGTAATGTCTTCATCAGAATTTAGCATTAAAGTTTTGCTAGACTCATAACATGAGTTAGACAGTGTTCCTGCTTTCTGTCTTCTCTGGGAGATTTGATGTAAGACTGGGATCCTTTCTTCCTTCAGTGTTTGGTGGAATTCACCAGGGAAGTCATCTAGGCCTGGAGTTTTCTTTGCCCGATCGTTCCTAATTTGGGGCTCAATTTCCTTAATGGATATGTTTTTTTTTTCTTGTGACAGCTTTGGTAAGTTGTGTTTTTAAAATACTTTGCCTATTTCCTTTAATTCTCAAATGTATCCACATAAGCTGCTCTGCTCTCTTCGTCCATTCTGTTTAAACATTAGACCTCTGTATGATTACAAGAGGTTTCTGTATGATTAGAGGTTTACGCACTGTATGCCTGTATCATACAGTGCATAGTATGCCTGTATCATACAGTATCTAGCCCTCACCAAAGTATATCAGCATGTCTTTTGTATGTGTCTGTCTTTGTCATCTCCTCTGCCCCCCACTGAACTGTGAACTCCCCACCCCCAGGCGTAGGGACCAGATGGAACTCACTGCCCAGACAGGACACATCTAGGCACCATTGAACTGAGGCCAGAGTGAACGGTCGCACTTCAGAATTTCAGGGGCAGCTCCCACTGGCTGCTGACTGCTTTAAATGGGCCTCAGATCACTTTGAAATGGAGCTTTCAGATGCCGTTTGCATGGAAACATCTAAGAGCTCCCCAGGTCCACCAAGCCAGAGAAAGTCATTGATAGATTAGTTTGAATGAGGATTAATCAATAATTTATGCTGATGTTTTTCCTCATACAGCAAAGAGGCCTTTTTTTTATATGATTTGACAGGGTCAGGCACACCTTGGTTTAATTAAACCTCATACAGAAAATTAAAAAAAAAAAAATGCCTACCAACCCCTGGGTGATTGGTTACCAAAGATGGACTCAACCTGCAATCGATGAGGAGGGACGGAGGAGCAGACCGGGCTGTTGAGTGAAAGTCCAGATTCAGCAGATGCCTCTGCAAGGCTGCCCTGATGGGCACGGCGAATGTAAGTACACTTATTGGCATCTTCTCATAACATGGCTTTTAGGAGGCCAGCCATTCGCACGCGATGATGGATGGTTTTGCTGGCGGGAACCAACGTCTGGAAGCCAACTTTGCCGAGGCCTCCCTTGGAGGAGCCGGAATGCTGAAACCGACATCCTCGGAGCAGACATCAAAAGCAGCGCATAAAATTTAATGATCAACCTCTTCCCAGCAAAACGGAAGCAATCTTGGAATCGAGTGGAGCATCGCCGTTAGGCGAGCTTCTCAGAGGACTTTCCAAGTCTTCCACCCTTCAGGCTGTCAGTGGGATCTCCAGCCGGGGCAGCCTGGCCAAGCGCCCCCATCCCCAGATCCACCTCCTTACACCACTAGACCAGTAGTGCTCAGTCCCAGAGGCGCCTGGGCAGCCACACCCAGCAGACCCCTCCCCACTGCACTGCGGCCACGGCCTCCATGTTAGTGGTTCACGCTGTCACATGAGATTGAGTCCGTCAGGTTGCAACTCCAGATCCCCACTCACCACCCTGCGGTGTGCAGAGGGGAGGAGGCATCTTAGTTCCCTTACAGCGGACAGAAGAGGTCGGGACCACGCAGCCGTCCCCCAGTTCCCAGGTGACTTGTGCAGGGCCTTGTGAACGTCCCTGAAGCGCCGTTTGTCCTCCCCCTGCCCCACATCATGCTGGCTGGACCCCTGCCCTAGAATGCCAGCTCCTGGGCTGAGTGTCCTGGGCAGACACTGAGCCAGAGCTGGAGCGTTGCTCCAAGCAGAGGAGCCTGGAAGAACCTGGCCCCGCTCCTGCTCCCCAGGCTGCCGTGCTGCCCCACCTGCCCTTCCACCCCCGCATTCTTCACTGTGCTTTTTGTTTTTTAATTTAATTTTTGACTGTGGTAAAACAGGCATAACATAAAATTCATCATTTTAGCCATGTCTAAGTGTGCAAGTCAGTGGCATTAAGCACATTTGCATTGTGCAGCCATCACCCATCCATCTCCAGAACTCCTTCATCGTCCCAAATGCAGCTCTGTCCCCATGAAACACTCACTCCCCTTCCCCCTCCCCCAGCCCCCGGCAGCCTCCATTGGACTTTCTGTCTCTATGGACTTGACTTTTCCAGGTACTTTGTAGAAGTGAATCTGCCAGTATTTGCCCTTTTGTGACTGGCTGATTTCACTGACTATAATGGCCTCGAGGTTCCGCCGTGTTGTAGCCTGTGTCAGAATCACCTTCCTTTTTAAGGCTGAGTCATATTCTGTGGTATGGATGGAACACACCTCATCTACCATTCACCCAGCAATGGGCACTTGGCTGCTTCCACGTCTTAGCTATTATGAAGAATGCTGCTGTGAACATGGGTGTACAAATATCTTTTTGAATTTCTGTTTTCAGTTCTCTTGAGTGTACACCCAGAAATGGAATTGCTGGATCACGTGATCATTCCTTGTTTCATTTCTGAGGAACCTCCATGCTGGTTTCCACCATGCCTGCTTCGTTTTGCATTCCCACCAACGGTGCACGAGGCTTTCCATTTCCTCAGATCCCCATCAGCACTTGTGTTTTTCTGTTTTGTTTTCATAAGAGCCATCCTAATGGATGTGAAGTGTTCACCTTTGCTTTTGATTAAGTGAGCCTCATTCCTTCCATAAATCCTTCTTTATCCTTCCCGAAATTAGCCAGAGTTACTTTTGGCTGCTGGCAGAAAAACCCTGACTTATCCTAGAGGGGAGACTTGCTCGTGTCAGAACCACAGAAGCTTAAGGAGTCCATCGGAGTGGGCACTTTCTTGTGCCCTCTCTTAGCACCCCGCTTGCAGCAGGACTGCAGCTATAGCCCCCTGTTGTGTGTAGGGAGGGATGGGGGAGGTGGGGGTGCTACGAACATGAGCAGAGGAGCCCCTGCTCTAAAGGAGCTCAAGGCTGATTGGAGAATCAGCTGTGTGCCAGGGAACTAATTCAGCCCACATCTGGTGAGCACCAGGTACTTGCCAGGCACTGGGGTTATATGGGAGCAAATTTAGACCTAGTTCCTCCCCTCATGAAGTTTACACCATAGTCAGGGAGACTGAGACGCTTTGGGTGACCCACCCATGAGACACGACCCTCCCTGAGTTCCTTGTTATCAGAGCACTGCTCCCAAATAGAAGATAAAGTTGGGAAATACCTGCCTCCTCAGACTTCTTTGCATGTGGGCATGGGCAGGTGGCCCAGCTCTATCCATTAGGACCTGAGGTCTGCTGGGGGGATCTGGGAAAGCTTTGCATCTCCAACAAGAAGAGTTGGGAGTAGCATTTTCCCCTCCTTCCTTGTAGACCTTATTATTGTGTGATGTGATGCTTGGAGCTGTGGCAGCCATGTTGTCACCATGAGTTGAGGCCTTGCCATTATGCTGGTGAAGTTGAGCGTAGTAAAATGCTAGCTCCTTGCTGCTGTTACTGAGCTGCTGAATCAAGTCTCTTTTCTTTTTTTCTCTTTTTTTTTTTTTGAGACAGAGTCTTGCTCAGTTGCCCAGGCTGGAGCGCAGTGGCACTTACTGGGCTCACTGCAACCTCCACCTCCCAGGGTTCAAGTTATTCTCCTGCCTCAGCCTCCTGAGTAACTGGGACTACAGGTGCCTACCACCATATCCAGCTAATTTTTAAAATATTTTTAGTAGAGATGGGATTTCACCATGTTGGCCAGGCTGGTCTCACACTCCTGACCTCAGTGATCCTCTTGCCTCGGCCTCCCAAAGTGCTGAGATTACAGGGCCGCCGTGCCTGGCCCAAACCTCTTATTATGTGAGAAAAATAAGCTCCTATTATTAAAGCCACTTTTCCCCGGATATTCTATTACAGCCTAAGGCATTCTACCTGATACAAAGAGGATGACACAAAACGAAGAATTACATACAGAAATGAACGTTCCAGCTGGGCTGTATCCAGCGAGAGTAAGATATGCTGCATTAAACAGGTAGTCAAGGCCCTGTCAGGGAGATTGGGGCAGCCTCCCTGGGAAAGTGACCACCGAGCAGATGTCAGGACCAAAACCAGTAGATCTCAGACAGAGAGAAGAGCCTGTGCCAGAAGGAGTGTGGGGTCCGTAGGAGCGCATTAAAATCACTTAGAGAGAGTCTAACAGTTCACACCTGCTCCCACCTCACTCAAATGAGACCTGAATGTCCAAAGTTGGGGACCCAAATGTGCAGCAGGATTGAGACCCGTGGATTGGCATGCCGGTGAGGCTGGCCTGGAGAGTGTGGGTGGGGAGAGATGAGGCTGGGGTGGGAGGGGCCAGCTAGAAGCAGATAATGCCCTACAGACCGGGGGAGCACAGAGGGGCCCAAGCACAGCTTGGCAGCCTGGCGCAGGAGGACGTGCACCTACCTGAGTCACGTGGCCGCTGATCTTTGCCCCGCCAGCCCCTCCCTGGAACCCGGAGAAAATCACCTCCCTGTCTGGGTTTCACTTTGCCCATCTGCTAAAGGGGCACCACAACCTCCTCTCCAACTCAGAGCAGCTGAGGGGGAGGTGGGGACCCTGGTGCCATCGGAAGCCAGGCAGGAGCAGTTCTGGGGGGCGTTCTTTCGGGGGTGCCTGCCTCTGTCCTGGGTCGGGGTGTGGGCCCAGCCGTGCCCTGAGATGAGAAGGTCGCAGCGGCCATCAGGCCTGGGTGGCCCTGTCCCTATTGTGGCCCGTGCTGCTGCGTCTCCCGCCGTAGTGGGTTAGATGGTGGCCCCCAAAAGATAGGTCCACCCAGACCCTCAGAATTGTCCTTATTTGAAATGAAGGTCTTCAAAGATGTCATTAAGATGAGTATCTTCAGATGCAATCATCCTGGACTGGGCTGGGATGACAATGACAGGTGTCCTCATAAGAAGAGGAGAGGATACAGAGACACAGAGGAAGAGGCCACCTGAGGGCAGAGACAGGGACAGGATCAAAGAACAGCGAGGAGAGCCCACAGGCAGCAGACACCGGGACAGAGGCCAGCAGAGTCTCCCTCTAAGCTCCAGTAGGAGCCATCGCCACGGGCGCCTTAACTCCAGCCCTCCGGTCGCAGAGCTGTGGGATGACCCTGTGTTCAGCAGCCCAGCTCGCACTCATCTGTCACAGCAGCTCCGGGACGCTGGTGCACAGCCAGCCCAAGCATCTCAACCACCTCCAGCTCCTCCCAGAAGGCAGCGGTGCCCAGGAGCCACAGGCTGCTCCCTGCGGCTCCCCGCGGCTCCCCCCTCAACCCTCGCTTCTGGGCCTGGAGGCCCGGACAGAGCAGAGCAGGACGCCCCTTCTCAGGAGCAAGGTCGCCATCCCTTCATGGCCAGCTTGCCCAGCCCCAGAATGGTGGCCTGGCCGAGGAGGGGCCGTCTCATCAGTGCTGCAGGAAGCTTGTGCTGTTGTGGTGGCGGAGACTGTACCGCACCCAGGGTGACCTTCCCATGACAAAAGTGGCGCTGGCATCAATTATTCACGCCGAGCACCTTGGAACGCGCTCAAAACACACGGGCCAGGGCTTTTTGTTGTTACCCCCACCCCGCCTTTAAAGACATTTGTCAAATCTGCGTCTGGCAGAGAAACAGAGAGACGGGGCATTCGGAAGGGACGGGGAGCCGAGCGCCCACGGGGCTCCACCAACTCGCCGGCGCCGGGCTCTCCGCGGCGGCCCCACGCAGAAAGAGCTGTCTGCCGGCCGCGGGGCCTTTGATTCCTCCCTGACAGAGCGCTGACGGATTGATCTGGAGCCGTACATAATTCATGAGCCCCTGAGCCGCTGTGAATTCTGAGCAGGCCTTTCTACGACACAGACGACACAGACGAAGCTGGGCAGGAGAGAAGGGCTTGGGGCGCGGGCGTCATTTCCAGACCTGGGACAGGGAGATGGGGCCTACCCGTCCTCTCTTCCTCTGCCACTCCCCTGGCTGCCACCGTCCCCAGGAGATGCTTCTTCAGCAGGGTGCAGAGAAGAGTTCAAGGGAGGCTCCGGGGCTGTGGGGGTGGCCACGTGCACAGTCCATCATCTCAGAGACAGGGCTGCAGGGACCCTGCCCCATCTGCCCCCTAGAACCCCGAGCACACCCTTCCAGATGGCCAAGAGGAGACTGCAGCCCCTAAGGGACGCCCTCAGGTCACAGTCCTGCACACACGACTAGCTGGGTGACCTTGCACAAGTCACTCAGCCGGCCTGAGCCACACTCTCTCCCTCAAAAGCACAGGGATAATAAGCACAACAGGTGAAGGCACTTCCCTTCCACCTGCAACCCAGCTTTCCGCTGCACTGTTGGAGGTGATGGTCACTTGGGATTCTCCTAGCAAGTCACACCCATCCCCCTCTTTTCCATGTCGCCCCCCAGCTCCATCTCCTGGGGTGCAGCCATAGGCAGAGTCTTGGGACCTGGTTCACACTCAGACCTTGAGGCGCAGACCATGACCCACGCTAGACCAAGGAGCACAGAACAGAGCCACCATCGGGTAGAGAAAGGCGTGTCAAACTCAGTTTCTCAGAACCCCAGGAGGTGGTTCACAAGCCCCGCAAAACAGCGGAACGACCTAGAGTTTGCAAAGGACAGCATCTGGGCCTCCCCAGGAATTCAGATTCAGAGGTCCTGGTGGATCGGGAATCCATGCAGTTCTCCTGATGTGACTGAGGTGGCCGCTGCCTGGCCAGAAACAGGTACCTGGGAAGAGGCCCAGGCCCAATTCTATGATATTTTCCAACTGGAGTGTGGCTGGAGGTGTTTCTGCAAAACAATTAGGTTGTCTTTTTTTTCCCCAATGTTTCTGGTTGACGACATTGATTTTTTTTCTCATACTATTTATTGTTAATAAATTTTTTCCAAACTGCAAATTTAGTACATACATAAATGTTTTGTTATTCTCCGTGCTTTTCTGTATTTAAATTTTTTCAGGCCGGGCGCGGTGGCTCATGCCTGTAATCCCAGCACTTTGGGAGGCCAAGGTGGGTGGATCACTTGAGGTCAGGAGTTCAAGACCAGCCTGGCCAACATGGTGAAACCCTGTCTCTACTAAAAATACAAAAAATTAGCCGGTCATGGTGGCGTGCGTCTGTAATCCCAGC
Source organism: Homo sapiens (assembly GCF_000001405.40). Lineage (NCBI taxonomy): Eukaryota > Metazoa > Chordata > Mammalia > Primates > Hominidae > Homo > Homo sapiens. The sequence goes on along the minus strand of NC_000009.12, from coordinate 131,822,531 downwards.
TACTCGGGAGGCTGAGGCAGGAGAATTGCTTCAACCCAGGAAGCAGAGGTTGCAGTGAGCCGAGATTGTGCCACCGTAGTCCAGCCTGAGCAACAGAGCTAGACTCCATCTCAAAAAAAAAAAAATTTTTTTTTCAACATTAAAACATAATATATATTGCATGCCAAAAAAAAAAATATGGAAAATAGAAAAGCAGAAAGAAAACTATCTCCCAGGCTGGGCACGGTGGTTCACACCTGTAATCCCAGCACTTTGAGAGGTTGAAGCAGGAGGATCATTTGAGGCCGGAAGTTCAAGACCAACCTGGCCAGCATAGCAAGCCCCCCATCTCTAAAACCAAATAAACAAAAAGAAAACTCTCCCCCACAATCCCTCCATCCACAGATGATGACCATGAGCACCTTGGTCTGTGTCTTCCCAGGACCATAGCGATGTGAACAGAGAGACATCCTATTTTATCTTGCTATGTTTTAACTGTGGTAAAATATATATAACATAAAAGTTACCATTTAAACCATTTTTAGGTGTATATTGTTTGCAGCCATCACCACCGTCCATCTCCAGAACGCTTTCATCTTCTAAACTGAAACTCTGTCCTATCAAGCACTCACTCCTCATTCCCCCTCCCCATCCCCTAGCAACCTCCATTCTGCCTCTATGGATTTGACAACTCTAGGGACCACATAGAAGTGGAATTCTGCAGCATTTGTCTTTTGTGACTGCCTTATTTCACTCAGCATCATGTCCTCAAGCTTCGTCCAGGTTGTAGCATGCGTCAGAATTTCCCTGTTTCTAAGGCTGAGATATAGAGATCCTATCTATGAAATAAAATCATGTTATGGGTACAGAGTCTCTGTACCAACTGCTTTTTCACACAACATAGATTGAAAACCTTCTCCCATCAGAAACCAAGACATGATTTCCTTCCTTCCACCACTTCTTCCACCAGGTACATTCTCCTGAAAGCAGCTCTGGCCTGGGAAGCCCAGACCCTCTTTCCAGCTTGGGCACCTGGGAGGGGGCAAGTCCCACCTTAGGCCTCACTTGATCCCTGTCCAGTGAGGGGCTCGAGCTCACTCTGAAGCCCCAAAGTGCCTGCTCGTAGGCCATGTCTGGCCTACAGACACGATTCATGTGAGCTTCAGAAGTTTTCATTTTGAATCAACATAAAACATCTGGAGCTTTCACACTGTGTCAAGGGTCCATAACACCACCCCTACCTCCTGTTCAGTGATTCACTGGGACTCACAGGACTTAGCATACTCTTTGTATCACAACTATGACTTATTACAGCAAAAGGACACAAAATAAAATCAGCAAAGGGAAAGGTGCATTGGACAAAGTCCCAGGCAAGAAGGTGCCAGTTTCCAAGGGTTCCTTCCCAGGGCAGTCTCATGGGAGCAATTCCTCCTGCAACGTGTTGTAGCAGCACAGTCGAAGTGTCGTCTACCAGGGAAGCTCATTAGAGACTCAGTGCCTGGGGTTTTTATGGAGATCTGGTCACATAGCATTCTCTATCTAGCATGAAACAAAATTCCAGACCTCCAGAGGGCAAGCAGGTGTTCTGCATAAACCCCATTTTGTGTGCAAACAGTTCAGGCACAGCAAAGCAGCACAGCAAAGTTAGAGAATGGTGGCAACTCTCTCAAGATCCAAGTTCCCAGATGCCAGTCAGAGGCTACTCTTGCAAGCAGGCCTTTTAAAGGAGAGCGGTCTCAAGCACGCTATCTTAGTTCTCTTCTGCACACACATCAAAATCCAGGATTTTAAAAGTCCAAGGCTTAAGACAAAAATACAAACCATTTTGCCACCTCTCTGGGGGACAATAGCATATCTTTAAGGCAGGTGAGTAGGTCTAGGAGTCTTCATTGTTCCATTCTTGCAAATTAGCTGTAGGTTTGAGAGTAGAAAGAAGTCTAATGAAGACGTGCAACCTACACTAAAAACTGCAAAATGCCATTGAGATAAATTAACAAAGATCTAAACAAATAGAGGTATATACCATGTTCACGGATTGGAAAACTACAATACTGTAAACATATCGCTTTCCCCTAATGAATATCTAAATTCAATGCAATTTCAATCAAAATCCCAGGAGGTTTCTTTCTCATGGAAATTGACGAGCTGAGCCTAAAATTCATATAGAAAAGCTTTGGGCCAAGAATAGCCAAGAAGATCTTGAGAACAAAGAACAAGGCTGAAAGACTCACACTACAAGACATCAGAAGAAAAAAAAAACGCCACAGTAATTAGGACAGTGTGGGATTGGCACAAGAATAGACAAACTGACCGATAGAACAGAGGGAATCCAGAAAGAGACCTCCCCTCCCCACAGTGTACTCAACAGGGCAACCCAGCCATAAATGGGGAAAAGAGGGTCATCTCAAAAACATACCTCACAAGGCGAAGCATGGTGGCTCATACCTGTAATCCCAGCACTTTGGGAGGCTGAGGCAGGAAGATTGCTTGGAGCCAGGGGTTTGAGGCCAGCCTGGGTAACACAGTGAGATACCATCTCTAAAAAGTTTAAAAATTATCCAGGCGCGGTGGTGGGTGCTTGTAGTCTCAGCTACTCTGGAGGCTGAGGCAGGAGGATTGCTTGAGCACAGGAGGTCAAGGCTGCAATGAGCTGTGATCATGCCACTGCACTCTCGCCTGGGCAACAGAGCAAGATCCTGTCTCTATGACAAAACAAAACAAACATATCTCACAAATAACAAAATATCCATTCCAGGTGGATTCTAGATCTAAATGTGAAATACAAACAATAAAGCATTTACAATAAAGCATTACACTTTTGTGATCTTGGACTTGGCAAAGATGTGTTAAATAGGACACAAAACTAACCATAAAAAAAATAAATTGGACTATAGTAAGAATGTTTATTCATCAGAAGAACCTACTAAGAGAGTGAAAAGGTCATCTGTACAGTGTAATTAATGCAATATAAGGATTCATACTTATAACGTGCCTACAAACCAGTAAGAAAAAGACAGACATCCCAGGAGATAAATGGGCCTGGATAGGCAGAGAGGCCAACAGGGTTCCCAAATGAACCGAAAAATACCCCATATGACAAGAGGCTCAGCTTCATTAGCCAACAGGGAAATGCAAATACAAGCCACAGTGCAATGTCAATACACACCCACCAGAAAAGCTAAAACAAAAAAGATAGAAAATAATAATACAAGTTGGTGAGGATGTGGAGCAATGCACCTCTCTTACACTACTGGTGGGAGGAAAATGAGAACAACACTTTGGAAAACAAAAGCCATGCACCAGAATGTTCATAGCAGCACTGTTTATAATTACCCAGAAGCCCAACAATAGTAGAATGGGCAGAGTGTAGTATTCTCACGCATTGGAATACTGTACGGCAAGGAAAATTAATCATCTACCTCAACACACAGCAACGTGGATGAGTCTCCCGAATGTATGCTGAGAAATAGAAGCCAGACACCAAAGGGTACACGTGTGTCATCCCATTTATACAAAGCACAGACACAGACACGAGGGGCCTTCAAAGGTGCTGGTTCCATGGGACCAGTTTGTGAAAATCCATCCATTCATGGGCACTCACTCATTCATATACTCTGGACACTTACAGGCAATTTACTGCGTGTGTTATTAAAGGGAAATAGTTGTCTTTCTAAATCCTCCCAACATTTCAGACATCACATGTGGTTTGATGTCTGGTGTGGTTGCCCCACACCAACCAGTTCTTTAGTTCTTGGCAGACATCGACCAGGTGTCCTGCAATTTAACTGGATTCTGACACTAGCTGCCCAGAGTTAGCGCAGACCCCACAATCCTACAGACTGCACCCCACATCAGAGGCCAAGTTGGGGCCTCCTGTACTTTTGAACCACTGACTATAAATTGGGGGTTCCCACAACCCCCTTTCGTGTTCAATAATTTGCTAGAATGGTTCATAAAACTCAGGGCAACATTCATTTACATTTACCAGTTTTTATAAAGGACACGACTCAGGACCAGCCAGTTGGAAGAGCTGCATCTGGCAAGACATGGGCGAGGAGCACACAGCTTCCATGCCCGCTCTGGGCACGGCAACCTCCCAGCATTTCCGTGTGTTCACCAACCCAGGTCTCCAAACCCCGGTGTTGAGTGTTTTTATAGAGGTTCCATTCCATTGGCGTGAATGAGGATTGGAGATTAACTCAATCTCCAGCCCCTCTCCCTTCCTCAGAGATGAGGGGGCTGAATGTTCCAGCCCTCCAATTTCACGGTTGGTTCCTGTGGCCACCAGCCCCCACCCTGAAGCTATCTAGGGGCCCCCAGCCACCAGTCATCTCATTAGCATATAAAAAGACACTCATCACTCCAGAGATGCCAAGGGTCTTAGAAGCTCTTGGATCAGGAACCGGGGACAAGACCAAATATTATTAAATATTATTAACAAAAGATGCTGCCATCACTTCATCACTCAGGAAATTACGAGGGTTTTAGAAGCTCTGTGCCAGGAGCCAAGAGCCAGGGCAGAGAACAAATACATATTTCCTATTATGTCAGTTATACGTAAATAAAAGTAAACACAAACATTTGGGGACAAAAAGATGGGGCGTGGCTGTGGCTTACCATACGCCACTCAGTTGACATTGTGACCTGTGACTTGGGTTATCTCCAAGACCCCTTCTCCTGGCCCCAAGAGGCCTCCAGTAGGACGTCTTTGTTCCCAGCTGTGATTTGGAATCGTGCCAAGAAGCCAGACGCCACTGTGCCGCCAGTAGATCCAGGTGCCATTGTTGTTTGCCACATTATAAAGATTCTGGTCCAGGCACGGTGGCTCACGCTTGTAATCCCAGCACTTTGGGAGGTGGAGGTGGGTGGATCACCAAGGTCAGGAGTTCAAGACCAGACTGGCCAAGATGGTGAAATCCCATCTCTAGTAAAAATACAAAAATTAGCCGGGCGTGGTGGTGCACGCCTGTAATCCCAGCTACTCAGGTGGCTGAGGCAGGAGAATTGCTGGAACCCGGGAGACAGAGGTTGCAGTGAGCCGAGATGGCACCCCTGCACTCCACTCTAGCCTGGGTGACAGAGCGAGACTCCATCGCAAAAAATAAATAAATGAATAAGGGTTCTGACAATTCAGAAATCTAAAACCTCCTGGGGAAAGCTGGCTCTCACCCTGGCTCAGGGTCCAGTTCCAAGACCAGCAGAGGGAAGCCACTGGGAAGCCCTGCCCAGCCCATGCCCCTCCAGGGAGAGAGGGCCTCTCCAGGCTCTCTGCTGACACAGGCTGGCACTGCAGGCTCTGCACAGCAAAGTCGGGCAGCCCAACCCATTGCTGATGGGACTTTAGAAGCCAGCTGCACAAATCTCAGCTCTGCCTCTTACTGGCTGTGTGACCCTGGCAAGTTATATAACCTCTCTGGACCTCCACTCCCTTATCTGCAGCATAGGCCTAAGCCCCCATTGATGGGGTTGTCGTGGACATTAACTGGAATATTCACAAAGCATCACTCAGCACCGAGCCTCGCACAGCCCTCGGCACACGGCACCTAGCACTCTGACTGTCATTACCATCGCTCTCCTTTCTCACTCTTTAGTTCATTTCTGCTTCTAGATTTCACCACTCTGGATGAAGTCTGTGAACTCACCATTCCTCAAACCTGTACGATAATGTCCAATATCCAACAGAAGTAGCAAAGTGACTTCTGAGATGAAGTCTTTATAACCCACGTGGTCAACACAACTAACTAGTACCCAGGTGCAATGTTGTGTTCACCATCTGTTCCCTTCTTTCTGCAACTCACATGCAGTATGCGCTTACTATTGCAACAACCTGGGCTGCAACCACGGAGAGTAGATGAGAAGCGCCTCCGCAGGTTTCACAGGGGAAAATTTATTACTGCAACTTCAAGCTACAGAACGAGCCCGAGCTTGCGGTTTGGGAGCCAGCGGCAGCTGGAGCTTGCGTTTCACTTGGCTCTTAGGAAAATGATACAGTAGATTCCAAATGCCCCCCAAACCCCCGCCTCTGGATTCAGAGCCCAGGGGAATTCTTCCAGGTTAATACAGACCAGCTCCAAAAGACATTCTCCAGAAAGGTTTACTAAAAACCCCAGCTTCCTCCCTCCAGTGGCTCAGTCTAAGACCTAGAGTGCAGAGAGGCTTGAGCACCTGGGGCATCACCACTAATGCCCAGCAGACAATGTCGACTCAGGTTTCCAGAGGCTGTCACAGTCACCAGGTCTCTCTTTGAATCCCCCAGACCCACAGCTCTGGGGTAAATGGGTCTGTGAGGCCCCTGGAGGGAAATAAATGGACTTCTCAACTGCTGGGGCAGGAAAGCGTCAATCAGCTCCAGGCCAGCAGGGTATCATGCAGGATGGCAACGTGTAGCAGGCAGTCTGCCACTCCCCTGCCCACGCCCTTGGCAGGCATTGCTAATCCATCCCCGTGCTCATTCCCATCGATCCCCAGCATGGCTTCTGAATCCTTCTTAGCCCACGGCAGCGAGAATGACTGATGGGAGTGAGTCAGGGAAATATTTAGGGTAGAAGGAGGACCAGATTTAGAATCAGGAACCTGGGCTGTAGCTCCATATCAGCCCCTGGTTCCTCGTGATATCTCCAGGTGATTGTTGAACTCAAAACCCCTGTTTTCTGATCTGTAGAATGGGGATGAATGTAGGAGAGAGACTGGTTATTAAATTGGGCTCAAGTGCTCTCCCCTCTCAGGGGCACAGGTAGCCTTTGACAAGCACCAGCTCCTGCTACAGCCGCGAGACCCCGGGCCATTTCCGAGCCTCTCAGCCTCCCATTCCATGACCAAACAGTGGGAACAGTAAGTGATCTCAAAGATGCGGTCAGAACGCAGGGAGGGCATGCACAGAATGCACTTAGCCTTGTCCCTGGCCTGCAAGAAGTGCTCGAAAAATGCTATGCAATGTTGCTGTTTTCTTTCTTTTTTCTTTTTTTTTTTTTTTTTGAGATGGAGTCTTGCTCTGTTGCTCAGGCTGGAGTGCAGTGGTGCGATCTCGGCTCACTGCAACCTCTGCCTCCCAGGTTCAAGCGATTCTCCTGCCTCAGCCTTCTGAGTAGCTGGGACTACATGCACGTGCCAACACGCCCAGCTAATTTTTGTATTTTCAGTAGAGATAGGGTTTCACCATGTTGGCCAGGCTGGTCTCGAACTCTTGACCTCAAGTGATTACCCGCCTCAGCCTCCCAAAGTTCTGGGATTACAGGCGTGAGCCACCATGGCTGACCCGCATTGCCGTTTTCTAACTGTAGCCTACTGAAGAGCCATCTCATGTCATTGATGCTGCTGAATCAGCCAAAGAGAAAGATTCAAAGCTTCTTCCCACCCTCTGCCCACCCTTCCCTGTCCTCAGTACAGCTGACTCATGCAGAGGAAGGGCTGGTCCCTTGGTGGATGCTGACTGGGAACTTGGGAAGCTACCTGGATGCTGCTAGGAACTTAGAACTGGATGGTTCTGAGTTCACGGTGCTGAGTGGGTCGCCGTGAAGGGCTTGCTGTTCCATGGATGTGAACTGACCCCTTCCCCTGTGTCTCCACAGGATCCCATGGCAACCGCCTGAGGGGCGACTGGGCCCCAGAGGGATAAAGGGTGCTCAGTGGGGGTGAGGGTAATCCAGGAAGGCTTCCTGGAGGAAGAGGGGTGAGCTCCACCTGGGATGGGATCACCTAATTACTTTTGGGTACTTGGTCACCTAATTACTTTTCCCACCAGGATGGCAGCAAACCCCATGGGAAAATGGTATCCAGGGAGGGGAGAGGAAGCCCGGAGCTTTCATGGGGAGAGCTTGTTCCCTGGCTATGATGGAGTGTGATGGGGACACAGCCACCCCCCTCCCTCACTCATGCCTTGGCCAGGGCAGGGGTCTCCCCCACCTTCCTGCCTGCCTCTTCCACATCACTGGGGCTTTCTTGCCTTTCTGCTTCCTGTGGGCAGGAGAGCTGGGGACAGAGATGCTTTCTTGCCCAGTTCTGTCTCAGAGTCCCACTCCAGCCTGGCGCTCTCAGCTGTCTTGGCGGAGCCCTGCTCCCCTTATTGGGGTCTGGCAGCAGGGGGGTCCCTCCTCCCAGGTATCAACCCAGGTGGCCCCACTGCCCCCAGTTCAGGAACCTGGGGAACCAGGCAACCCATTCAGTCTGTGCTTGGGGGGCCTGGACCGGCTTCCCAGCACCCTCCACCTAACAGCACTAAGAAGCTACCTCTGGGGAAGTGCCAGGAGCGCCCACACTGAGCGGCAGGGTGGCCAGGGTCACTTCCCCTGCGGGCAGGTCGGCCAGGGTCACTTCCCCTGCGGGCAGGTCCAGGAAACCCTACCCTCCCATGGCCTTGAGACGCTGCATGTCCAAAGGCCTCCCACTCACAGCCCTCTCCACTTCCAGCCCCATCCCTGATGCTGTGGCCTGGGCTTCTCTGTTCTCACTGGCCAGGCCCTCGAGAGCGCCAGGCAGCCCAGAGAGACAGCAGCTTCACTTATGAACAAACAGAGGTTCTGGGACACAGTGGTCTTGCTGGGGTCCCTCGGCCTCACGGGGCCTCCCTCCCCAAGCTGGAAGCCCACCCAGCCACCAACACAGCTAGCCAGTCCAAGGCCAAACATGAGGTGTGCTCTCAAAGAAATCAGGTTGTTAGCATTCTGGAAATGTCTGCACCTCCCCAAGCCTTGAGCTGCGTTCCCTCAGCTGTGCTGCTGGGGAGGAGGGTTTGGGGCTGATGAATTGGCCAAACACACTGCCAACTGTCAGTGATGAAAAGAAAAACAACAGCAGGGCTGGGTGCGGTGTCTCACGCCTGTAATCCCAGCACTTTGGGAGGCCAAGGCGGGCAGATCACCTCAGGTCAGGAGTTCAAGACCAGCCTGGCTAACATGGTGAAACCCCGTCTCTACTAAAAATACAAAAACTAGCTGGGTATGATGGCACACATCTGTAATCCTAACTATTCAGGAGGCTGAGGTAGGACAATGGCTCGAACCTGGGAGGCGGAGGTTGCGGTGAGCTGAGGTCTTGCCACTGCACTCCAGCCTGGGTGACAGAGTGAGACTCCGTCTCAAACAACGGCAGGACCTGTGACGCCCTGAACTCTTGCCATGGGTCAGCCCTGTGCTGCAGGAAGAGCCCACGTAATCCCCAGCACACCCCTGGGAGGTGGGAATTACCACTGATTATTACCCACATGTTACAGACCAGGAAGCTCAGAGAGGTCAGGAGACCCAGCCAAGGTCACACCGCTAGGCAGTGGAGAAGCTGGGACTGAACGCCTCATCGCATGGTCTGGCTACCTCCTCCTGCCACCTCATCCTTTGTCAGAGGCCAGTGACTCACGGGCAGAGCAGCCCCAGCCTCAAAATCTCAATGCCTGAAATATCACCATCATTGCCTGATATCTTTGGCCGAAGCCTACTCTTTAATGAATACCGCCTCCCACTGGGGAGAACCCACTGTGTGCCTCAACTCTTCTGTGGGAAGGAGTTTGAAATCCGTTCCCAAAACTAGGGAGAGACTTCTGCTTCTACAATGGAGGGGACAGAGCACTTCAGGGGAAAAGCAGCTGGTACAGGGAACAGAGAAGGGAACTAGCGTTATTAAGGACTTATTTTGTGCCAGGCAATTTTATAAACATCTTCTCGTTGCATCCAGCAGGAATTCTTATCTCCACTTTACAGATGAGGGTTGGGGAAACTGAGTCTCCAGTGCTGTGAGCCACTGGACACAGTGCGGCTGGTTAACGTGCAGCTGGGTATCTTATCGGGGTCTGATGAGGGGAAAAGGGCAGTCTTGCGGAAGCTCAGGGCAGGTGCCGGCAGCCCGGGCACAGGGAGGGCTTGACGTCCTGTGGGGACTCCAGTCCTCCTCGTTCTTCCTGAAGGCTGTACTGGCTGTGGACAGAGAGTGGCCAGAGGGGAGCAGAGGCAGCTCCTCGCAGAGGTCACCAGGCTGGAGCGGAGCCGCTGCTGCCAACCGTGCCTGCAGCCCGTGGCCCGAACGCCTTCCAGGTCTCTGCAGGGCCTCACCCGCCCTGCCAGCTCCGGGCAGCTGCTGCTTTGGGGCAGCCAGGGAAAATTCCTCACCTGACCCCTAGCCAGAGATGAGAGGTGTCCAGGCCTCAGAACCGCTGCCCTGCCTCCCCCACCACCGGCCACTAAGCACCCCCTGTGCCAGGATCTGTGCCAAGGGCTCTGTGTGCTGTGTCATCTCAGCGACTCCTCCCCCTGCCCTGTCCAAGGAATAGGTGACAACACCTGCTCGGAGAGCTAACTCAGCTTTCTCAAGGTCCCCGCTAAGCCAGCCAATGGCGCCAGAGTGAAAATGTGAATTCAGGCTGGGTCTGGAAACCCTCTCTAAACTGCTGAATTCCAAGTCAGGGACTCTGGCCTCGTGAGAAGCAGTCGCCTTTTCCATGCCAGTGTCCTGAACTTTTCGGGGTCACTCTCAGGTGAGAACAGTTTCGTGGGAGCCTCTATGAGCCAAGCCTTGTGCTGGGCTCAGGGTAAAACAGTGACAAAGGGGGACGACATCCCTGTTCCAGTGGGTCCTACAGTCAGGTGGGGCAGACGAGGCATGAATCAAGCAATCTTAGAGAGACCGGGTGGCATTCAAGGCTCAAAGCTCGCCCTGAGGGAAAGGGGTGAGCATTGGTGACAACCCAGGATGAAGCAGCGTGGACCGGCCCCGGGGTCAGGGAGGGCTGGGGTTGACATCCGATCCCCAGGGTGTCCATAGAGAGAGGCCAGCAGCTGAGGTAAGGGAGGAGAGAGCACTGTGCAGAAAGGACTGTGAGTGCAAAGGCCCTCGGGGTTGGAGGCAGAGCACGGAGGGCTCCGGGAACCAGGTCAGAGTGGCTCCAGACAGGGAGGCATGAGATGAGGCTATGATGGAACGTGGTGAGGATGGCGGGCCTGATCCTAAAAACATTGGAATTTATTGGCAATTGGCCAGGCGCAGTGGCTCATGCCTGTAATCTCGGCACTTTGGAGGCCAAGGCGGGCGGATCACCTGAGGTCAGGAGTTCGAGACCATCCTGGCCAACATGGTGAAACCCTATCTCTACTAAAAAATACAAAAACATTAGCTGGGCATGGTGGCAGGAGACTGTAATCCCCGCTACTTGGGAGTCTGAGGCAGGAGAATCGCTTGAACCTGAGAGCCAGAGGTTGCAGTGAGCTGAGATTGTGCCACTGCACTCCAGCCTGGGCAACAGAGCAGGACTCCATCTCAAAAAAAAAAAAAAGAAAAAAGAAAAACAGAATTTATGGGCTATTGCATGTGGGGAGGCGTTGACATGATAAGCACATTCATTAATAGCTACATGTTCTGCCCAGTGCTTCTCCTGCACTAAATGGCCCCAAAATGCACGGTCCCATACCCACCTCCTTTTTTGTTTTGTTCTGTTTTGTTTTGTTTTAGAGATGAATATTCACTATGTTGCCCGCCTCAGCCTCCCAAAATGCTAGGATTACCAGTGTGAGCCACTACATCCAGCCCTCATTTATTTTGTTGACAGCTGTTGTCTCTTTGCTACCAAGGGTCCACCCCTAACAGGAGCAGGTGCCTGCTCAAGAGCTCGTCTGCTCTGCTGCGGGCTGGCTGCAGACACCTTCGTTTCTCCTCATAGCTGTAACAGTCCTGTCTGAGCAAAGTGCACAGGTTTTACAGCAACTCTTCCCACCCTACCCTCAAGGGATTTTGCTTACTCTTTTGCTGCATCTGGCCTCTGGGTGGCACTTGCCCTGCTGAGCCTCACGCTGTCACCCCTCTCCTAGGAGAAGCAGGTGATGGCCCAGGAAGCCTAATCCCAGTGACACACAGGCCACCCACCCTCCGTCCTGCCCACACCTCCGGCAGCTCCAGCTCATTCAGCCTCAGGGAATCCCGGGGCCTTGTCCCATGCAACCGGCCAGCTGTGGTGTGAGCGAGGGACTGAAAGCCCGTATGTGACCAGCTCTGGTGATGAGATCCCCCTGCCCCCGCCTGGCACATGTTCATTCATTCCAGGTACGGTCAGCACTGAGTCCTCGAGGGCCTGGAGCACCGCGGGGGAGACATCCCGGTCAAGCTGAGTTTCCCCGACGCCTGGCCAAGCACTGAGACCCAGAGTGCGGTGGGCTCCAGCGATGAACAGCCTGGGGAACGACGTCTTTGCTCTGTGTAGCTGGGCTCCATCTCCTTGCAGCTTGCCACCTCCTGGTCCTAATTCAAGCCATCCCGGCTCCTTGGCTGCAGGATTCCAGACTCCTTCTCAGGCACGACCCAGAAGGGCAGCCAAGAGGCCTCTGTTCCACCGAGGGAAAACAGAGCTCTCACCAAACCAGTCAAGCAGATTCCCACTAAGCTAGTTTGGGTTTTTTAATTGGCTAGAGGCCTAGAATCCAACTGGCAGGGATGGAGCAGACAGATGGGATCCTATATGAAGCTCCTGACTCATTCAACTTAGAAAGGGAAGAAAACCTTATTAGTCAGTTTCAAAGGGCTGCGACTTCGCAGGAAGGCTTCTCTGGCCCAGCCAGCTGGGACTGCCTCGCCCCCCTGGCTCGCACCGCCTGGCTCTGCCTGGCCCTGCCAGAGGCTGCTATATCCTGGGCATTGCAGCAGGGTACCCTCCAACCCCATTCCTATACCCGAGAACTGCTGCTTCCTGGGTCCTGAGGTTTCCTGTGTGCCCACCAGCAGGCTGGACCAGATCAAAGGGTGTCCCACGGCCATCCTCACGGGGCCACCCATGGCCTGAGCTCAAAGTGACCTTGCCCAGGAGGCTACTGGTGTCATGGAGCTCCACCTCCCCAGGATTTCAGCATGTGGCTGGGGACATGGACATCTGCTCAGCCCAGTGGGTACAGTTTGTCTCTTGTTGACCAAAGGATGCTCACCAGACCTTATCTCCTTCCCAACCCCTTTGTGGGTCCCCCACTGCCATCCACGGGCCCATCGCTCCCCTCACTGTAGCCAGGTGGAGAATCTCCCTTCAGAGTTGCTGGAGGGGTTGCCTAGGCTTGACTTCATCCATCGTTGTCATCCTCTAAAAGCCCTGGCCAAGGGATCTCAGCCCACAGGGCTGAGCCAGGCACCCTGTCAAGGGGCGCTGCGCAGGGCCCCAGAGCACCTTGAGTCCAAAATCCATCAACTCACCCAACATCTCTTGCACACCTGCCATGTCCCTGACACTGTGCAGGCACCAGCAGTGGTGCTGGGATGAATGAGGCGTCTCCGATGTGGTGATAGAGCTTATAATATCCTTTATATTTGTTTTCAAATAACATGCTTTCAGGAGGCCAATAAGCAAACCATAATATGGCAGCATGAAAACATCAAACGTTAGTCTTCCTTTTCCCTTTTCTTTGTGCCTACTATGTGCTGTGCACATAGATTATCTCAAAGCGTTTAGCAATCCTTCTAGGATAGTTATTGTCATCCTATTTCAGAGAGGAGGAAAATCAGGCTCAGAGAGGTGGTGAGCTTGCAGAAGGTGACAAAGCTGCTAAGTGACTGAACCAGATTCAAACATGACCCTAAAGCTTGTGTTCAAGGTGTGCCCCCGCTCCAGGCCCCAGCCACAGGATCTGCACAGGGTGGGGTTCTGAGGACAGAGAATGAATGAGCCCCACGCAGGAGCTCCCACCTGCAGCGACCTCACCGTCCCAGCAGGCGTGGCTGGGAGATTCAGCTGGACCCGGCGCTCTGGGGTCATCCACCCGACCCCTCGCAGAGCAGTGGCATTGCTGGGTTTTGCTTTAGGAAAAAACTAGACCTTTTGCAGCCACCAAGCAAATAGAACTGTGGCTCCCTTTCAGTGTTTAGAGCTAGTTTTACGTACTCTTGACAGTTTCAAAATAGTTTTCCCCTGGAAATGGGGAGGGAGGGGGAGATATGCACTCTAACCCCTGGTGCTTGTGCTGGGCCACAGATACAGATACAGCAGGTTCCCCGCCCTCAGCGACTCAAAGGGGAGACAATCATTCAACAAAAAAATCCCAAGTCCTGCAGCGAGTGGCCTAGGGAGGAGCTATGAGAGCCCAAGAGAGGACCTGGACCTCCTGACACACCCAGCAGCTGGCTGCTTCTCCCTGTGGGAAACCAGAGTGAATGTGCTTTGAAAGCAAGAGTCTCCCAGAGAAGCTGGGTGCGGTGGCTCACGCCTGTAATGCCAGCGGTTTGGGAGGCTGAGGCGGGAGGATCACTTGAGCCCAGGAGTTTGAGACCAGCCTGGGAAACTTGGCAAGAGCCAGTCTCTACAAAAAACTTAAAAATTAGATGGTGTGGTGGCACACGCCTGCAGTCCCAGCTACGCAGGAGGCTGAGGCAGGAGGATCACCTAAGCCCAGAAGATTGAGGCTGCAGTGAGCCGTGTTCACTCCATTTCACTCCAGCCTGGGCAATAAAGCAAGACCCTGTCTCTTTAAAAAAAAAAAAAAAAAAAAGTCTCCGAGAAGGAGAGGAAAGCTCGGCTTAAAGGCGCTTCAAGTCCAAGGTGTGCGGAGGAGCTGGGAGGGTTGGGAAAAGATGGTGCAGGTTTGGGGAGGTAAGGCTGCACAACTCTCTTCTCACTTAGAAAGCGTTGCATTCAACCTCCCCATTCAGAAGAAAGGAAGATAGTCCACTGATCCCCTTGGAAGGTCCAGGGCCCTAGGGGTCCCCTATTGGCCCAGGGCTGACAGCCAGACCAGGCCAGGCCAGCCCCTCCTCTCGCCGAGTTCCCATTTCCTGTTGAGCTGTTGGAGCCATTCAGGTCAGCGCAGGCTGGAGGCCAAGCAGAGGGGTCACCGCTAACTATATGCTAATGACAGCAGGGACCAATCAATCTTCCCTTAATCAGGCAATCAATGTGCACTGCAGGTGTGTCAAATCCTGGCCTGCAACTGAGGGAGGGGGAGTATAGGGGGAGCCAGGGGCGTGGAGGAGAAGAAGGGAGGAGAGGAGCAGAGAAAGGGAAGAGAGGTTGCCCAGGTCCCCACCCCCGCCCCCACCCCCAGCTAGTCACGGCCAAGCTCCCAGCCCCACCCTCCCCTCCATCCCAGAGGGAGCCGGCTGCAAATTGAAATCACTGCTCCGGGAAAGAACCAAGGGGAAAAGAGAAGGAATTAAAAAAACCAGCGTCTTTTTAATCAACGCTCAGAGCTGCAGCCGCTAATGAATTCAAGGTACTCGGGAACCCCAGGGCAAGGCTGGGTGGAAGGAAGCCAGAAGCCTCCTCCCCCACCGGCGCTCTCCTCCAGGCTCCCTCTTAGAGCAGGGAGGTGGGGGAGGCGGGGAGGGGACCTATGGAAACCTTCAGACTGGAGGGACCTCCAGGTGTGCTGGCTCGACCCCTCCCTTTAGAGGTGAGCTCCAGGGCCCTGCAGGGGAAGGGTCGCCAAAGGTCACAGCCAGGAGAGGGGCTTTTACTCTGGGCACCTCTCCCCCTCAGGCTACTCTGCTCTCTCTCGGCCTAGAGGCTGCACTTAAAAAGGTATAAGCTTGTGGAATGAATGGCTTGCATAAAGAAAAAAGACCAAAAAATTTTATTTAAAACAGGTATAGGCAGGTCCCATCATCCCAGTCTCCTCTCTGAACAGCCCTCTTCTCTGCACCAGCTGGAGTTATTTTTTGCACACCTACTGTGTGCCAGGCTTCAGATACAATAGCACACTGAATTGTCCCAGCTGCCCTCACAGGACCCAGCTGCTGTCATCATCCTCATTTTGCAGATGAGAAAGCCGAGGCTCCAACAGCGTTACAGAATATGCCAACAGTTTAGCCAAGTTAGGGTGGGGGCAGGGGCACATGGACTCTGGACCTCCAAATCCTCTTCCCAAGAGCCCCACAGTGGTCCTGGCCAGAGGCTAGGTCTCCCCACAGTGCTGGGAGGTGCCCTGGCTCCTCAGCCCCTCCTCACCACCCCACTGCCTTTTCCCCTTCATGCATTCGCTTTGGCTTCAGATCTTATTTAACCGAGGAGTTCCTTCGCTCTCCAAGTGAGAAGCTACCAGCTTATGGCAGTT
Source organism: Homo sapiens (assembly GCF_000001405.40). Taxonomy (NCBI): domain Eukaryota; kingdom Metazoa; phylum Chordata; class Mammalia; order Primates; family Hominidae; genus Homo; species Homo sapiens. The sequence continues at coordinate 131,806,554 of NC_000009.12, read as the reverse complement.
GTGACTTAGTCCATGTTTGTTCCCTGGAAGCAAGTTCCTGGTGTCTCTGGGCTCAGCAGGAGATGTGTGGCATGACACCCATGACACCAGCCCCTCGCTTCCTCACAGGCCTGTCCTAGGCCTCACTTAACCCTCTCAACAGATGGGAACACGGAGACCCAGAGGGGTTCATTGACCTGCCCAAGGTCACCTAGCAAACCAGTGGCACCATGAGCGCTTGAGCTCTCGTGACTCTGCTCCAGTCGGTGGTAGCATAGCCCCTGCGTGCCGCCGTGTCCTGCAAATCTGAGAATCCCTTCCTCTTCCACCTGTTCTTTTTGACACCTCTGGAGCTGCCAGATCGGGAGGCAAAATGAAAAGTGGGTCTGAGAAGGAACAGGATAAATAATGCTGCTTCGGGAATGCATGGCCTGGGAAACACATTCCCAGAACAGCTCATTTCAAACATTCTGCTGTTGAGAGCTTCGTGTAGCGGAAACTGCAGGCAAACGCTGAGGTTCAAGGCCACACCCACCAAGGGGAAAGCGTGTGTCTGGCTTGCATCTCCATCGTGCCTGCCTGGCTCCCTCTGTCATGATCTGCCCATTCTCTCCCACCGCAGGTACACACATGTGCACATGCATGCATGCACACACACACAACACTGCAGCCTTGCCAAGCCCCAGGAACCCAGGCTGGGGCTGACCTCAGCCCTAAACCTCCAGGTTTCAGAAGCAACCGCACTGAGGGTGGCTCAAGTCAAAGGAGGTGGGCTTGTAAAGGCGAAACAGCTCCTGGCATAAGGGCAGGAAAGACCCCAAGTGTATCTAGGGCCTTGAGAGGTTGACTAGGAAGCACTCACTGTATGTTGATCGAGATGGCAGCCACTAGCCACTTTGAATTGAAACTAAGTCCAGCCAGGCGCAGTGGCTCACGCCTGTAATCCCAACACTTTGGGAGGCTGAGGCGGGTGGATCTCTTGAGGTCAGGAGTTCAAGGCCAGCCTGACCAACATGATGAAACTCTGTCTCTACTAAAAATACAAAAATTTGTCAGGCAGGTGCCTGTAATCCCAGCTAGTGAGGAGGCTGAGGCAGGAGAATCGATTGAACCTGGGAGGCAGAGGTTGCAGTGAGCTGAAATCACGCCACTGCACTCCAGCCTAGGCAACAAAGGGAGACTCCGTCTCAAAAAACAAAACTAAGTCCAATTTAAATTTATTTCAAGTAAATAAAGTTTACTGTCCAGTTCCTCTGTGGTACTAGTTACATTTCAAGTACTCAGTAGCCACGTGTCATAAACCAAGACCGAGCCTAAGAGAGCTCACCCCCACCTGGCCGCCGGTGCAAATGTAGAACGTTCCACTGGGCAGAGAAAGTTCCACTGGGCAGCCTGTATCCTGGAGACCAGGATGTTCCTCTCCATGGGGCGACTTCCCTCATCTAACAGCTGGATTCTTCTCTTTGCTCCTCTGGCATGTGGCCCAGCATGGCCCCTGGCTCCAGGGCTGCCTTGCACCCTCTGAGCTCCCCCTCCCCCTCAATTCCTCTTGGTCGAAATCTCAAGAGAGAAACCAGTGCAGGTGAGCACCAGGTGCAGGTGGCTGTGCCAGGTGTCAGGGCCATGCCTGGGAAGCTAGGGCTGCAGGCAGGGGGGTTTCCTGGGGAGGGACATGGCTCCAGGGCCCAGAACATGGAGAATAAGAGTAAGAGAGAAATGGCACTGTGCATGTAAATGGCACTCTAGAGTGGGGGCATCCCTTGCTGCTGAAGATCTTGCTATTACCAGCAACTCTAGGATATAGGCACTCTTGATCACATTTCACAGATAAGAAAACTGAAGCTTGGGGAGGGAGAGTTAAGTAACTTATCTAGGATTGCACAGCCATTAATCAACAAACTCTCAAGCTCAAGTTTCCTAAAATGGTTGGTCTGAGAGCAAGGCTGCCTCACCAGAACCACCAGACTGGCACCAGCCTGGGCTTCCCAGGGGCTTCCTGTTCCTGGCTCTGGTCTTCTTATTGCTTTATCCTCCTATGAGGAGAGAAGGACCCCTACCACTCTGTCAAAGTGACCTCACCCAGATGGCAGTCACCCTGGTGGCAGATAGGCCACCAGGTCCGAGCGACTATGGGATGTCCAACTGGTTCTTGCATGAGCCCTAGCCTGGAGACAAGTCAGCTTCCTAGGTGTGCAGGGCACAGAGAGGATGAAGATGAATAGGAAGCCATGTTTCTGCTCATCCCAGAGTCAGAGCTCCTTGGGCAGTGTGTATCCAGGGTAGACTGACTGCTAAAACAATCAGCTCCCAAATCTCAGTGCGTCAGCACAGTAAAAGCTTCCTTCTTGCTGTGTCACTGTCCAGCGCAGGCTCTTGGGAAGGAGCCCGTACTCCACACAGTCATCCAGGGCCCCAGGCTCCTTACCATCCTGGGTGGTGGCTCCACCATCCCCCAGGGCAGGAGTCAACAAGCTTTCTCCCTAAAGGACCAGATGGGAAATATCTTAGGCTTCTCAGGCCACTCAGTGACAACTAATGATTTCTACCATTGTGGTGCAAAAGCAGCCATAAACAACCTAGAAATGAATGGGCATGACTGTGTTCCAATAAAGCTTTATTTACAAATACAGGCAGAGAGTTGGATTTGGCCTGTAAGCCTCAGTTTTCTGACCCCTGTCCTAGAGCCTTGGAGTTCCTCTCTGGACCCTGTGCATCTGATGAGAAGACCGGGAAAGAGAGAGCTATGGGAGATTATGCAGGAGGTTTGGTGGGGGAACAGGCCTGAAAGTGGCATAGATCCCTTCCACCCACATCCCACTGGCCAGAACTCAGTGATGTGGCCTCATCTCACTGCCAAGGAAGATGGGAAATGTAGTTCTTTGTGTGCACAAGGATCTGAGTGGTCACCTGCTCCCTCCTCCTACCTCTGGTCCATACGACAATCACTCCCAGATAGGAAGCTTCCCCCCTCATTCTTTGGAAGTTTTGACAGTGAGAATGCTCTCCCAGTATGCTCCTGGAGCTATTCCTCTCACCCAAATATCGAGTTCTGGGAGGGCTAAGAAGCCCCATAGTGGACAAAGAATGGCTCCATCCAAGGCCTTCTAGGGGAAACCATTAGCCTCCAGAAGGTAGGATGGAACAATTGCTGGAATCAGCCACCTTGATCTCAAGAACAACTCACTGTGTGGTCAGCTCATTCATTCAGCAGTTATTATACTGGGGATATAACAGTGAAAAAGACCTACCTGAACCTTGCTCTCATTCACCCAAAGACCTCTGTTCTTTTTAAGTTAGCTCCCGATGTAGCCCTTGCTATGAACTAGGAGCTGAGCCAAGGACTTTATGCCATTCTCCTTTATCCCCCAACAGCCCCAGGAGGAAAGTCCATGGTAGACTTTAAAAATGGAACTGATGCTTCATCCCTCCTTGTATTCACTTCTTTGCCGTGTGAATTTGTAGTTTCCTTGCACTCTCACTCTGGAATCCTCCAAGAGGCTTCCATTGTCCAATGGGATGTTAGAAACTAATACAAGCAAAGGCTCAAAAATCATGTATGTAATGGGGCTGGCTCTCATTCTTGCACCTCTGTCATCGCCAGGATAATACACCCAGGCTAACCTGATGGAAGATGAAAGAGACATGGAGCAGAACCAAGTCACCCGAGTCATCCCAGCCAACAGCTGGCTGACTCTCAAACGTGGGAGTGAGCCGAGCCAATGCCTACAAAGCTATAAGACCCGTGATCCTTCTCCCCTAGCTGACTGCAGATGCATGAGAAGCAAATGCTTACTGTTGCAGGCCACTAGAATTTGGGGTTGTTTGTTATGCAGCATTATTGTAGCAACAGATAACTAATATGCTCTTGTTCTCTCCCTTTTGAAGATGGAAAAGCTGAGCCTGAGAGATGTTAATTAATTTGCTCAAGGTCTTACAGTTGGCAAATGGTAGAGCCTGGATATGCCCCTGTATCTCTCTAGCCACTGTACTCTCCACTAGAGCACAAGTTTCATGAGGGCTGCTGTCCCCCTGGGTTAGTGTGTTGGAAATTTAATCCCCAATGCAACAGTGTTGAGAGGTGGGGCCTTTAAGAGGTGATTAGGTCATAGGGGCTCTTCCACTCTTTGTCTTGCATGTGCCCTCCTGCCCTTCCACCTATGGGATGACATGACACAGCAAGAAGGCCTTCACCAGATGCAGCCCCTTGACCTTGGATTGCCCAGTCTCCAGACTGTAAAAAAGAAACCTCTGCTTTTTATGAACTACCCAGTCTCCAGTATTCTGGTATATCAGCAAAAAATGGAATAAGACAAGGGCCAAAGTTTTTGTCTAAAGACTTGACAACTGCTTAACTCCACTCAACTATGATGGTGTCTGGCATTCAGCAGGTGTCAATATTTGTTGAGTGGGTGAAAGGATCTTGCTTTTGAGTTGCAGTGACTGAGAGGTCCTTCTTTCTCGCAGGAAGCACATGGGGACGTTGACTCTTCCCTCACAGCAGGGAGAAGAGGAAGCCACTACACCAGAGATCAAAATTCTCTCCAGCAACAGGAGCCTGGAATCAAGGCAGACGCTGGGGGCGCATTTCCACTCAATCATGCCCTTTGTTCTCTAGCAGACCGGGGGAAACCGCGGCAGAATCAAAGCACAAGGAGAGAAAGTTTCTTTTAAAATCACTGGGCTTTTTGACACGATGACAGCCCCTCTGGGAAAGATGTAGGGAAGAGGATGCAGGGTGGAGCTCAGGAGGGTGGGAGGGGGGGGTCTCAGAGCAGAGGGGCTGCTACTTGGTACAGGCCAAGATGAGACCAGTTGAAACCAAGAAGCTGCCCAGAGGGACCTCTCTGGGGACTGGAGGGGGAAAGAACTTGACCAGGCCTTTCATAAATCTTTCTTCCCATCCCTGTTCATCCCAATCTTGCAATTCCAAGAGCTCCCCAGAAAGCCCCTGCTCTGCCCAGCATTAGCGTTGAGTGCTGTTCAGAGGAGTGAACATTGTCTCACTGGCTGGAGTTTTATACACACACACACATGCACGCACACACACAGATCCAGGGGAAAATTGATTTTCACTTATTTTCCCCACCATGCACCCATGTTCCAGCAACCTTGTGATTATATCATGCTTCTACCCTTGTTCCTTGTCAGCATTGATATATTTCCAATTGAGAAGGAATGCAGAAATGTATAGGCATGCATGTGCACCCCTCACCCCCCTACACACGCACACATGTACACACATACACACACACACACACACACATACACAGAAACCCATCCTGTGGGTCAGTTTGGCTTCCTGGGCAATCTGATGTTATCCAACCACCTGACAAAGCAAAGCAGCCAAGAGGTAAGAGGTGTCTAAGATTCACTGTCTCCTGAAAATTCCAGAGCCCCAGCCCCACATGTTCCTCATGTCTCTGCAGGAGTCTGAGCGGTGTTCTGGACACTCCAGGGTCTTTCTAAAAGCATAGAAGCTGGTGCCATCTATTGGCTGGGCCCCCAGGATGGGGCTGAGCCACAGAGCCCTTTTCTAATTCTCTCTCTAAAAGCTTCTATCACAGACTGACTGTGCCAGTGTGTGTTTTATTTATGACTGTCTAATCCAGTACTCATCATAACGCAGGGTGCACAGCAGGCAGTGGGTGTCAATAAGTGTTTGTAGAAATTAATGTAATTTGTAAGTAATGAGAATGTTCTTAGAGGCAGAAAAATAATGCAGTGCTCTCTGCTCTGTACTGATTTTAAAAAAAAAAATCTTCCTATCCCCAATTCTTCTAGCGCTGGTTCTTTAGGCGTACAGCCTCAACATAAGTAAACAGCAGAGCGGGACTGGTTTCAGAATGTGTGTTGCCATTATGGGTCACTGCTATGAATCAGATGGACTGCTGGTTAAGAACTAGACCCTGAGGTCAGGCAGACCTTTGCTTGAACCCTAGCCCTCATGCATGTATGGCTTTAGGCAAGTTACCTCGTCCCTCTGAGCCTCCTATTATAATGGTGGTAATCATAGGATCTGCTTTCACAGAGTTACCATGGGTTTTCAGTGAGATAAAGCACAGGAAGTGCAGCACAGCCCCAACACAGCCTTAGTGCTCATTCACAGTGGCTGATGCCACTGCTGCTGATGTTGATATTCATGCAGAATTCAGGCTTGGCTCTGCTGGAAGGAGGTAAAAGAAGCAAGAACTGGGTCCCCTGAGAGCTCACAACTGAGTGGGGAGAAAGAGAGCACTTATGGAGAATATCTTGAAAAGCAGCGCTTGCTAAACTTGGCTCCAAGTTCAGTAGGTGGTCAGAGGAGCAAGAAGGCAGAGTGGGCTGAAGTGGTCAAGGGAGGCTTCCTGGAAGAGGAGAATCTGGAGACAGGCTCTAAAGGATGGGTCAGATGAGATGATGGAAAGTAGGAAGGGCAAAAGGCCTGGAGCTGGAAGGAGCAGTGGGCAGTGACCTGCAGAGAGGTTCCAGACAAGAGGAATGAGGGTGGGTGCACATCACAAATTTGGAGACACAAGATTGATTTGACTTTTGCCATAATGATGGCATTGGGGCCAGGTGCAGTGGCTCATACCTGTAATCTCAGCATCTTGAGAGGCCAAGGCAGGAGGACTGCTTGAGCCCAGGGGTTCATGACTAGCCAGGAAAACATAAGGAGACCCCATCTCTACAAAAAAAAAATTAGCTGGGCATGATGGTACATGCCTGTGCCCCAGCTACACAGGAGGCTGAGGCAGAGGGATCACATGAGCCTAGGAAGTTGAGGCTACAGTGAGCGGTGATCGTGCCACTGCACTCCAGCCTGAGTGAGAGCAAGAGTCTGTCAAAAAAAAAAAAATAGAATGAGTTAACAAATTGTGGTAGTTATGTATAGTTCATGTGATGGAATACTACACAGCAATGAAAAAAGGATGGCATTCGGAGCATGTTGGTGGGAGAGATGCCGATGTTTCCCTCATGAGGGAATTAGTGTTTGGTGACTGCAATAATGTGAAAACAAAAGTGCTTCCTCCAGTCTGGCAGTGATTGTCTGACGAATAACCTTTTGTGCAGGCCTCACCTCTCACTCTCTGCCTCCCTTTCCACTGCTTCTTTCCTTTCTGGACTCAGAATTCCTGAAGGAGTGGGACAGGCTTCCGCTGAGCACAGGCACTGAAAGGACAGCTGCCCTCACCAGTGGTTGTGCTTCAGCACCACGGACAGCTCCCCAGACACTCGCCACACCCTTAGGCTCAAAGTGCCAGTGACTTCCAGGGCCCCATAAAAGCACCTGCTAACCCACCCCCAGGAGCTGGCTGCTGCTCTCCCACCATGCCCACTCTCCAACCTCCTATGACTTTTTTTGTATCTTTTACTTCTCAAAGCTGAATTCTGTGTTCTAAGACATCAGCTGATACACTTGTCTCATTCATTTCAGTTTGTTGAGGATCCCGTCTGTGCCAGGCACCATGTTTATCCACTCATGGAAGTGGGCTATAGAGGACCTCTCTGGTTGCCACTAAAATCCATTGTGTCCAAGGTCTCCTGGACCCCCTGGGTGCCTTTGCCAGAGAAGTGACTCCGAAGAAGTGAAGGTAGGCACCTGGGGAGCCAGTCAGTGGGCAGCTGCACTATCCCAGTGCCCCCAACTCACTCGTTATTGCTAAAATAGCTGCTGTTGAGGGCACAGGGATGTTGCAGCAGCCACGGAAGCAGGCTGTGATGTAATGATTGCACTGAAACTACACACCCCCCTGCAAGGCGGTGCTGTGGCTATCAACACTTGACAAGTCAGCCCAGAGGGATGAGGCCACATTCCTCAAGCCACACAGCTGAGAAGACACAGAGCAGGACTGCCTGTGTTTCTGACTCCAGACCCCTCACTCCTTTTTCCCCTCCCTCTCTCTAGGCTCAACCACAGAGGGTCCTATTAAATTGAATTGCCATTTTCATGGGTCAGCAAATGGCTGAATATCAGAAGTGTCATGCGCCTCCACCTAGTATTTTCTCCACTGAGAGCATCTCTTCCCTTGCCAGGAATGTGCTACTTCCCACGGCTTCCAGGCCACTGGGTCTGGGCAGGGGTGACCTTCTCCACCCTGGGCAGGCTGGGAAGAGCTTCTCCTCTAGGGGAACTGCCTGCCCAGAGGTGGCCCCACTGAAGCAGCCCAGACTGTGACCCTTGCAGCAGCTAATGAACACAGGTCACAAAGAGAAAAGCAGCTTTGTGAAATAATCCTTGCTCTGGGAGGCTGCCTGGCGAGAGCTGGCGGCTTCATCAGAATGTTTATGGAGGGGAATTAATCAGGAAACTCGGTGGAGTCGCCTGTGGTGGGGAAGACTGAGGAAGGCGGCGGAGCTTGGGAGGGAGGGTGTTCCATCTGAGTAATCAATGCTGGAAATTATTCTGTGAATATCAATGGTCTAAACATGGCGTCAAGGCTGGAGGGCACCAGAAAACAAGAAAGGGCAGACTGATTGAGTCCTGCATGGCCCAATAACTGCCCAGCCTCTGCAGCTGCAAAGAAGGAAGGCTGTTGCCCTTCATTCACTCACCCACTCATTGATTCTTCCTTTCAATCAGGAGCCAGGCAGGCCCTCCAATAGGCAGGAACTTTGCTGGTTGCTGGGACCAGTGCAGTAGTCACAAGACAGACATGACCCTGCCTTCCTGGACTAGATTGCAAAGACATTTAGAATCAAACTCAGGGATTTTGAGCCTTTTTATAACTTTCCAAGTTCCTCTACCCTCTCTGACCTCTGTGCATAATCATTATTGTTTATTGAGCCTTACTGAGAGCCAGGCATGGTGCCATTCTCTCAGTAAATCCTGACAATCCATGTTTGGAGTAGACATCATTATTCTGAAGTTACAAATGTGGAATAAGGCTCAGAGAGGTCAAGGAACTTGCCCAAGGTCCCTGAGTTAGCCAGTGGCCATATGGATCTCAAACCCAGGTCAGTCTGAGTGCAGAGCCTACTCTCTTAGCCACTCTGACATACTGTTTCTCAAACGGAGTGCAACTTGTATATGCTTTGACCCGACTCTCCAATTGCCCTGGCTTCCCCATCCTCCCCACTTCCAGCTCACAGCCCTAATGCCTGTTCCTCTTGATTCTCCTTAATCCCTCATGCCTCTTATTCGCTTTGCGGCTGGAGGATAATTAGGCAAAATGAAACTATTTAAGGAAAACTGGAGTTCTTTGCAGACACTGAGAGGAAACCTCTGAAGGCTAAGCTTGTGGGAGTGACTCCAGCTGACGGCACCTCGTCCTTGGCATCTCAGGGCTCCTACCCATGCCTTCCCTATACTGTCCTGAGAATTGGCCCTAAGTTTCAGATCCATGCTACGGGCAGGGAACACAGTGCAAGGGGACAGGAAGAGTGCTGAGGATGTGATGTGGTCACACCGTGTCCTTCAGAGAGGCCCTTGGTCTCCTCTGAGTCTTTTTCTTTTTTTGAGAGAGAGTCTCACCCTTTCGCCCAGGCTGTAGTACAGTGGTGCGATCTTGGCTCACTGCAACCTCCACCTCCTGGATTCAAGCAATTCTCCTGCCTGAGCCTCCCGAGTAGCTGGGACTACAAATGCATGCCACCACGCCTGGTTAATTTTTGTATTTTTAGTAGAGGCGGGGTTTCATCATGTTGACCAGGCTGATCTCAAACTCCTGACCTCAGGTAATCTGCTCATCTCAGCTTCCCAAAGTGCTGAGATTACAGGTGTGAACCACCCACCGTGCCTGGCCTCCTCTGAGTCTTGTTCTCCCCAGTTGTTAACACAGGCACTAAGCTGGCTGACCTGTAAGCCCCTTCCAGTTCTGGCTGTCGGTGGGGGGCCTCCTGGCTGCTCTTCACTGTGGGACCAAAAGCTACAGCCTCGGTGGGGTGGCCCTGGGTGTGTCCTTTCCCCCTTGCTCCCACCAGTCTTCCCAAGGGCCCAACAGTCCCATCAGTCACTCGGCAGTAGTTGCAAGGCACCTGCCCTGGCTGGACATCATGGATGCAGCAGGGCCATGACCCAATCCAGTTGGGTCAGGCCTGTTGGAGGTGGGGTCTGGTGGGAGGCGACTGGATCATGAGAGCAGTTTCTAATGGTTTAGCACTATCCGCTGGGTGCTGTTCTCATGATATGGAGTTCTCAAGACACTGGGGTTTTTTTATGAAAAAAAAAAAAAAGATTTAATTGGCTTACAGTTCTGCGGGCTATACAGGAAGCATAGCAGCATGTGCTTCTAGGGAGGCCTCAGGAAGCTTCCAATCATAGAGAGGAAGGTGAAGGGGGAGCAGGCGTCTCACATGGCAGAGTGGGAGCGAGAGAGAAAGGGAGGGTGCCACGTTTTTAAACAAGAGATCTGGTTGTTTAAAAGTGTGTTGGGCCAGCCACGGTGGCTCACACCTGTAATCCCAGCACTTTGGGAAGCTGAGGCAGGCAGATCACTTGAGGTCAGGAGTTCGAGACCAGCCTGGCCAACATAGTAAAACAAAAATTAGCCGGGCATGGTGGCATGTGCCTGTAATCCCAGCTACTGGGGAAGCTGAGGCAGGAAAATCACTTGAACCCAGGAGGCGGAGGTTGCAGTGAGCCAAGATCGCACCACTGCACTCCAGCCTGGGCAACAGAGTGAGACTCCATCTAAAAAAAAAAAAAAAGCGTGTTGCACCTCCCCTTCTCTCTCTTCCTCCTGCTCAGGCCATCTAAAATCTGCCTACTTCCCCTTCACCTTCTGCCTTGATTGTAAGTTTCCTGAGGTCTCCCCAGCCACGCTTCCTGTACAGCCTGTGGAACTGTGAGCCAATTAAACCTCTTTTCTTTATAAATTACAGTCTCAAGTATTTCTTAATAGCAGTGCAAGAATAGCCTAGGACAGTGACTTTATTTGGAATAAGGGTCTTTGCAGATGTCATTAAGGTAAGGCTCTGAAGATGAGATCATCCTGGATTGGAGTGGACCCTAAACCCGACGATAGTGTCCTTTTAAGAGACTAAAAAGAAAACAGATGCATGGAGAAAAGAATTGTGTGAAGACAGGTAGAGATTGGAGCCATGCAGCCAAAAGCCAAGCAAGACTAGGGATTGCCTGAAGCCAGGAGAGGCACGAAATAGATTCTCTCTGAGCCTCCAGAGGGACCCAACCCTCCCAACACCTTGATTTTGAACTCTGGGCCTCCAGAACTGTGAGAGGATAAATTTCCATTGTTTTAAGCAACCGCTTTGTGGTCATTTGTTACAGCAGCCACGGGAAACTAACACAATGTCCAAGGCCCTGTCCTGGTCTGAGGCATCAGGGACAGCACCCTAGAGGAAGCGACATTTGATCAGAAGCCTGAAAGCTAAAGGAGGTATATGAGTTAGCAGCAGAGAGCATTCCAGGCTGAGGAAATAGCAGGTGCAAGGGCCCCAAGGCAGGAAATAGGTTCTGAAGGAAGGAAAGACCCAGAGGACTGGCACATTGGGGAGGGAGGAGGTAATGCCAGATGCTTCTTGAGAGGTGGGCAGAGGAAGACCCCCTTCCCCAGAGGAGTCTGTACTTTCTGCTGAAAGAATAGGATGCTGCTTCCAGCCTGGAATCAGAGAGGTCAGCCCCGTGGGACCTGAGTCTGGCTGGTCTCTGCCCTTCCCATGCCTGCGGCTCTGGATTAATACTAGCTGATGGACGGATGGGCTTCGTTGTGCTGTGTTCGAGGAGTGCAGTTCACCCTGAGTGTATCTGTGGTGTGCTCACTGCCTCCCAGGACCGTGTGTCACCCCTCCCTGTCTCTGCGTCCATCCTGAGTCCTTTGTCCCATGTCAGACAACCCCTTGCAGTGTACCTGTCTCCTCAACCCCCAATTCCTGTACCCCAAGCTTGTCGTGTTAACAGGAGACTTCCCTTCCCTTTGTCACCCTTCCCTTTGTCATCCTCAGACTGAATTAAAATAGCATTGCCACAGAGCCGTATCCGAGGAATTCCGAGTCCCCGGTGACTTCATTAGCTCCAGCGCCTTGAGTCATTCGAACCACGGTGCTTTCTTGTCCCGTCCCCTCCTCCCTGCAGAGGGGGTCTTATTAGCTGGGAAATATGAACCACTTAGTAGTTGCATTAACTCGGTGCTTCCAACACGTTTCATCTCTGCCTTTCTTCCCGCCCTGCCCTCTCCCGTGTCTCTGCCTCTCTACTCATTAGCCGGAGGTGCCTCCACTCTGGCTTTCTCCCTGGCACTCCATCGCTCTACCCCTTCCCTTCCTCGTCTCTCACATCTGTTTCAGAATCAAAGGATGTGAACACCTTCAACCAGAACCTCCTCCTTTAGGGAATGCTTAATGCCCACGGGCTCGGCCTCCCCCACATGGCATCAGGACCCTGCCCACCTCACCTACACCAGGTGCCCAGAGGTGTCCAGGAGCTTCTGAAGTGGGCATCATGCATGCCCCTACAGCGGTTTCAGCCGCAGCCCCCACATGGCCCCTCACCCTGCTCCCCTTTGCTGTCCTGGCCTCTACCCACAGTCCGGACCTGGGGTACTTCCCTCCGACCCTGGAAGAATGTCAGTGTCCCCACCAATGGGGCCGCTGCCAGGAGCTGCCAGACCCCCGTCCCCCACATTCCCTGGGGATGCCTCCATGGTCATCTGGGCCCAACAGGAGCGTGGCTGGAGTGTGGCCTGCTCCAGAGGCCACCAGCTGACCCTCAGCCACCCCACCTCTCCCTGCCCTCCCTCTGGGGGTCAGCAGCCATCCATGGCCACCTCACACACTCTCATGTGTTCTGGTGTCTCCTGCTCCTACCTCGTAAAAACCTCTCTTTATGCTGGGCATGATGGCTCACACCTGTAATCCCAGCATTCTGGGAGGCCGAGGCAGGCAGATCACTTGAGGCTGGGAGTTCAAGACCAACCTGGGCAACATGTGAGACCTCAAATAAAAAATATTTTAAAATAGGCTGACCGTGATGGCTCACACCTGTAATCCCAGCACTTTGTGAGTCCAAAGTGGGCAGGTCACCAGATGTCAGGAATTCGTGATCACCCTGGCCAACATGTACTAAAATACAAAATTTAGCTGTACATGTTGGTGCATGCCTGTAATCCCAGCTACTTGAGAGGCTGAAGCAGGAAAATTGCTTGAACACGGTTGGCGGAGGTTGCAGTGAACCAAGATCACACCACTGCACTCCAGCCTTGGTGACAGAGTAAGACTCCATCTCAAAAAAAATTTTTTTTAGTAAAAAAATAAAAGAAATTACCCAGGTGTGGTGGTGCATGCCTGTAATCCCAGCTACTTGGGAGGCTGAGGCAGGAGGATCACTTGAGCCTGGGAGGCAGAAGCTGCAGTGAGCCATGATCACACCACTGCACTCCAGCCTGCGTGACGGAACAAGACCCTTTCTCAAAAAACAAAAACAAAAATAAAAAAACCCTCTCTCTCCTCCCAGTTCTCCTGAGAAGGCTGCAGTGGGCATGGCTAGGGTGTCACAGACCCTGCCGTGTGGGGAAGGGGCTACTGTCACAGCAACCAGCATAGCCTGGAAGGACATCAGTGCTCATGCAGAGAGAGAGGGAAAACAGACCAAGACCCAGGTGGGGTCCCGGAGGCTGAAGGGGGTGTCAGGCCGCTGTTGGTCTCAGGGGAGCCTTCCCTGTCACTCCCACTTCTGGGCTCGTGCCTCCAACTGGGTTGAATGTAACCAACTTTCACTGGGCATTCCTTGTGCCAGGCCCTGTGCTAGGCTCTGGGCATTTGGGGGCGAAACGTCGAGAGAGAGATCATAAGTAAACAGTACAAGGGAGGGAGGGGCCGGAGCCTAGTCCTGCAGCCCGACAGCCTCTGTTCTCCAAACACCAAGTGGGCCTCTGTGCTTGGAGCCTGGGGAGAACACTGGGGCACCCTCTCCTTTCCCTCAAGGGGTTCGAGGGTGGCACAGCAGGCACAGACTCCAGGCGTCTGCCACGGTGGCGCTCAGCATGCTGGAAGGTGGGGCTGGGTTGGAGGGGCCTGGGTCAGATTCTTGCCTCTGCGGCTTACAAGCTGCATGACCTTGGGCAGACTGTTTCACTCTCAGGACCTCAGTTTTGGCATTTCTAAAATGGGATGATAGCATGCGCCCCACCGTGTTGCAGTGAGGATAGAATGCAGCCACTCGCCCAGGGCCATGGCTCAGTGCCCGGCACGCAGTAAGCACGCAGCAAGCTCTTGGTGACAGTTACCATCACAGTGGCATTCGTGGGAAGTGGGGATAGGGGCTTGTATGCGGGCAGGAAGGAGGGGAAACTGGCCCTGAGTGGAGTACCATGAAGGAGCTGGCATTTGGACTGGGCTCAGGAGGACCCGGAAGCTTGCATTAAGGAAAAAGCATTTGTGTCCCAGGCCTCTGGACCTGCTGGTCAGCACTATGAACCTGAGCACCGTGGCCTGTGCCCTCCACCGCCGTGCACGCTCACTGAGTTCCTGGTGGGTGCTGGTAGCCAGGGCTGCCAAGCTGCACAAGTCCAAGGGGGGCCATTCACACAGAAGCTGAGGTGGAAGGAGCCCCCGGGGCTCTGTGACGCAGCAGCCCTGCCTCGGCCCGCACTGGCTGGGCACTGAGGACACGGCAACCAGCAGACCAGCCCCTGCACTCATGGAGAGCCAGGACCGTGCGCTGACAGGATGGGAGACCCGTGGCCAGCAAGCCCTACAGCCACAGTGCAGAACCTCCCAGGCCTGGGTCCTTTCCAGGTGTCGAGTGCTCCGGGGCCCCGCAGGCTCCTGCCTCTCCCTGCAGAAATCGCTGCTGGTCCTGCATTGTGGTTGGAAGGTCCCAGCGGATCAGGGAAGTAATGAGCAAGCTTGCCCTCCCCACCGCTTAGCCCACGGCTCTGCCAGGCCAATTAAGCTGCCTGCTGATCACCTGCGCAGGGGAGAGCCCAGCCGGGGTTGGCTGAAGTAAAATGATCTCCGTGCTCCATTGTAGAGAGGAGAGCTGTCGCCCCAAATCCAGCTCACATACTTGTGCCTTCTGGGTCAGGTTTGCTTTGCAGAAACATGGTTCTGCAGCAGAACCTCATGAGGGGTTGCAAACTGCTGCAGAGTGCAAGTATCCATTCATTCATTCTTTCATTCATTCATTCATCCAGCAAATGCTGGTTGAGAGGCCCAGGGTGTCAGGTTCTGCACACAGACAAGGGGGACACAGGCCTTGCGTGGGTCTCACTTCAGTTGGGGAGCTCTGTGAAGGAGCTGGCACAGGGGCTGGGATTTGGAGGGGTCAGGGAGTAAATTGGAGAGGATGCTGGAAGGTGATTCTCCAGGGAGAGAAGAATGCCAGTGGATGGATCCAGAGGGAAGCATGGGGCAGAGGGCACAGCGGCCCTCCTGGCTTCGTGTATTCAGGTGCTAGGCCCACTGTAACACGTTACCTCAAACTGTGTGGCTTAACTCAACCTCCATTTCTTCACTGTTCAGAAGGCCAAAAGTCCTAGGCCAAGGCAGGCGGATCACATGAGGCCAGGAGTTCAAGACCAGCCTTGCCAACATGGCGAAAACCTGTCTCTACTAAAAATACAAAAATCAGCCGGGCATGGTGGCACATGCCTGTAATCCCAGCTACTTGGGAGGCTAACGCGGGAGGATTGCTTGAGCCCCGGAGGTTGCAGTGAGCCAAGATCATGTCAGTGCACTCCAGCCTGGGTGACAGAGTGAGATTCTCTCTCAAAAAAAAAAAAAAAAAAAAAAAAGCCGCAAGTCTAAAATCAAGGCGTTGGCAAGCAGGTTCCTCCTGGAGGCACTGAGGGAGGATCCGTTCCAGCCTCTGCTCTCCAGTGGCTGGGGTGTGTCTCAACTCATGATTGCACCCCTCCCATCTCTAGCTCTGTCTCCCCGCTGCTGTCTTCCCTTAGTGTCTCTGTTTCTTCTTTTTTGTCATCAGGACACCAGCCGTTGGATTCAGGGACCGCTCTAATCCAGTAGAGC
Organism: Homo sapiens; assembly: GCF_000001405.40. Taxonomy (NCBI): domain Eukaryota; kingdom Metazoa; phylum Chordata; class Mammalia; order Primates; family Hominidae; genus Homo; species Homo sapiens. The sequence goes on along the minus strand of NC_000009.12, from coordinate 131,790,672 downwards.
TTCATTTTAATTTAACCAATGACACCAGCAAAGACTGTACTTCCAAATAAGGTCATAGCCACAAGGGTGAGGACTTCACTTGGGGTTAGGACTTGAACTTTTCTTTGGGGAGCCACCGCTCAAGCCATGGCACTTTGGTATTCTTGAGTGTGGTCTCAGCCTGAGTCTGGCTGAGACTTGACGCTGATCCTAACTCTCTTGCCTCCTTGGGGAGCCCAGGACGGTGCAGTGTTGTGGGGTCCCAGAGCAGGAAGGTAGCATCATGCAGCAGGAGGCACCAGAGAAACTGTTGGGCCGTTTCTTACACAGTTCAGCCATAGAGCTCCACATCAGTCCCTCCTGTCTAAATGCGGTCACCGGTCTTGGGCCTCCCTGACTCTCCCAGTAGGAACCAAGGGAAATACTGACTGCCAAAGGAGCCAAAACCCCAGGCCACATTGGGGTCCCCCACAGAGCCCGGACCCAGAGAAGGCATCTGGGGTGCTCCAGAGAAAACCCCCACAGGCCAGAGTGTCTGACCTGGCTGGGCACAACTGACCCCACCTCCAGACTGCCCAGCACTCCCACCTTCCCCAAAGCCTCTTTATTTTTTTCCCCCACCTGCCTGTGGTTTTCTCACCCCCAGGCCTGGAGTGCCCTCTCTCTGGCCCCTCTCTGTTTCGTGGATAACCCCAATTCATGCTCCAGGACTCCATTCAGCACCAGTGGAATAGCTACAATCCCAAAGACCAACATCACCAAATGTTGGTAAGGATGTGGAGCAACCGGAACTTGCATGCATCCTGCAGGAGCGTAAGATTACACGCCTTCAGTGGAGAACTGCTGGGCAGTTTCTTACATGGTTAAGCATCTACCTACCCTATAGCCCAGCAACTCCACTCCTAGGTATTTAGTCAAGGGAAATGCACACACATGTTCACAAAAAGACTTGCTTAGGAATGATCATAGCAGCTTTGTTTATATTGACTAGAAACTAGGAATAACTCCAAATGTCCATCTACAGACAAATGGTTAAACCAAGTGTGGTGCATCCTTATTATGGGGTATAGAAAGGGACAAGCTCCTGGTTCACACCACAACATGGATGACTCTTGAGATGTGCTCAGTGAGTATGCATGGTTCATTCAAAGGAAATCCCAGGCCGGGCACAGTGACTCCCACCTGTAACCCCAGCACTTTCTGAGGCCAATTGAGGATCACTTGAGGCCAGGAGTTCAAGACCAGCCTGGGCAATGTAGTGGGGCCCCATCTCCACCTCCAAAATTTTTTTTTAAATAGCTAAGTGTGGTAGTGTGTGCCTGTAGTCCCAGCTACTCAAGAGGCTGAAGTGAGAGGATAGCTTGAGCATGGGAGTTCGAGGTTTCAGTGAGCCAAGGTTACATACCACTACACTCCAGCCTGGGTGGCAGAGCAAGACCCTGTCAAAAAAAGAAGAAGGAAGGAAGGAAGGAAGGAAGGAAGGAAGGAAAGAAAGAAAGGGAGGGAGGGAAGGAAGGAAGGAAGGGGAGAGAGAGAAAAAGAAAGAGAAAGAAGGGAGGGAGGGAAGGAAGGAAGGGGAGAGAGAGAAAAAGGAAGAAAGAAAAGAAAGAAAGAAAGAAAAAGAAAGAGGAAAGAAAGGAAAGTAAGAAAGAAGGAAGAAAGAAAGAAGGAAAGAAGGAAAGAAAGAAAGAAGGAAAGAAAAAAGAAAGAAAGAAAGAGAAAGAAAGAAAAGAAAGAAATTCCTAGGGCAGACAAAAGTGATCTATGGTATTAAAAATCAGAACAGCAGAGGAGGGTATTGACTAGACAGTGACGGAAATGGTCTATGTCTTGTTCTGGGAGGGAGTTACAGGGGTATATACAACTTGCTGAAAAGAACACCTGTGACCTGGGCATTTTACTGTGCCTTAATCATACCTCCATTGTACATGTGTGTATCTGTATGTATGCACATGTGTGTATGGTATGAAAAGACCCCCCCAACCCTGGCCTCACTCCTCCAGAGAGTCCTTCCCACACCCACCCCAAGCTGAGTCGGGGGCTCCTCCTTCACGCTCCCCCAGTGAGCATCTCTTCCTGCACCTGCTGGCTCGAACCCACCTGTCCAGCTGCTCGGCATCCCCAGCAGGACACCCTTTGTGGCTATAGGTGGCTGCTGTGCCTTTTCATCTGCATGTCCCTGAGCCCAGCCTCCCTCCTGAGGCTGAGATGTTTACTGAATGGACAAATGAGGAAATGATTGCCACATCTTTATATTTACAGCTGTAGCTGCAGCCCAGATACCTGTTTGTATCTACAAACTCCATTTCGACCTCCTATTTATGCCTGTCTCTATTAAATCTACAGAGATTCATAAACGCAATGTCTAACATGCCCGTCACTCGCTGTCAGCTGTGCTGAGCTCCCGGAGGTGCTCATGGAAGGTGTAAGCACTGGTCAGCCCACAGGTCCTCGGGGCTCCCGTGAAGTGACAGGTCAGCAGTCTCCACCAGGCTTCCCGCCAGGCTTGCCCCCTTCTCTTTGTCATGTTTCTTCTCCCCTCCCTCCTCCGACTCAGGTGTGTGTGTCCCCCTCCGACTCAGGCGTTACGTAGAGTTCAGGCTCAGAAATGAGACAGTTGTGTTCGATTTCTGACTCTGCTTTGTGACCTTGAGCAAGTCACTTACCCTCTCCAGACCTCAGTTTATTTATCTGTGAAATGGGTCATACTCATGCCTGCTTTGTTGAGGAGTCAGTGGGGCCAGGGGAGGTTTTGTGCGTAAAGCACTGAGCCTGGTGCTTCAGAGGAATGGACCCATCAGACAGACCCTGCGTGGCCCCAGAGGTTTCACAAGTTAAGTGGGTCCCCCAGCACAGAGTTAGTTCATCCATCCCCACCCCACCCCCTGCGCCCGGGCAGCCTCCAGGGTACTTCTCAGCTGCAAAGAGTATTTTCAGCTCAGACCATACAGCCCTAGGCTAATTTGAAAATGAGGCTCCTAGCGGGATCCCAAATACCAGGGATGAGCTGCAGGGAGGGGCAGACATTAGCTTCGGAAAGCAGATTAGAGAAGGAAGCCCCCCGACAGCAGGAAAGAGCAGAAATCAGGGCTTTGAAAAGAAAATGGCCAAATGCAGAGTGTGAAACCATTCTGGGCCGAGGGGGAGAACTCACCCTGAATGTGGTGAGGGTCGCCTCTCTTTCCCAACGAGGACTACAACGCCAAGGCCGTTACTTTAGCAGGGCCCTCAGTCCACGGCCTGGCCTCGGGAACACAGATCATGTCACCTGGCACTGAGGAGGGGCAGAGAGGTGGCATCGCCAGCCCACAAACCCAGGACCCACAGTTGTCTCCCAGGCTCCACCCTTTCCTGGCTGTGTGACCTCGAGTAAGGCACTAAACATCTCTGAGGTTCATTTCCTCCTCAGGAAATGGTAAGTACAAGGCCTCCCTCCCACCCAACACCACGAGGATGCTGTCTCCGTGTCTGCCTGATCCCGGGTCCCTCCCCAAGGTCTGGCACAAGCAGGAGGCTTGCTACAGACTTGGTAAAGAGTGAAAGACAGTCCCAGCCAGACCATCCTCTTCACTGACAAGGAGGGTGGGGAAACTGAGGCACAGAAGAGTTGCTTAGGGTGACTGGTCATAAGAGGAGCACAGAGATGTAATGTCAGATTTTAGCCAGACGTTTGGGGCAAGGTCCCTGTGGGGGCCTTGTTTTCACTCCCTTTTGACCCTCCAAAGCCCCCATATGTGCAGATCTCCTTACCTAAGAATGACACCGGAAATGCTGGCATCAGAAATGAGAAACTGTAGGAAAATACAAAGAAAGAAGAAAAATCACCTGAATCCCACCATCCCAAGGCACCTGCTGGTGATATTCCAGAGCACGCCTTCCTGCCGTCCTTCCAGGCACCTGTTCATGAATGGCCTTGTGGGTACAGTTTTACCTGCCCACAGGTAAAACTGTGGGATCACACCTGTAATCCCAGCACTTTGGGAGGCCAAGGTGGGTGGACTTGAGCCCAGGAGTTTGAGACCAGCCTGAGCAACATGATGAAACCCCATCTCCACAAAAAATTAGCTAGGCATGGTGATGCGTGCCTGTAGTCCCAGCTATTCAGGAGGCTGAGGTGGGAGGAACACCTGGGCCAGGAGGTTGAGGCTGCAGTGAGCCAAGATTGTGCCATTGCACTCCAGCCTGGGTGACAGACCTTGTCTCTAAATAAATACATGTTTTAAAATGTACCTCCAACATCATTTTTACTGGCTATGTAAGAATCCATTGTATGGATGGATTCTGACAGAATCAATCAATCTCCAGTTGGGGTAGAGAGCTAACGATTGGTGTTTTTTTTCACTGGAAACAAGTGACCGGACAGGCAGACATCCAACTTCTCTGAACCATCCCTGGTGACAGGGGCTTGCTATTCACAAGAGAGTCACATTCCAACTGCAGGCAGCTCCAGGGTTAGGAAATCCTTCCTGAGGTCGAGCCTGAATCTGCCTCCCAAGCCCTTCCTCACACTGGTGTCAATTCAATTCTGCACTTAGGGTGACACACACTGTCTATCCCTCAGCCTCGGTCTCCTGGTCTCCACCCCAAAACCAAACCTCACACCCATCTTATTTTTTTTTTTTTTTTTTTGAGACAGAGTCTCACTCTGTCACGCAGGCTGGAGTGCAGTGACACAATCACAGCTCATTTCAGCCTTGGCTTCCTGGGCTCAGGCAATTCTCCCACCTTAGTCTCCCAAGTAGCTGGGACTGCAGGTGCACATGCCACCACACCTGGCTAATTTTTTGTATTTTTGTTGTTGTTGTAAAGAGACAGGGTTTCACCATGTTGCCCAGGCTGGTCTTGAACTCCTGGGCTCAAGTGATCCTCCCACTATGGCCTCCCAAAGTGCTGGTATTACAGGCATGAGCCACTGCACCCAGCCCACACACCCATCTTTTTGATCTCTTGGTTGGAGAGAGAGGTGCCTTCCCCACTGGCACGGGCAAGCCTCCCAGGGCCACAGCGGGGTATGAGATTTGCAGATTTAGAAAGAATGAGCTTTGGCTTTAGAGCCAGACATTCCTAGGTTCAAAGTCCGGCTTCACCATTTCCTGGCTATGCGACCTGGGGAAGGCACTTGACCTCGCTGAGCCTCAGTTTCCTCATCTGTAAAATAGGTTTAATCACCAACCTCATGTCACAAAAATGTCAGGGGGGCTTATTTGTAAACCACTTAGTTTAGGACAAGCTGATGATAAAGACTTAAATGGTAGAAAATGATACTCCAGACAGCAGGGAGATGCTCTCCATGAGGATCCAGGTGACAGGCCCAGTGGGGATCTGGGAGCCTCATGGAGACGAGACATCCCAGCCCTGCCCCCTCTGCCCCCTGTCAAAGGCCTGTGACAAGCTAATCCCTCATGGAGGGGAGGGCTCCAGGACCAGGAGGGGCGGCTCGGCGAGGAGGGAGGGCTAAAGACTTACAGAGCGATCAATACATTATTTAACAGCAAGAATGCAAATGAGGAAAATTAATGAAGGCGCTGTCTCAGCCCCTGCCTCCCCATCCCCCACTGTTCTTGACTTCGGATTGCTGACAAATTCTCTAGAAAATATCAAAACAGCCTCCGGCTGGAACCTGCCACAGTGATGCACCATTATCTATTATTGATGTAAACCTTGACAAGTTCTCTTTTTAAGGAAGACAAGCACGAGAGAGAGCTGCTAATCTGTGTTTAAAGGGATAGACTGTCATTTCCCTTCCCCAGGGCTGCCGGGCCACTGGAGCGCCTGCAAACTGCAGGCCCTCTGCCTGCCCTGTCATTTTCGGTAGCTGGAGGGACCCAGTCCTAACCAGAACAGGGAGGGAGACCTGGAAACAGCAATGGGAGGTCAGGGCCGGGGGAGTGGGGTGGTATTTTGTGCCCCTCACCAGCTTTCCCTTGGATGTGCCTCAGTTTCCCTCTTTATGCTCTTTCCAAGGCCAGCTATTTTATGGCATAACCTTGCGGGCAAGGTAGGAGTCGTGCTGAAACCAGAGAGCTCTGACCCCTGCCTCAGTCATCTGAAGTGTTTTTAGGCCAGTGAAACTCTGTATGATGCTACAGTGGTGGATCTGTGTCATTAGACATTTGTCCAGATGCACAGGGTGCCCAACATCAGGAGAGAACTCTATGTAAACTGCAGACACCGGGTGGCAACGATGTGTCAACAGAGGTTCATCCATTGTAACTGATGTCCCGCTCTGATGGGGGATGTTAATAGAGGGGAGGCAGTGCAGGTGCAGGGGTATATGAGAGTATATGAGAAATCTCTGTACCTTTCACTCAGTTTTTCTGTGAACCTAAAACTTCTCTAAAAAATAAAGTCTGTTTTTCTAAAAATCCTTGAGGCTGGGCACAGCAGCTCATGCCTGTAATCCTAGCACTTTGGGAAACCAAGGCAGGAGCATAACTTGAGCCCAGGAGTCCAAGACCAGCCTGGACAACACAGGGAGACCCCCCCATCTCTACAAAAAAAATCCAAAAATTAGCCAGCCTTGGTGGCACACAGCTGTGCTTCCAGATACTCGGGAGACTGAGGTAGGAGGAGCATTTGAACCCAGGAGATGAAAGCTTCAGTGAGCTATGATTGCATCACTGCACCCCAACCTGGGCAACAGAGTGAGATCCTGTCTCAAAAACAAACAAACAAACAAACAAACAAACAAAACCAACGGCCCAAAAGTTCCTTCAGCTGATACACAACTTCAGCACAGTTTCAGGATACAAAGTCAATGTACAAAAATCACTAGCATTCCTCTATACAAGCGATAGCCAAGCCAAGAGCCAAATCAGGAAGGCAATCCCATTCACAATCGCCACAGAAAGAATAAAATACTTAGGAATACAGCTAACCTGGGAGGTAAAAGATCTCTACAATGAGAATTACAAAACACTGCTCCAAGAAATCAGAGAAGACACAAACAAATGGGAAAACATCCTATGCTCCTGGATAGGAAATAAATATCATTAAAATGGTCATACTGCCCAAAGCAATTTACAGATTCAATGCTATTCCTATCAAACTACCAATGACAGTATTCACAGAACTAGAAAAAAAACTACTTTAAAATTCATATGGAAGGAAAAAAGAGCCTGAACAGCCAAGGAAATCCTAAGCAAAAAGAGCAAAGCTGGAGACATCATATTACCCAACTTCAAAGTATACTACAGGGCTACACTAACCAAAACAGCATGGTACCAGTACAAAATCAGGCACATAGACCAATGGAGCAGAATAGAGAGCCCAGAAATAAGGCTGTACACTTAGGACCATCTGATCTTTGACAAAGCTGACAAAAACAAGCAATGGGGAAAAGACTCCCTATTCAATAAATGGTGCTTGGATAACTGGGTAGCCATATGCAGAAGATTGAAACTGGACCCCTTCCTCACACCATACACAAAAATCAAATCAAGATGGAATAACCACTTAAATGTAAAACCCAAAACTATACAAACCCTGGAAGACAATCCAGGCAATACCATCCTGGACATAGGAATGGGCAAATATTTCATGGCAAAGACACCAAAAGCAATCGCCACAAAAGCAAAAATTGGCAAGTAGGATCTAATTAAGCTTAAGAGCTTCTGCACAACAAAACAAACTAACAACAGAGTAAACAGGCAACCCACAGAATGGGAAAACCTATTTGCAAACTATGTATCTGACAAAGGTCTGATATCCAACATCTATAAGGAACTTAAACAAATTTACAAGGGAAAAGCAACCCCATTAAAAAGTGGGCAAAGTAAGGTCTTTGGGGAACAGGGATGCTTATTTCCTCTGCCTTCCTTGTCTGCCTACACGGATACCTACGTCTCTTCCCTTTGAGATACATCTCACGCACATGCTGAAGAGTTGTCTTTCTTGACATAGGCCAGAGGCATTGATGTGCAGCAGGTTTCTTTAGTCAACCATGACCTTCCCACCAACAGGGAAAACTATATCCACAGAATCAGTCGAGATGGATGGTTTGGCCGTAAGGGTGTGGCTATTAACATGGTGACAGAAGAAGACAAGGGGACTTTTCAAAACATCGAGAACTTCTACAACACTTCCATTGAGGAAATTCCCCTCAATGTTCCTGACCTCATCTGAGGGGCTGTCCTGCTCCCTAGCCCCAGCCAGGGTTCAATCTTGGAGGGCTGAGGAGCAGCAGGAGAGGGGAAGGAAAGGAGCCAAGGGATGGACGTCTTGTCATTTTTTTTCTTTGAATAAATATCATTTTTTGAGGCAAAAGAAAAAAAAGTAGGCAAAGGACATGAACAGACACTTTCCAAAAGAAGACATACATGCAGCCAACAAGCATATGAAAAAAAGACTCAGTATCACTGATCATTAGAAAAATGCAAGTCAAAACCACCGTGAGATACCATCTCACACCAATCAGAATGGCTGTGATTAAAAAGTCAAAAAATAACAGATGCTGGTGAGGTTGTGGAGAAAAGGGAATCTTTATACACTGTTGGTGTTAATTAGTTCAACCCTTGTGGAAAACAGTGTGGCAATTCCTCAAAGAGCTAAAAACAGAACTACCATTCAACCCAGCCATCCTACTACTGGATATATACCCAAAGGAATATAAGTCATTCTACCATAAAGACATGTGCGTGCAAACGTTCATTTCAGCACTCTTCACAATAGCAAAGACATGGAACCAACTCGAATGCTTATCAATGACAAATTGGATCAAGAAAATGTGGTACCTGGTCGGGCATTGTGGCTCACACCTGTAATCCCAGCACTTTAGGAGGCTGAGGCGGGCAGATCACTTGAGGCCAGGAGTTCGAGACTAGCCTGGCCAACATGGTGAAACCCTGTCTCTACTTAAAAAAAAAACAAAAACGTAGCCAGGCATGGTTAGCAGGTGCCTGTAATCCCAGCTCCTTGGGAGGCTGAGGCAGGAGAATTGTTTGAACCCGGGAGGCGGAGGCTGCAGTGAGCCGAGATTACGCCATTGCAACACTCCCTATTACCACACCCTCTTGTTTCTCTCCTTTACATGACCTGTCCACCCCCATAAAGGCATTCATGCTTGTGACCCCTGGGTTATATGCTCTCAAAAATTTCAGTTATGTGCACTGTGATCATCAGCTATAAACCAGCAATGAATCTGTGGTCTCTCATTTCTCAATGATGCCATTTCTCTGAAGCACTTTTCATAACGGCTTTAAATTTAAGCAAGTTAGATTTGCTTAATGTCTAACTCCTTTGTCAAAACACAAGTCCCATGAGGGTGTGTGCCCCACACTAGATGGCCCAAGCTGGTTCTACTGCTACAGTTCTCACAGCCGCTTCTTATACACCCTCTATCCTGCTTCTGGTCTCGCTGGCTGTGGTCCAGTTGTGCTGTTTACAAAGTCTCCTCTCCACGAAGTCCCTCTTCACTGCTTCCAGCCTTCCAGGGGAGCAAAAAAGAAAACCCATGCTTCTTAGAAATGAGTCTCAAATGAGACTCAATGACTCATAGGGAGCTCTCCTGTGGATCAAGTTCATGAAATTTCATGCAAGAGTTTTGAAACCTTGAAAGCCCTCCTTCCAAGAGTTGGTGGTTTTTTTTTTCTATTGATTTGCCTGATGTGTTTCAGTTAGTTGCATTTCTTCTTTTTTTTTTTTTTAACTCTTATTTTAGGTTAGGGGGTACATGTGAAGGTTTGTTTTCTTAGGTAAACTCGTGTCACAGGGGTTTGTTGTACAAATTACTAAATCAACCAGGTATGAAGCCCAGCACCCAACAGTTATCTTTTCTGCTCCTCTCCCTCCGCCCACCCTCTACCCTCAAGTAGACCTCAGTGTCTGTTTTTCCCTTCTTTGTGTTCATGAGTTCTCATCATTTAACTCCCACTTATAAGTGAGAACATGTGGTATTTGGTTACCCTTAGTTTGCTAAGTATAATAGTCTCCAGCTCCACCCATGTTCCCGCAAAAGACATGTTCTTTTTTAATGGCTGCGTCATATTCCGTGGTGTATATGTGCCATATTTTCTTTTTCTTTTCTTTTTTTTTTTTGGGCGGGGGCGCGGCAGAGTTTTGCTCTTGTCGCCCAGGCTGGAGTGGCACTATCACGGCTCACTGCAGCCTTGACCTCCCAGGCACTCAAGTGATTCTCTCACCTCAGCCTCCCAAGTAGCTGGGACTACAGGTGCGCACCACCATGCTCAGCTAATTTTTGCATTTCTCATAGAGACAGGGCTTCACCATGTTGCCCAGGCTGCCCGGGCGCTGGGGTCACAGCCATGAGCCACCACGCTCAGCTGATATTTCCCAATTTTCAAACACTGTTAACTAATTCTTACTTTCTAAAACCGTGGCACAGGCCAAACAATACCTGTCTGCAGGCTGACTGCAACCTGAGAACCACAGTATGCAACCTCTCATCTTTGCTGATGAGGAAACTGAGGCCTGGAGAAGTTTGCCGACGTCTGTGATCAGCTGCCCAGCTCTGCGGGCTTTAAACAGTTTAGTACTTTTTCCAGATCAAGCAACAGGAGTTTGGATCTGGGACGCATCATAAGAACATCAACCTGGGCTGGGCGCAGTGGCACACACCTGTAATCCCAGCACTTTGGGAGGCCAAGAGGGGGCTGATCACTTGAGGTCAGGAGTTCAAGGCCAGCCTGGCCAACATGTCAAAACCCATCTCCACCAAAAATACAAAAATTAGCCAGGCATGGTGGAAAACACCTGTAATCCCAGCTACTTGGGAGGCTGAGGCAGGATACTCGCTTGAACCTGGGATGGGGAGGTTGCAGTGAGCCGAGATCGTGCCATTGCACTCCAGCCTGGGCGACAGAGTGAGACTCCATCTCAGAAAAAAAAAAAAAGAACACTAACCAGGTATGGGTCCTCACAACACATCTGGTTTATTCTCAGCCCTCTGCACACTCTGTCTCATCAGACTTTCACAAGAGTGCAACGGGGTGAGGATTGCTCTTCCCCTTTTATCAGTGAGGAAATAGAGACTCAGAGGGGTCAAGCAGTTTCTCAGGGTCACACATCTGCAAAAGCAGCAGAGCCAGACTGAGGGCACCTGTGAAGCCACGGGGTCCCATACCAGGAACCTACAGTGTATCGCCTCACTATAAAATGGAAACAAAGGCCAGGCACAATGGCTCATGCCTGTAATACCAATGCTGTGAGAGGCCAAGATGAGAGGATCACTTGAACCTAGGAGTTCGGGACTAGGCTGGACAATGTAGCAAGACCTCATCTCTACAGAAAATTTAAAAATTAGCCAGGCATGGTGGTGCATGCCTGTGGTCCCAGCTCCTCAGGAGGTTGAGGTGGGAGGATTGCTTGAGCCCAGGAGAGTGTGGCTGCAGTAAGTCATGATTGTGCCACTGCACTCCTGCCTGGGCAACAGAGTGAGACCCTGTCTCAAAAAAAGAAAAAGAAAATAAAGAGCGAGAGGCAAATCCAAAGTTGCATAGTTGTTCTATTTGTTTCCCATTGCTGCCCTAACAAATTCCCACAAACTCAGTAGCTTAAAACAACACGAATGTGTTACAGTTCTGGAGGTCAAAAGTCCTAAAATCGAGGTGTCGGCAAGACTGCATTCCTTCTGGAGCCTCTAGGGAGGAATCTGTTCCTTGCCTTCTACCGCTTCTACAGGCCGCCTGCATTCCTTGGCTCCTGGCCCCTTCTTCCATCTCTGAAGCCAGCAGCATAGCCTCTTCCTGTCTCTCTCTTTCTGACCTCTGCTTCCATTGTCACACCTCCTTCTCTGGCTCTGACCTTTGTGATTCCATCGGGCTCACTCAGATAATCCAGGATCATCTCCCCACCTCAAAACCCTTGATTTAATCACATCTGCAAAGTCTCTTTTGCCACGTCAGGGAACACATTCGAAGATTCCAGGGATTAGGACAGGAACATCTTGGTGGGGAGCATAGTTTTGTCTCCCACAGCTGTCTTCCCTGCAAAGACTACACTTGTCACCAGTGAGTGGAGAGGGGTGGGAAAAAACCAATGACAGAAGGTTCCATAAGAAAGCTCAGACTTCACTGAGAGGCCATGAGAAGCCCATGAAGGAAGCAAATCCCCCTTTCGCTCCCTAGGAGCAGCTCAGGGAAAGCTGGGGCAGAGGCACTGACACCCAATCAGGCTGACCTCATGCCAGTGTCAGGGTGAGGCCCTTTTTTTTTTTTTTTTCTGAGAAGGAATCTTACTCTGTCACCCAGGCTGGAGTGCAGTGGTATAATCTGAGCTCACTGAAACCTCTGCCTCCCAGGTTCAAGCGATCCTCCTGCCTCAGCCTCCCAAGTAGCTGGGATTACAGGCATGCACTACCACGCCAGGCTAATTTTTGTATTTTTAGCAGAGATGGGATTTCTCTATGTTAGCTAGGCTGGTCTTGACCCCCTGACCTCAAATGAGCTACCTGCCTCAGCCTACCAAAGTGCTGGGATTACAGGCACGTACCACTTTGCCTGGCCCCTTTGTCATCTTTTATCCCCTACCAGCCTAATAAGGTCACTCCCTGGGAAGGAGTGCTGGGATCTAGAACCCAGCATTCCCTGTTTGAACAGGCATCCCTGCATGAGGTCTAGGGAGCTGACACACTGCATCTATGTCTAGCTTCATGGCCCTGGAGAGCTGCAAGAACTCCAGGGGCAGCGGGCACCCAGCTGCCCCTCAAGCTGCTGAGCCTATCAGAAGGACACTGCACTGTTTCCTCCATTCACTCCTTCACCCAAGATAAGTTGATCAGGCAACTACTCTGGGGCAGGCCCTGTGCCAGGCACTCAGATGCAGCTGGAAAAGAGGCAGATGGGGCCCATGCCCTTGTAGGACTGGTGGTTTGGCAAGAGTTAGGTGTTAAGCACATAATCATTTAATTGCAGATGTGAAAAGTGTTCAGACAACATGGCATCTTTGAGAAAAGAGAGGCCTCATATGGTGCATTTTCTTTCCTTTTCTTGAGACACGGTCTTGTTTTTTACCCAAGCTGGAGTGCAGTGGCACGAACACAGCTCACAGCAGCCTCAACCTCTGGGGTGCAAGGGATCCTCTGGCTTCAGCCTCCACAAGTAGCTGGCACCATCACACTCCACTAATTTTTGTATTTTTTGTAGAGACGAGGTTTCACCTTGTTGCCCAGGCTGGTCTCAAACTTCTGGGCTCAAGCAATTCTCCTGCCTTGGCCTCCCAAAATGCTGAGACTACAGGTGTGAGCCACTGTGCCCTGGCGTATGGTGCATTTTCTAGATAACTGAAGGTACCTCCTTGAAGGAATGAAATATAAGTGGCTGGAAGAGGAAGAAGAGGGAGAAAATCAAGTCTCTCTGAAATGCACCGCTTATGTTCTCAGTTATCAGTTTCATGGTGCAGCCTTTGACCTGATGCATTCCTGCTCTGGGCTGTGAGGTGCTTCTACTGTTTTGGGCTCTCTCTGTTTTTTTGTGTGTGTGTTGTTGTTGTTGTTGTTTTCTTTTTTCTTCTTCTTTCTTTTTTTTTTTTTTTTTTTTTTTTGAGACGTAGTCTCTCTCTGTCTCCCAGGCTAGAGTGCAGTGGCACAATCTCAGCTCACTGCAACTACCGCCTCCCAGGTTCAAGCAATTTCCCTGCCTCAGCCTCCCAAGCAGCTGGGATTACAGGTGCACATCACCATGCCTGGCTAATTTTTGTATTTTTAGTAGAGAAGGGGTTTCACCATGTTGGACAGGCTGGTCTCGAACCCCTGACTTCAGTTGACTCACCCGCCTCGGCCTCCCAAAGTACTGTGATTATAGGCATGAGCCACTGCGCCTGACCTCTCTGGTTTGGTGTCACATCCCTTTCCTCACAGTCTGACCATTGGTACCACTTCTCCCGGGGGAAGGGACTTGGCTCTCGGAGTGTCACCTCTGCTGTTCTGCTACTGCACATCCTATGACTGGTCACCAGAAGGCCAGGTGGGAAACGTGTGCAGTCCCTCCCCTCTGGGGTGGGGACTCCAGGCCCAAGCTTCACCATGAACCCAGGCCTGGAGTCTCTCAGAGCCTGGGAGCTGTCCAGGGTCCTGCACCGCTTGAGGCCTGAGGTTCACATCCCGGCCTGCCCAATGGTGGATTGTGAGGCCCTGGGCAAGTCCTACCCTATTTCCGAGCCCCAGGCTCCCCGTCTGAAAGATGGGCAGGACAGATCAGATGGTCTCCAGGGCTCCTGCTGGCTGCCTTCTTAGATCCTTTATATCCCAAAAGGATTGTCATGGGTCTTGGGCTCTTTTCTGGACTGGACAGACGACACTTGAAGGACAGGGGGTCAGCACCAAGTACAGATCTGGGCAGAGTGGATGTCCCACAAAAATATTGGCATAAAGAGCCAGCAAGCCTGCTGCAGGGAGTGAGGGCCTCGCTGACATTCTCAAATGATGCCCGTGGTAGGGCTGGCACAGACCCAGTGGCTGAGGCCCAAGGCTGCAGGCTCCCCACAGGGATGTGCCATCCTGCCACTCCATGGGGAACTGCAGGCATTCTGTCCTTGTTCAGGGAGGGGAGGGAGCTGGGGCTGGCCTGGGACACCAGGAATGGCTCCTTTGCTGAATTCTTATGAGGCCCCCACGGCTGGGTGTTCTCATCTCTCAGGAGGTGGGCTGGGTGGGGCAGCCTTCAGACTTGCACTTGGGAATCTACCATCCCTGGGTTCAAGTTCCACTCTCTCTCTTGCTAACCAGAGGTTAGGTCTTGGGAAAGTGGCATAGCCTCCTGTAGCCTCCACTTTCTCAACCGCACAAAGGACACCCACTTCATGGGCTCATTGTGGTGCTAACAGATAATAGGACCCAGTGAAGTGCATACCATGCAGTAAGCATCCAACATGTAAGTGGTGGGTGTTAAAATTATTCAACTGATCAGTTAGTCTACTGGTTTCAAGGCTGGTCTTGGGGAATCCCCTTCTGAGAAGCAGGGAAGGGGCAGTGGACCTAATGGTCTCTCAAGTCCCTTTCAAGCTCACACTCTGTGACCTACATGAGCTGTTGCCCTCCTGTCACTCCTCCTTCTAGCCCTAGGCTGTGGCCCTCCAGAAGGCCAGGGTCACTCTGCCTCTGGTTGCCCAGCAAACAGAAAGTCCTCTGTCAGAACGGACCAGCCAAGTGGGCAGAGTTCCTCACTGGGGCAGAGCTGCACTGGGGGCAGGTGTGCAATCTGGGGCAGGTGGGAAGGTGGCAAGGACAGGTGATGCCACCGTAACAGAAGGAGGAAGTGGCAGGGAGGCCCCCACAGCCCCAAAAGTATAGGTCATTCTTCCCCCCAGGTCAGAGGTCATCCCTCCCTCAAGGTCAGGGATAGGGCCCAACTTTCAGATGAGCCAGGAAAGCTCGCTGGATGGAAGAGCTCATGGAGAGTTTAAATTAAAGAGCCTGGTGTTGCTTCTGAAAAACAAACAAACAAACAAACAAACAAAAAACCCTCTCTCTGCATTGATTCCCTTTGAAAAGTATTTAGTTCAACACAGAGGAGAGGGTTGGAGGAAACAGAAGCCGGGAAGGGGGAATCACAGACGGGCTGTGATGTGACATGCATGGGCAAGAGGCCTGGCTCCCTAAGTCTGCAGTGCCAGTGACCTGGCCCTGCCTCAGGTGGGATTTGCCTCCTAAAAGGTAGCCACATTCAAACAGAGCTGAGACCTCCCAGCCCACCCCAGGGTCTGGCCGGCCAACCTGCCTTCTCCTGGCTGCCGTTCTGTCTGTCCTCTCTCCCCAGGAGAAGCCAGGGTGGTTGCAGTGACACAGCAAACTGCCTGGGCCCCAGGCAAGGAGCTTGGGGGCAGCCAGCTCTCTGCCACTGGGAGTCTCCTGAGACCTCACAAACTGCCCCAGCTTCCCTCAGTCTCCGCCGGTGTGCTGGCTCAGCAAGGCTGGTGAGCCCTGAGCTGTTGGACAGGGTGCAGCTGCCAGCTCCCAGCCACAGCCCGACTCCTTTTCCAGTGCCCCTTCCACAACTGCCACCCCAGCTGCCCTGGGGCCCCCAAACCCTGGGGGAGGCAGCTTAACCTGTCTGTGTCTCAAGCCATCTGTAAAATGAGGGCTTTCATGAAGCCGCAGGGGAGGGAGTGGGGCCCTGGGGTGCCGCAGAGGAGGCTGTGCAGGCAAAGAGCCAGAGCCCTTGAGCAGGGGGACTTTGAAAGTTACCAGAGTGACCTCCATTACCCAGGAACAAGAGGCAGCCAGGCCTCTGGACAGAGCAGAATCTGAGGCCTAAACATCAAACCCCTAGGCTCCTGGCTTCTTCTTTTGCTGAACCCCCCTTGGAGGCGTTGACTCATTCCCCTGTATTCTCCAAAGCAAGGGGAGAAGAAGGGCCACTCACCAACCCCAGCTGGACCCACAGACCCTTCCTGGCCCCACCTGCAAGTACCTGGGAGAGTGAATGGATTGGTCCTCCTTGGTCATGTGCTTACCTCGTCCAATCAGCTATGGGCACAGTCTGAACTCTTAGCTGAGAACCCCCACCCTCCGAGTGAGGGGAGGGGCATTCCCAACACCATTCGTCCTGAGTAGGAAGTCACTCCCACAGGTGTCCCAATAAGGGCCTGTAGCCCTGGTCTGGGAGTCAGAAAGAACTGAGTGGGAGAGGGTGAGTGGACTAGTCCAGTTCAGCACCTTGGACAGGTCACTCCAGTTTCTGATATAGCAAAGGAACTCATAGTCCCTGCCCGGCTGCCCGGCTGCCCAGCTGCCCTGCCTCACAGTGAGGCTGCCGAGGGGGCACCAAACAGCCAAGGGTGGGACTCAAATCCTCAGACACCTAGACTTCATCCAGGGCTCCCTCCACTACATCAACGCCCCAGGAGCAGGCTCTTCTCCCAGGCTATCCAAGGAGGGACCGACGCGGGCATTCATATATGAAGGCGTTCTAAAATGTAGGTTTTATTATTATTCAGGTATGGTGAGGCTAACAGATCAAGGGACTGCCATTAGAAAGAAGGTTTGTTGGCCGGGCGCAGTGGCTCAAGCCTGCAATCCCAGCACTTTGGGAGGCCAAGGCAGGCCGATCACGAGGTCAGGAGATCGAGACCATCCTGGCTAACAAGGTGAAACCCCATCTCTACTAAAAATACAAAAAAAAAAAAAAAAATAGCCGAGCGTGGTGGCGGGCACCTGTAGTCCCAGCTACTTGGGAGGCTGAGGCAGGAGAATGGCGTAAACCCGGGAGGCGGAGCTTGCAGTGAGCCGAGATCGCGCCACTGCACTCCAGCCTGGGCGACAGAGCAAGACTCCGTCTAAAAAAAAAAGAAGGTTTGTTATACCCACAGACCCCAAGAGGAGGGGACTCACCACATCACACAGGGCCAAACAGGAAACACAGGGCCACACAGGGAAACACCGAGGTCAGTCAAGAGGCAGAGGGAGCCAGGGGAAGGGGTGGCCAAGAGCCTTTATTGTGGTTCCCATGGGAATGAGCAGGATTGGGGTCAGCTCACTTGAATAATTTCAGGTTCTCTGGGGCATAGGGGCTGTTCCTAGTTGTCTGATACCTGGCCCTGGGGCGATTGGGGCAGGTAGGCAGGGGCCCAGAGTGTCAGAGTGAGGAAAAGGAGACTATTGGGGTGTGAACACCAGACTGCATGGTTTTCATATGAAAGGCGTGCTCCTAAGTGAGCCCTTTATTACCCCTGGGACTTGGCCCTGGGTGGGGGCAGTCCCTCCAGAGTCAGCAAGACCCCAAGATGTCAAAGCAATGGAAATGCAGAACATAAAAGGCAGGATTCATACAGAGGGTGGATGTCTCGGCCAAACTCCTGGGCAGCGACTGACCCCTCAGAGGCTCCCACTTGCCCAGCTCAGGAAGGGCGGTTCCCCAAGGAAGGGTGCTGGCATGGCGGTGAGTCAGCCCCAGTACCCACTCTGTCCCCCCGACCAGGCTGTCCTCCAACTCTCCACCTGCAGAGAGCCTCCAGCCATGCCTTGTCTTCCTCATCAGAGAGACCTGGTCCAGCCAGTGCTGGGCGGGGCTCTGAGCACAGCCCGCATGTCGGCGGCGGCTCCTGACATGGCTCCATCTAGCCTGACCGTGGACTGCTGGCGTGGGCCCAGGAGTCAGACTTGAGTTTGAGAACAGTCTCTGCTTCACAGTTGGGGGACCTCAGGGGAAATACGTAATCTCTTCAGACCCCAGAAAGAGCATTTTATTCAACCTCTTCATTTTTCTCCTCTTTTGAAGCCCAGAGAGATGGAGACGTGCCCAAGGCTGCAGAGTTAATTTGTACTCAGTGTACAGGGAATGGGTTTCTGATTCCAGGGCCCCATGTCAGCTCCACCAGCCTAACCATTTTACCATCCGCCTTTGCCACTCCCCTCCCTAGCGCCACTGGGCCCTGGCAACAGAGCAGGAGTGAGCAGAACCTTCCACAACCCCTCACTCTGGCTTCCCAGCCACTGCTGGCTTTGAAGCCGGTTTTTGTGACTTCGGAATATTGATTGTATTCCCTGCTGGCATGGCTGTTTGTTGGTCAGGCTTTTGTTTGGAAGAGTCCTCTTGCAGGCAGCCTGGGGTCACCTTCACATCCCGTCGGCCCTACCAGAGGATCTCCTGGCCACGGAGAAAGGCAGGGAAGAAAGGCAGGACCCTGGGGACACCCCATTCGATGGGGGTTATTCTTCCAGTGCAGCAGCAGCCCTGCTTCCAGGCAGAGGTGGAGAGGGCCTCCAAGTACCTTTGTGCAGCTGTGATTCTGCTGTCCAGAAAAGAAGAACTGGACCCCACAGAGGGCCAGAAGCCATTGCAGAGTTGAGCTGCAGCTTGGGCGGAGCTCAGGGATACCACAGGAGCTTCAGCACAAGCCAAGTGGGAGGAACAGAACAGGCATGGGCCAGGGGTCTGCAGGCTGGGCATGCCGGCCTCATGGCTGCACATCTGCTGTACAGTGCCTCAGGATGAAGCCAGGGCCTGCCACAGGGCCAAGTGGAGACTGCCAGCTCTGGAGCCAAGCGCACCTGGGTTAAATCCTCAGGCAGGCTACTCCACCTCATGGTCTCAGTTATCATATCCCTAAAGTGGGGATAATAAAAGTACTCCCTCATAGGCAGACAGGAAGAAGCAATGAGATGATGAGTGTACTTGACTCACTGGAAGGGCCCACTGATCCATCATCCGTGAGTCCTTTTTTTTTTTTTTTTTTTTTTTTGAGATAGGGTCTCACTCTGTCTTCCAAGCTGGAGTGCAGTTGTTGCAATCTCGGCTCACTATAACCTCCGTCTCCCAGGTTCAAGCGATTCTCCTATCTCAGCCTCCCAAGTAGCTGGGACTACAGACACGCACCACCACGGCCGGCTGATTTTTGTATTTTTTGGTAGAGACGGGATTTCACCATGTTGTCCAGGCTGGTCTCAAACTCCTAACCTCAAGTGATCCACCCGCCTTGGCCCCGCAAAGTGCTGGGATTACAGGCGTGAGCCATGCCCGGCAAGCGATTACTCTTAAAGTAACACCTCCAGCCTTGTTTCCTGTTACCCTCTCACTTGCACTCTACATTCTAGCCTCCCTGAATTTCCGTCTGCTTCTGGAAGCTTCCATGCTCTCTCACTCCTCCAGGCTTGCGCACATGCTGTGGAATACTCCCCCAGCTCCTCTTTCCCCAGCTAAGTCTTCCCCAGCTTCTAGGTCTCAGTCTTAATGTCACCTCCTCCAGGAAGCACTCCCGCTCTTGCTGCGTGCCCTGCAGCACCTGTGCTTTCTGCATCCCAGCAGCCCTCACAGGGGATTCTCCATTTAACTATCTGTCCCTCCCACTGGGATATAGGCTCCCTGGGGTTGGGGCCCACATCTGTCTTGTGCACCCCTATACGTCTGGCATCCAATGCCTGAATGAATGAAGTTCCACATCATAAAGGAGTTACCTTGGCGAGCAAGGAGGCTCCATCTCAGGCATTAGGGGTTATTATTATCAAGTAGGGGCTAGTAGGTGATGAAATAATGAGGCTAGAAGTCCTCGGTGCCTGAGAGGGGGCGATCATTGATGACTTGCTGGCTTGAAGTTTTGGGGGCAGGTGAGATATTCCCTGGGAAATATAGTCTTTCCCACGAGGCTCAAGAGGTTGTGTTGTGCATGGAAAAGATCACGCTTTTGAGCCTGGCAAACCAGATTCAAATTCTCACTCACTCACTTCTTCCTCCAAGCCTGATGGGCTCCCCTTTGATAAAAAATACATAACACAGATGACTTTTAAGAGAATTAAATGTGATGCTCCAGTACCTAGCACAGGGTCTGGCACAGAGCAGGTGATCCATTTTTTAAAAGCAACAAATGTTAATTTTTAAAAAGATACTACAAATCAAAAACATGCCTTACATCTTCTCCCTGACTATTTTGGTCAATCTCCCACATGCAGTTCATAATTCCTTCCCCGTGACATTATCCTCAAAATAATGTTTTCAATTTATAATTGATTGGATTTTTTTCCCCTGAGACAGACCTCTTCAAGTTTGGGTCTAAAGGATACAATCAACAAAATTAACACTTAAATATAGAACAATCTAAATCTGGTGACTGATCACAGGGATTTAAGGTAATAAGATTTTTAGACTTTCCAGGCTCTGAAGAGGGCACTGCATTTTATAGCATTCTTCTGGGCTAAAAGGGATGGGAAAACTGCCTTGCCACCAACCTTGAAGCCAGAGTCTCAACAAGGAAAAGGGTGCTGTTAGTGATCACACTGTGACGACAGCCATAAAGATAGTCCTGGCTAAAGGGGGCCCTCCTGGCAGCCAGTCTCAACCTGTCTTCCAGACCAGCTAGCCAAGAAGCTCACACAGTCAGCGACTTTGTCCATTTCATTCATAGCCTAGAATGGTGGCTGGGTCCACAGTAGGTGTTTCGTAAACACTTGTTGAAGAAGTGAATGAGCCAGAGTTCAAATGCAAGATGAAACGTTTTGCCAGTCCTGCTACAAGCAGTGGTGAGTTTTTCTTTAAAGTCACCATCACCTCTAATAAGCTCTATATTTCTTCTCTTTGGGTTTGTCTATGTGTGCCTTTAAATATATTTATGGAAATGGGTGTTTTGAAAAGTTCTTCTTATTCTTGTTCTTCTAGCCAAAATGGGAGTAAGAGTAAGAACCCTTAAGGTATTTGTGGTATCTGAACGAATTACCTAATTCCCCTGGCATTTTGGGAAACCTCCACCCCTGCCCAGGATGCCCTCAGGCTGCTCCCTCTTCCCTAGGAAGTGCTTCTCATCATTCAAAATATGAAACAGGCTGGGCTGCCTTTAATCCCAGCAGTTTGGGAGGCTGAGGCAGGCAGCTCACTTGAGGTTAGGAGTTCGAGACCAGTCTGGCCAACATGATGAAACCCTGTCGCTACTAAAAAAAAAAAAAAAAAAAATACAAAAATTAGCCAGATGTGGTAGCATGCCCCTGTAGTCCCAGCAACTCGGGAGGCTGAAGCACGAGAATCACTTGAACCCAGGAGGCAGAGGTTGCAGTGAGCTGTGATCATGCCACTGCACTCCAACCCGGGTGACAGAGTGAGACTCTGTCTCAAAAAAAAAAAAAAAAGAAAAGAAAAGAAACTATGAATGGAAAATGAATCTCCAATGTCTATCTCCAGTTCTGACCTCCCCAGAAGACCCCACTGCTCCTGTCCATGTGACTTCTCTGGGTTTCCTTCCATTCTTGAATGAGCCCCGTGGCTCCCACCTTGAGGCCTTCCCTCCTGCCGTTCCCTTTCAGGCAATGCTCTGCCTCTTCCCCATCTGAGAAAGATGGAGCCTCCCACCAGCCCTCTCCAGTGCTGGAAGCCCTCTCCCTTCATAGGGAGCATTGCCGCATGGGTGATATGTTCATTGACTTGTATTCCTAACAGCTTTTTTGAGGCGTAATTAACATCACATGTTTAAAGTGCACTATTTGATACTTTGGGACATATGTAGACACCCGTCAAACCATCACTAGGGTCAAGATAGTGAATACGCCTGTTAGGCAGTGAAATGAGATCTTCTGAACATTTATTTGTTGAGGCCCTGACCCCCAGTACCTCAGAATATGAGTGTATTTAGAGACAGGTTCTTTACAGAGCTAATTCATTTTAAATGAGGTAATTGGGTGGGCCTAGTCCAATGAGAACTGCTATCCTCATAAGAAGAGAAGATTTGGCTGGGTGCGGTGGCTCACCACTGTAATTCCAGCACTCTGGGAGGCCGAGGCGGGTGGATCACCTGAGGTCAGGAGTTCGAGACCATCCTGGCCAACATGGTGAAACCCCGCCTCTATTAAAAATACAAAACAATTAGCTGGGCATGGTGGCAGGTGCCTGTAATCCCAGTTACTTGGGAGGATGAGGCAGGAGAATCACTTGAACCCAGGAGGCAGAGGTTGCAGTGAGCCGAGATCACACGTGGTGGCAGGTGCGTGTAATCCCAGCTACTTGGGAGGATGAGGCAGGAGAATCACTTGAACCCAGGAGGCAGAGGTTGCAGTGAGCCGAGATCACACCATTGCACTCTAGCCTGGGCAACAAGAGAGAAAATCCGTCTCAAAATAAATAAATAAATAAATAAATAAAAATAAAAAATAAGAGAAGATGTGGACGCAGACACACAGAGGGAAGACGAGGGGAGGACAGCTGTCTACCAGCCGGGAGAGGCCTGGACAGAGCCTTCCCTCACTACCCTCGAAGGGAACCCATCCTGTCGACGTCTCGGACTTCTGGCCTCCAGAACCGTGAGAAGATGAATTTGTGTTATTTGAGCCCCCTAGTCTGTGGTCCTTTGTTATGGTAGACCTAGTAAACTAATACAATACCCATTTTCCCCCCAAATTTCCTCACGCCCTGTGGTACCCTGGAGGTACTAACCTCTAGCCCCCAGTGTCCCCAGGCAACCACAGAGCCACTTCTCATCACTGTAGTTTAGTTTGCATTACTAGAATTTTATGTAACGAAATTCTCCAGGCCAGGCGTGGTGGCTCACACCTGTAATCCCAGCATTTTGGGAGGCCGAGGTGGGTGGATCATGAGGTCAGGAGATCGAGACCATCCTGGCTAACATGGTGAAACCCCATCTCTACTAAAAATACGAAAAAAAAAAATTAGCCAGACATGGTGGCATGCGCCTGTAGCACCAGCTACTCAGGAGGCTGAGGCAGGAGAATCGCTTGAACCCGGGAGGTGGAAGTTGAAGTGGGCTGAGATCGCACCACTGCACTCTAGCCTGAGCAATAGAGTGAGACTCTATCTCGAAAAAAAATTCTCCAATATGTACTATTTTTTTTTCTTTTCTCAGCTCACTGCATCCTCTGCCTTCCTGGTTCAAGCAACTCTCCTGCCTCAGCCTCCTGAGTAGCTGGGATTACAGGTGCCCGCCACCACACCCAGCTAATTTTTGTACTTTCAGTAGAGACAGGGTTTCACTGTGTTGGCCATGGTTGGCCAGGGTGGTCTCGACCTCCTAACATCAGGTGATCTGTCCTCATTCCAAAGTGCTGGGATTACAGATATGAACCACTGCGCCCTGTCTACTCTTTTTTTTTTCTTGGTCTGGCTTCTTTCACTGAACACAACATCATTATTCTGAGATTCCTCTATGTTGTGTGTACCTGTAGTTCAGTCCTTTTGTTTTTGTTTTTGTTTTTGTTTTTGTTTTTGCTAAGCGCTCTGCTAGGAAATGGATAAACCACAGGTTTTTTAATTGGGCATAGCCAAAAGCTGGGGAAAAAAATCCCCAAATATTCATCAACAGAGATAAATGGATATTTACTTGCATGTAATCTTTCCTGCCTGGAATGAATACTCCATGAAAGCAGGGACTTTGCCTACAGCTGTATCCACGCATCCGGAGCTTGTGCCTGGCACATAGTAGGCACTCAATAACATCAACTGGATTAATTATCTGATGCCCCTGCTGTAGAGAGGACCTGCCCTAAGCCTGGAGCTGGACTGATCTCTTTCTCCCTGGCACACAGCTGCAGTTGGCACACCTGTGATGGCTCCATCTCCTTCTCAGGCCTTCACCACCCCCGCCATGGTTTGTCTTATTCTCCCCCTGCCCACCATTGTTCCCTCTCCCCCACATCCCTGCAGGGCCAATTGCTGTGCTGGACACAGGATTTATCCCTTGGGATAATTGCCTGGCAGTTCCTGCCCGGGAGAACTGATCACTGCACCCACGCTCTGCCCCTGTGGCTGCTCATCAAACCTTAGTGCACACTCTCATTTATTCAGCACTCACAAGACACTGGTGCAGACACGTTGCTGGACGTTGAGGATACCATGACACAGACAGACACAGAACTCACAGTCCAGCCAGGGAGGCCAAAATTAAATGAACACGATGTAATCACAGCCGGTCACGGTGGCTCTCGCCTGTAATCCTAGCACTTTGGGAGGCCGAGGTGGGTGGATCACCTGAGGTCAGGAGTTCGAGACCAGCCTGGCCAACATGGTGAACCCTGTCTCTACTAAAAATACAAAAATTAGCTGGGCATGGTGGCATGCATCTATAGTCCCAGCTACTCAGGAGGCTGAGGCAGAATCACTTGAACCCAAGAGGTGGGGGTTGCAGTGAGCTGAGATCAAACCACTGCCCTCCAGCCTGGGTGATAGAGCGAGACTCTGACTGAAAAAAAAAAAAAAAAAAAAAAGATGTAATCACCCACTTTGATCAAGCGTGCTGAAAAAGGGAATTAATGCTGGGACCTGGTTTCCTTTGGGAATCTCTGAGGGATCCCGCCAAGCAGAGACAGGGGTTGAAGAGGAGCTGAAAGGTGGGGACTCCACGTGTGCAGGGCTGGGAGCAGGAGGTCGGCCCAGCAGGAGCTGAAGGAGGGCTACGCGGCAAGAGCATGGGGAGCATAGGTGCAGACACCCAGGAGGAAGGGGGGCTAGGCACAGCCTTGGGGGCCAGGGCAAGGATACAGATTTTATTCTAAACTCTCTTCTATCACTGTTCGTGCTGCATTTCATGGCAGCACCCAAAGCTGAAGCTGATGTTGCTCTCAAGACACAATGTGTTTCTGTGCCCTGGGAGCAGGAGTTACGGGGGGAGGCTTTGTTTTCTTATCCCCTGCCCCTCCCCGATGTTTGTAACATTACGAGGTCCATGTTAGGCAGAGAAGGAACATTCCTGGATTGATGATTGATTGATTGATTGATTAGCTGATGCTGACTGATCATCTTGTTCTTATGCAGCAGAAGGGGATACGTCATCGTGAAGGACACTGAGTCCTCTGGAAGATGTGGACATCTCCACCCGTGTTGTGTAGAAAGTGTTAGGCGCTCCTTCAGAGCAGGGCTACAGATTAGGATGGAAGGTAGTTTATTTACAGGCAAAGTAGTGTTTCTTGCCGTACTACTTGATTCCCCAGCAGAATAGATGCTATTTAAAATGCTTTCAGATATGCTAGCATCAAAATTTACCCTATTTCCAATACACCTTGAAAACCGCATAAAATGTGGAGTTTATTAAAATAGAGTGGATTTATCTCTACATTCAAAAGAAAAGGCTGGAAGCAGAGACCAGGAGATGGTGATGAAAAAGCGTGCATTTATACTTGATGCTCTTTTTCCTTTTCGTCACGGGAACAGCTCTTTTCTCTCTCACTTGTTAATAACAAACTCATTCCTCCCAGACCCGGGTGACCCATTCCCAGAATGCCATGTGGTCTCCTAGTTGCCGTCTTCTTTGAGAAATGCCACAGATCTTGTCTAGGGAAGGACCAGATAGATAATGGTAAAGGGTAGTCTCATGGAAAACTCCAGAGGGAAAAGCTAGAATGCTGATCCAGAAAGGAAACTGAGCGGGAAGGACAGGCACAAGTGAGGCCACAGAAACAGAGCTAAGCAGGGTAGGACAGAGACTTAACAAAAAACCTGGGAATGCCAAAACTGGGATTGGAATGGTGAGTGCCTAAAACTTGAGAAAGATAATCTCTCAGATAGAAGAAGAGAAGGAGGAGGAGGAGAGAGGAGGAAAGGGTAGGTGGAGAAGGAGGAAGAGGAGGGAAAAAAGGAGGAGGAGGACAAGGAGGAGGAGGAAGTCTGGACCCAGTAGGGTAAAGGTAAATTGAACTTACCAGCCAAAAATACAAATAGGTTCAAGAAAGTTTTCATAAAATATTTAGAACTAGGAAGGGCCTCAGGAATTATCTA
Organism: Homo sapiens; assembly: GCF_000001405.40. NCBI lineage: Eukaryota > Metazoa > Chordata > Mammalia > Primates > Hominidae > Homo > Homo sapiens. The sequence goes on along the minus strand of NC_000009.12, from coordinate 131,764,600 downwards.
GTCTGGTGGCGTTAAACATTATTTTTGGTTAATTTTAGCATCAGAGCCAGGCATGGTGGCTGAGGCCTGTGGTCCCAGCTACTTGGGAAGCTGAGGTGGGAGGAATGCTTAGGCCCGGGAGGTCGAAGCTATAGTGAGGTGTGATTGCACCACTGCACTCCAGCCCAGGCAACAGAGTGAGTCCCTGTCTCAAAAAAAATAATTAATTAATTAAAAATAAAAATAAAAGGTTACCATCAGGACTATTTTCTTCAAAAGAAAATTGCAGACTGGGCAGTGGCTCATGCCTGTGATCCCAACACTTTGGGAAGCCGAGGCAGGCAGATTACTTGGGGTCAGGACTTCGAGACCAGCCTGGCCAACATAGTGAAACCCCGTCTCAACTAAAAATGCAAAAGAAATTTTTTTTTTTTGAGACGGAGTTTCACTTTTGTTGCCCAGGCTGGAGTGCAAAGGCACGATTTCGGCTCACTGCAACCTCTGCCTACCAGGTTGAAGCGATTCTCCCGTCTCAGCCTCCTGAGTAGCTGGGATTACAGATGTGTACCACCACACCTGGCTAATTTTTGTATTTTTAGTAGAGATGGGGTTTCATCATATTGGTCAGGCTGGTCTCAAACTCCTGACCTCAGGTGATCCGCCCAGCTCGGCCACCCAAAGTGCTGGCATTACAGGTATGAGCCACCGCACCTGGTGGCAAAGCACTGATTTCTACCCCTCACACTACAGAGGAAGCAGCAGTGGCTGAGGGGGTGGAATGGAGCCCCAGGCCGGCCAACTCCATGCTCACTTCTCCCGGGGAGATGACAGCCACATATCTGCATGGTGCCTCGGGCCTTACCAATGCCCACTGACTGTTGTCCAGCAACTCTGACCAGGTGCTCTGGCCAGACGGTGTGGGGTGGAGTCGGGGAGCCCCAGCCTGGCTCCTACAGCTGGGGCAGGCTGGCTTGCCCCTCTGCCCTCTGTCTGCCCATCTGTCTGGTGGGGATAATCACAGTACCCTCTGGGGTGGGCTGTGATCTGAAGACAGAAGAGAAAGACACACCCAGGGAGGGCAGGACAGCTGGGGACATGCTCAGGGTGGAGATGGCACCGACGCTGAAGCTCTCCCATCCCACCTGCCTTCACATCTTCAGAGGGTGGCTGTGAGAATTAAATGAGTGAAGGCTTTGGAAGCACCAGCCCCGCGTCTGGCATGAAGTAAGCACTCAATAGACCATAGTTATTATTATTATCATCATCATCATTATTATTATTTTATTATTTCGAGACAGGGTCTTTTCTGTCGCCCAGGCTGGAGTGCAGTGGCGTGATCACGGCTCACCGCAGCCTCGACCTCCCAGGCTCAAGGGATCCTCCAACTTCTGCCTGTTGAGTAGCTGGGATTACAGGCCCGAGCCACCACATCTGGCTGATTTTTGTATTGTTTGAGGAGATGGGGTCTGGTCATGTTGCCCAGGCTGGTCTGAAACGCCTGGCTTCAAGTGATCCTCCTACCTCGGTCTCCCAAAGTTCTGGGATTACAGACGTGGACCAGGATGCCTGGCCATCATCATTATTTTATTTTTTATTTTTATTTTAGTTTTTAGCTCTGCAATGTTCCCAGCAATGGCCGTCATCATAGTTCTAACACTGTTATCGGTACTGAGCCTCGGGATAGGACCCCAGGGGGGTGGGCCATTATCATTACGGTGTTGCCATTTTACAGGTGCAGAAACTGAGGCACAGAGAGGCCAAATCATTTTCCCAACGTCCCAGAGCTTGTGAGTGACAGAAGCCAAGTGGTTTCTGGATTTCCTTCCCCGGGCTCAGTCCACCACAGCAGGGTGTGAGGCGAGGGGAACGTGGGCTCCCCACGACCCACCCAGTTCCCAGCGAGGTCCGCCGCTGGCTCTCAGGTCCTCCCGGGTGGCTCCTGGGAGGCGCCGGGCGGGGCTGTCTTCTGTGGGACTGTGCCGCCCTCTGGTGGCCGCATGGCAGAACTCCGCCGGCAGCCAGGCCCGCCAGAGGGCCGCGCGCCCTTGGCCGCCACTGTTCCATCCTAGCCCCTCCTCACCCCGGCGCTGCGGACACCCCACGTCGTCCACACGATGGCCCCGCCCCGCCTGGAACAGATGGCAGCCACTGCCGGGGCAGCCTACAGGCCTAGCCAGGCGCCGGGGCCAGGGCGAAACCAGTGCCGCCCTCCCAGTGGCTGGGTCAAGGCGCAACGTGGAATCCCCACGTAGATGCCTTGGCCCAAGTGTGCAAGCGTGTGTGCGTGTGTGTGAGTGCGTGTGTGTGCTCCTGTGTCAGGATCATGTGAAGGCAGCATAAATAGGTGAGAAGGAAAACAGCAAGGCAGGATTCCAGTGCAAACTGTGTACCCTGTCACCTACAAATTCAATGCCACACTGAGTGGGGATTTAGGGAAATGTTGGGACTCTTTCCTGGTGTGTGTTTTGCAGCTACCAACATCATCATTGCAAGTTTTTAAAGCCAAGGAAACACACAGGAGTGTAAATTGGTACAACGACTCAGGAAATGTTTGGCTGCTGAAGTGAAATATACATGTGCCCTGAGACCCAGCAGCTCCATGCCTGGGTGTGCACACGGAAATCTGGACATACACACACACACACACACACACACACACACACTTAAAAAAGACAGGCACAGGGATGTTTATGGTTGCTGTATTAGTAATGACCCAAACCTGGAAGCAACCCAAATGCTCATCAATAGCAGAATGGGCCAGGCATAGTGGCCCATGCATGTAATCCCAGCCCTTTGGAAGGCCTAGGTGGGAGGATCACTTGAGCCCAGGAGGTGGAGGCTGTACTGAACCTAAATCACACCACTGCATTCCAGCCTGGATGACAGAGAAAGACCCTGTCTCAAAAAAAAAAAAAAAAAAAGAGTAGATTGGATGAACAAATTGTGGTAGTCATATATAGTTCATATAATGAAATATTATACTGCAGTGAAAAAGAACTACATGTTGGCCAGGCACAGCGGCTCATTCCTGTAATCCCAGCACTTTGGGAGACCAAGGTAGGAGAATCAGTTGAAGCCAGGAGTTTGAGACCTGCCTGCAACCTAGTGACAGCCTGTCTCTATAAAAAAATAAAATAAAAACATTTCAATTAGCCAGGTGTGGTGGCATGCACATGTGGTCCCAGCTAGTCAGGAGGCTGGTGGGAGGATTGCTGGAGCCCAGGAGATCAAGGCTGCAGTGAGCTATGATTGCACCACTGCACTCCAACCTGGGCAACAGAACGAGACCCTGTCTCAAAAAAAAAAAAAAAGAACTACGGTAATAGCATAAGCAGATGTCAGACATAGTATGGAGCAAAAGATGCTAGACCCAAACTTCCCACTTACATGAAGTTCAAAACCAGGTCTAAGGGCCAGATGTGGTGGCTCACATCTGTAAGCCCAGCATTTTGGGAGGCCAAAGCGGGCAGATTACCTGAGGTTGGGAGTTTGAGACCATCCTGGCTAACACGGTGAAACCCCGTCTCTACTAAAAATGCAAAAAATTAGCTGGGCTTGGTGGCGGGTGCCTGTAGTCCTGGCTACTCGGGAGCCTGAGGCAGGAGAATGGTGTGAACCCAGGAGGCAGAGCTTGCAGTGAGCCAAGATTATGCCACTGCACTCCAGCCTGAGCGACAGAGCAAGACTCCATCAAAAAAAAACAAACAAAAAAAAAACAAACAAAAAAAACAAATTAGCTGGGCATGGTGGTGGGCCCGGGAATCCTAGCTACTCGGGAGACTGCAGCAGGAGAATCACTTGAACCCGGGAGGCGGAGGTTGCAGTGAGTTGGGATCACATCACTGCACTCCAGCTGGGGCAGCAGAGTGAGACTCCATCTCGAAAAAAAAAAAAAAAAAAAAAAAAAGGCCTAAGGTATCTATGGCGATACACATCAGAATAATGGTTACCTCCAGCAGGGTGAGGCCTTCTGACTGGAAGCAGTATAAGGGTGCCTTGGTGGGTGGGGGAGGGGGATACTGGGAAGGTTCTAGATTTTATTCTGGATGGTGTTTATCTAGGGGTAAAATCTCACCAAGCTGTACATGTAAGACTATCCTGCTTTATTGTTTGTCTGCTAACCTTAAAAATGGCCAGGCATGGTAGCCCGTGCCTGTAATGCCAGCACTTTGGGAGGCCAAGGTGGGAGGATCATTTTAGATCAGGAGTTTGAGACCAGTCTGGACAACATAGTGAGACTCCGTTTCTACAACATTAAAACAAACAAACAAAAAATTAGCCAGGCGTGGTGGCATGCACCTGTAGTCCCAGGTATTTGAGAGGTTGAAGCAGGAGGATCACTTGAGCCCAGGACCTTGAGGCTGCCGTGAGCTATGATTGTGCCACTTCACTCAAGCCTGGGTGAAAGAATAAGATCCCATCTCTCAAAAAAAAAAAAAAAAAAATCAGGCCAGGCACAGTGGCTCATGCCTGTTACCCCAGCACTTTGGAAGGCCGAGGCAGGTGGATCATGAGGTCAGGAGCTCAAGACCAGCCTGGCCAACATGGTGAAATCCCGTCTCTACTAAAAATAGAAAAATTAGTCGGGCACAGTGGCATGCGCCTGTAATCCCAGCTACTTGGGAGGCTGAGGCTGGAGAATCGCCTGAACCCAGGAGGCAGAGGTTGCAGTGAGCCAAGCTCACACCATTGCACTCCAGCCTAGGCAACAGAGCAAGACTCTGTCTCGAAAAAAAATAAAAAATCAAAGAAAAACTTTAAGAACAACCTAGAAATAAAAACCCAGAGACAACGAAGGAAGGGGAGGGGTGCCGGGCTCATTGCTGGCAGCAGCTCTGAGCAGAGGGGACTTAGGGCTGTGATCAGGTGGACTTAGGATTGCTGTAGGGTCTCACTGAGATAATGCTGGTGAAGTACAGGTACAGAGAAGTCCCAGGCATACTGGCTTCTGCTCATTGTTTTCAAAACCCCAGAGGGTCCTCCTAGACCTCTTCCTTTTATGAAACACACTTAATTTCCTAGTTCGAAGCTACAGAATAGGATTGTAGCTTCCCCTTCCTCCCTTCTTTTTCCTTGTCTGTATTTTTGCATTTTTCTACAATAAATGTGTTATAACTTTTGTGATATGAAAAAAAGCAATAAGAGCTATTTTAATTAAAGGAAAAAAGCTGTGTGTGCAGATTCTGATTTGTGGAGTTTGCAGAAAGGCAGACTCTAAGAGCATTAAGGTTATTTGAGTCAGGGAAAGAGTTGGGGGTTTGGAGTCTTTTGGCCAAAACTGCCTCTGCCTGCTTCTCCTGTCTGGGAGGTAGCAGCCTTTTTATTGATACAAATGCAAGAGCAGCTGCCTCCATGAATCATCAGATTGCACCCTCCCTTAATTGCTTACTCAACTAAGTGCTTTGCAGACTTTCCCTTCTCAGCTTTGTAACAAGTTAGAAGTCAGGTACTACTATCAATTTCATTTAGAGGAGGAAGCAACTGAAGCATGGCGTGGTGCACGCCACACAGCTAGTAAATGTCTGGCTTATAGTGGCTTTGGTGACAGTGGCTTAGATGGCTGGCCCTGGGTGGCCGTCAGGAGCTCCACTGTCCAGTCCTGACCTTTCTCTTGCCTGGATGTTCTGCAGACCCCTACCTCTACCTGGCTCATCCTTCCTGGAAGCTGTAGTAGAAGCATATATTCCCTGTCTTACAAGGTCAATCACCATTATTATCCCCATTTTACACTCAAAAGCACAGGTTTAAGAGCATTTAAATAACTTGCCCAAAATCCCCTAACCCATAAGTGACAGTGCAGTGAGTTACAACCAGAACTTTCTGGTCCAGAACACAGCTCCCCACCATGGAGCTCATGCTCCGTCTGGCATTGACTGTTCAATTTTTTTCGTTCTAAGCTGGGCATGTTAGACTGTGAAAATCAACTTTTTTCCTCTCTAGGAAATAAGAGGTTACAGAGTTTATTTTTCAGAGCAGTGGAAGTGAAGATAGAAAGGATTTCAAGAAGGCTTCTTTTAGGTGAAGATTAAAGGAAATGTTATAACAAAACTAGGCATGGTTGATCTTGTAAAGTGTATGGCGTTTTCCTTTCACTGTTTAAAAAAAAAAGTCTATGCGATGAGGTGATGTATTTGCCTTTTAGAAATTCGATAAATACGGAAGCTATGCCTTTGTTTCCCATCCCGACTCCCTGGTTTGTGTGTAATACTACAGAGAAAGGTTTCTCCAAGATTTTTATTGGTGGTACCCTTTCTTAATTTAAAGTGTGGATTAGTGGGGAAGAAAAGTATTAATAGCTTGTTAGAGTCAGAAGATAAACCGCTCAGGCAAAGTGTAAATTGATACAATCTTTGTAGAGGACAATATGGCCACATGTATCAACATTTCAGCATTTCACACATACATATTTCTCCACCCAGAAATCTCACTTCTAGCAAAGATATATACAAGGATGCTCATAATAATACAGTTTGTAATGGTGAAAATTAGGAACAACCTAAACATCTAACAATATGGCATTGATCCAATAAAATATGGCACAGCCACCCAGAGAAATACAGCACAGCTTTTAGAAGCAAGGATGGAGAGACTGAGCACAGTGGTTGCTCCCAGGGAGGGGAAGAAATGTACTTTTCATCATCTAAATACTTTTGTGATTTTTTTAAAATAAGTTTTACTTTGAGATAATTGTAGATTCACATGCAGTTGTAAGAAATAATACAGAGAGATCTCTGGTACCCTTTACCCATTGATAGCAGCTTGCAAGACAATAGAAAGCTATCTCAACCAGGCTACTGACACTGATACAGTCAAGATCCAAAACATTCGATCATCACAACTATCCGCCCTGGTTTCCTTTTCTAGCCACCCCACTTCTCTCCCACTCCTGCCCCCTCTTTAGCTGCTGGCAACCACTAATCTGTTTCCCGTTTCTACAATTGTGTCATTTCAAGAATTATATATAAATGGAAAAATACAATATATTACCTTTACAGGATGACTCTTCTCACTCAGTATAATTCTCTGAAGATTCATCAGATTGTTTCATGTATCAATAGATCATAGTTCGTTCCTTTTTATTGTTTTTTCTTTTTTTTTTTTTTTTTTTTTTTTTTTGAGACAGGATCTCACTCTGTCACCCAGGCTGAAGTGCAGTGGAGAGATCTCAGCTCACTGCAACCTCCGCCTCCTGGGCTCAGGTGATCTTCCCACCTCAATGTCCCGAGAGCTGGGACTACAGATGCATGCCATCACACCTGGCTAATCTTTTCTTTTTTCTTTTCTTTTTTTTTTTTTAGTAGAGACAGGATTTCACCATGTTGTCCAGGCTGGTCTTGAACTCTCCTGGGCTCAAGTGATCCACCTGCCTCAGCCTCCAGAGTGCTGGGATTACATGCATGAGCCACTTTATTGCATTCTTTTTGCATCATTGTCAACAAATTAGCTGGGCATACTCGTAGAGCTCTCTTTCTGGGTTCTCTATTCATGTGCATGTACTATCAAAAATTAATTTTAAAACTATATTGATGATATACAGCTATACTTATTAATATGAAAAAATGCCAACATATTGAGTAGAAAAAATATTACAAGAGGGTTATTTGGTATATTCTAATTTTTGTAAAACTTTTTTTTTTTTTTGAGATGGAGTCTCGCACTGTCATCTAGGCTGGAGTGCAGTGGCACGATCTCGGCTCACTAGAACCCCCACCTCCTGGGTTCAAGCAATTCTTCTGCTTCAGCCTCTCAAGTAGCTGGGATTACAGGTGTGTGCCATCACGCCTGGCTAGTTTTGTTTTTTGTATTTTTAGTAGAGATGGGGTTTCGCCATGTTGGCCAGGCTGGTCTCGAACTCCTGACCTCAGGTGATCCACCCTCCTCGGGCTCCCAAAGTGCTGGGATTACAGGCGTGAGCCCACCACGCCTGGCCAAACCTTTTTTTTTTTTTTTTTAAGAATGTGCCTTGTGCATATACATGGGGTCCACTCATAGCAAAGAACTTAAAATAGCATTTTACAAGCTGCAATCCCAGGGGTTCCCATGGAAGATTCTGAGGGGCTCACTGATTTGGGCAAAGCTGAACTCTGTGCCTTTACTTTGCTGATGTGTGATGCTCAATGAGAAGAATGCGGCTCTTCCCGGGATCTTTTGACTAAGGGATTCCCCACGTTTTCCCCCTAAGGAGCATTTCTCAGGGCTAGTGTTCCAGGGAGCGTACTCTGGGAAACTGGTCTGAAAGCCTCTCTGCCAAAATGTTAACAGTGGTTATCACAGAACTGTGGGATTCGGAGTGGTTTTTACTTTCTCCTTCTAACTTTTTCTGTTAACCGAAAAAAATCGATAACAATATTATTCAATACAAACACTAAAAAGCACCAGGTGCGATGGCCCATGCCTGTAATCCCAGCACTTTGGGAGGCCAACCCGGGTGGATGGCTTGAATCCAGGAGTTCGAGACCAGCCTGGGCAACATGCTGAAACCTTGTCTCTACAAAAAATACAAAAATTAGCCAGGTGTGGTGACATGCACCTGTAGACAGGAGGATCACTTGAGCCCCAGAGTTCGAGTCCAGCCTGGGCAATATAGGAAGACCCCATCTCTAAAAAACAAACAAAGAACTAACACAGTAACAAGTATTACTGTGACAAGGTGAGGGTGGTTGGGGGGGGGGGCGGCCACAAGGTGCCAGTGGCATAGGAGCAGGAAAAAAAGCCCAGGAAAGAATCTCCAGGAGGAAGGGAGAAGCAGAAAACACACAGCACCTGCAGTTCATTCACAGCAGCCGGAGCGAGGAGGTGGGGAGCCGAAAGCCACGCAGGGCTCCACAGCGCCACCATGTGACAGCAAAAGCTGACATCACAGCACTCAGTAAGACCTCACTGTACTGCAGCAGGGCCCTGGGGAGGAAGAGCTGGTCCTAATGCCACCCACATCGGGGCTGGTGGGTGAGGAAGAGGGGATGTGAAGTCACCTGTAAGGCTGGTGGTGGTTACATCCTGGAGACTTTGAAGAGTCGATTTTTTATTAAGTCCGCGTGTAGAAGAGACCTTGCTAGTTATATCCACAGACCACTCTTTTTTTTTTTTTTTTTTGAGACAGGGTCTTGCTGTCTCCCAGGCTGGAGGACAGTGGCACAATCATGGCTCATTGCAGCCTCGACTTCCTGGGCTCAGATGATCCTCCCACCACAGCTTCCCAAGTAGCTGGGACTACAGGCGCACGCCACAACACCTGGCTAGTTTTTTGTATTTTTAGTAGAAAAGGGGTTTCACCATGTTGCCCAGGCTGGTCTCGAACTCCTGGGCTCAAGCAATCCTCCCGCCTTGGCCTCCCAAAGTGCTGGGATTACAGGCGTGAGCCACTGTGCCCAGCCCACTCTCTTGTGAATTTCTCATTTATTTATTTATACCCTCCTTGTTCTGGGAGAAGACAAACAATTAAGCATGTCTCACAAGTGCTCATAAAAATAAGACAAGAGAGTATAAAATTAAAAGCAGTTGGCAGAAGAGAGAAGAACAAGGCTGGGTGCCAACCGGAGCCAGCAACCAGGCGTCTTCTCAGCCCCTCCTCGCTATCCAGGTGAGCAAGAGGCCTTGTTGTTCTGGAATTCCCAGTGGTGGGGGCAGGGGGAGGAACAAAGCAGGAGCTGGAGTCAGCAGGCAGCCCCCCGGCCAGGTGCGTCTAGAACAGGCTCTCACAAGCATGGAGAGAATGCATATTTAACACTGAAAAGTCCAGACGGCCCCAGGCTTCCATTGATGGCTCTCAGGCTGAGGAATCGCTGTTGAGACAGAGCTGAGATTTCCCAGCATTGAGATTTGTGTGATTTAAGGGACCAGGGTTCTGGGGGGAGGAGACATTGCAGAGGTAAAAAGCCAGTCCTCGGCCGGGTGTGGTGGCTCACGCCTGTTATCCCAGCACTTTGGGAGGCCGAGGTGGGAGGATCATGAGGTCAGGAATTTGAGACCAGGCTGGCCAACATGGTGAAACCCCGTCTCTACTAAAAATACAAAAAATTAGCCAGGTGTGGTGGCCGTTGCCTGTAATCCCAGCTACTTGGGAGGCTGAGGCAGGAGAATCACTTGAACCCAGGAGGCGGAGGTTGCAGTGAGCCAAGATCGCGCCACTGCACTCCAGCCTGGGTGACAGAGCGAGACTCCATCTCAAAGAACAAAACAAAACAAAAGCCAGTCCTCAGAAGTTGGCTTTCCCTCACATCCATTAGGATGGCTATTATAAAACAGCAGAAAATAGGCTGGGTGCAGTGGCTCACGCCTGTAATCCCAGAACTTCAGGAGGCTGAGGTGGGTAGATGACTGGAGGTCAGGAGTTTGAGACCAGCCTGGCCAACATGGTGAAACCCTGTCTCTCCTAAAAATACAAAAAATTAGCCGGGCGTAGGGGCCGTTGCCTGTAATCCCAGCTACTTGGGAGGCTGAGGCAGGAGAATCACTTGAACCCAGGAGGCGGAGGTTGCAGTGAGCCAAGATCGCACTGCTGCACTCCAGGCTGGGCGACAGTGCAAGACTCCATCTCAAAAAACACAAAACTAAACTAAACAAAACAAAACAAAACAAAACAAAAGCCAGTTCTCAGAAGTCGGCTTTCCCTCACATCCATTAGGATGGCTATTATAAAACAGCAGAAAATAGGCTGGGCGCGGTGGCTCACGCCTGTAATCCCAGCACTTCGGGAGGCTGAGGTGGGTAGATCACTGGAGGTCAGGAGCTTGAGACCAGTCTGGCCAATATGGTGAAACCCCATCCCTACTAAAAATGCAAAAAATAGCTGGGCGTGGTGGCACATGCCTGTAGTCCCAGCTACTCAGGAGGCTGAAGCAGGAAAATCATTCGAACCCAGGAGGCAAAGGTTGTAGTGAGCTGAGATCATGCCACTGCACTCCAGCCTGGGCAACAGGGCAAGACTCTGTCTCATAAAAAAAAAAAAAAAAAAGAAAAAAAAAAGAAAAGAAAGTGTTGATGAGGATGTGGAGAAAATGAAATCCTGATGCACTGTTGATGGAAATGTAAATTGATGCAGCCGCTGAGAAAACAGTACTGTGGTATCTGAAATAATTAAAAATAGAATAATCTGCCAGACGTGGTGGCTCATGCCTGTAATCTCATCACTCTGGGAGGCCAAGGTGGAAGGATCACCTGAGCCCAGGAGGCTGAGACCCAGCCTGGGCAACATACTCCAGCCCGGGCAACATAACGAAATTTTTAAATTTAAAAAATTTTAAAGTTAGCTGGGTGTAGTGGCACATGCCTATAGTCAGTCCTAGCTACTCAGGAGGCTGAGACAGGAGGATCGCTTGAGCCTAGAAGGTTGAGGTTACAGTGAGCCAGGATCATGCCACTGCATTCCAGCCTGAGCAACAGAGTGAGACCCTGCCTCAATACATTAATTAATTAAGGTCGGGCACAGTGGCTCACACCTGTAATCCCAGCCCTTTGGGAGGCTGAGGTGGGTGGACCACCTGAGGTCAGGAGTTCAAGACCAGCCTGACCAACATGGCGAAACCCCATCTCCACTCAATACAAAAAATTAGCCAGGTGTGGTGGTGCCTGTAATCCCAGCTACTTGGGAGGCCGAGGCAGGAAAATCGCTTGAACCCAGTTGGCGGAGGTTGCGGTGAGCTGAGATTGTGCCATTGCACTCCAGTCTGGGCAACAAGAGTGAAACTCCGTCTCAAAAAACAAATTAATTAATTAAAAATAGAATTATCATACGATCCAGTAATTCTACTTCTGTGTATATACCCAAAAGAATTGAAAGTAAAGTTTCAAAGAGATATTTATACACCCATATTCATAACAGCATTATTTACAGTAGCCAAAAGCCGAGTGTCCAAATAGATAAACAAAATGTGGTCCATTCATCCATACAAAGGAATATTATTCAGCCTTGAAAAGGGAGTGGCACTGTGACGCATGCTGCAGCACAGGAGAACCTTGAGGATGTGTGTTAAGTGAAATAAGCCAGTCACAAAAGGACAAATACTGGATGATTCCACTGATATGAGGTGCTAGAATAGTCAAATTGGTAGACACAGGATATAGAATGTAGGTTGCCAGGAGCTGGGGAAGGGGAAAATGGGGAGTCAGTGTTTCATGGGGACAGAGTTACAGTTTAAGATGATGAAAACATTCTGGAGATGGATGGTGGTGATGGTTGCATAACAATGTGAGTGTGCTTAATGCCACTGGAGGGCACACTTAAAAATGGCTAAGATAGCTGGGCCCAGCGGCACGTGTCTGTAATCCCAGCTATTCTGGAGGCTGAGCCAGGAGGATCACTTGAGCCCAGGAGTTTGAGGCTGCAGTGAACCATGATCACACCACTGGGTGACAGAGGGAGACCCTGCCTCTTCAAAAAAAACAAAGGGTTAAGATAGTAAATTTTACGTTATGTGTATTTTACCACAATGTAAATTTTTTTATTATTAAAAAAAGTAGTTGATTTTCAAAAGGATGCCTCAGCCAGGTGCAGTGGCTTACGCCTGTAATCCCAACACTCTGGGAGGCCTAGGTGGGTGGATCACAAGGTCAGGAGATTGAGACCATCCTGGCTAACATGGTGAAACCCCGTCTCTACTAAAAATACAAAAAATTAGCTGGGCGTGGTGGCAGGTGCCTGTAGTCTGAGCTACTCAGGAGGCTGAGGCAGGAGAATGGCATGAACCAGGGAGGTGGAGCGTGCAGTGAGCCGAGATCATGCCACTGCACTCCACTCCAGTCTGGGTGACAGAGCGAGATGCTGTCTCAAAAAAAAAAAAAAAAAAAGGACGCCTCATGCTGAGAACTGTGGGCCTAGCAGCTGCCACAGGGGGTGTGAGTGGGAGGGGAAGCCTGGGTTTCCAGGGATACTAGACCCCTGAAACACGGATGTCCAAGAAGATACTGTTTTGTTTTGTTTTGTTTTGTTTTGTTTTGTTTTGTTTCTGAGACAGAGTCTTGCTCTGTCACCCAGGCTGGAGTGCAGTGGCGTGATCAGCGCTTACTGCAGCCTTGACCTTCTGTGCTCACGAGACCCTCCTGCCTCAGCTTCCCAAGTAGCTAGGACCACAGGTATGTGCCACTACACTTGGCCAATTTTTAAACTTTGTTGTAGGACGAGATCTCTCCATGTTGCCCAGGTTGGTCTCAAACTGCCGGGCTGAAATGACCCTCCCACTTCAGCCTCCCAAAGTGCTGGGATTACATGGTGAGCCACACCACCCAGCCAGAAGGTACTTTTCTGCTAGCAAGCGCCTTGTCACTCAGCTTGCTAAAAAGACTCAAGATCTTCCTGATCCAAATAGCTCCTGCCCCCGATAAACAAAGAGTGGAGAATTTACGGATCTACTCAACATGTATTCACTCAGCACCTACTATGTACCAGGCCCTGTGCACAGATGTGCATAAGACAGACACTGTCCTTGTGTATCTTATGCTATGCTGGGGGAGATGCTCAACCCAAGAAATTCCAGGCCATGCTCAGTGGATCACGCCTGTAATCCCAGCACTTTGGGAAGCCAAGGCAGGGGGTAACCTGAGGTCAGGAGTTCGAGACACACCTGGCCAACATGGTGAAACCCCGCCTCTACTAAAAATACAAAAATTAGCCGGGCATGGTGGCGCACACCTGTGGTCCCAGCTACCCAAAAGCCCGAGGCAGGAGAATTGCTTGAACCGGGGAGGTAGAGGTTGCAGCGAGCCAAGATCACACCAATGCACTCTAGCCTGGGTGACAGAGTGAGACTCCGTCTCAAAAAAAAAAAAAAAAGAAATTCTAAAATTGACATATAACCAAAAAAGGACACACCTGGATGGTTCCATTATGTCACATTCTAAAAGATGCAAACTCATCTACAGTGACAGAAAACACCGCTGTGGTTGTCTGGGGCTGGTGGTGGAAGAAGGTTTAGGGACCCAGGGGCACAAGGAGACCCTTGGAGGAAAGAAAATGTTCTGCATCTTGACTGACAGCAGTGATTTCATGGGTGTAGACATCCGCCAAAACACATCACGTTGTATACTTTCAATGGATGCTGTTTATTGGGCATGAATTAGACTCTGCTTGATAAAATATTGTTTTGGTTGAGTGATGAGCTGAAGTGATAGGTTTCTCGTTCTTTCTTTTTTCCTCCAATGCTGCTCCTTCTGCATGACATGATAGGTTTCTCAAAGGTTACCTTTAAAGTGAGCCCTACAGGAGGGACCATCGGGACAATGATGGAAGATGGGAAGGTGATGGGGGTGGGCCCAGCACAGAGAGCTCCACTGGTTAAGCATGACCAGGAGGAAGAGCGTGAGCCTCGTGAGGTTGGTGGGAGAGAGGAGACTGAAGACCACCATAGGACTGGGCTCTGTGCTGTGAAGATGGGGAGTATCTGAAAGCTTGTTTTCCCCCCCAAGATGGACTCTCTGTCACCCAGGCTGGAGTGCAGTGGTGCGATCTCAGCTCACTACAACCTCTGCCTCCCAGGTTCAAGCAATTCTCCTGCCTCAGCCTTCCGAGTAGCTGGGATTACAGGTGCATACCACCACACCAGGCTAATTTTTTTTATTTTTAGTAGAGATGGGATTTCACCGTATTGGTCAGGCTGGTCTTGAACTCCTGACCTTATGAACCACCCGCCTTGGCCTCCCAAAGTGCTGGGATTACAGGCGGGAGCCACCGCGCCTGGCCCTGAAGGCATTTTAACCTGGAGAGTGATACCACTGTCGGTTTAGCATGAAGACCCCTCTGGCCACAATTTGGAGAAGAAATTGTGAGAAGAAAGGAGGTGGAGCCCCATTAGGAGTGACTCAGGCAGAAGATCACGAGGCCTGACACCCAAGGAGAGTGGAGGTGGGGCTGGAGGGCAGACCAATGGCTCGAGGTGTTGGTGACAGTGGATCCCAAGCCCAGGCTTCTGAATTGAGTAACCTGTGGAAAGAGGTGACATTTCCTGAGAGAAAACCCTGGAGGAGAACCCCTCCTGGGTTTGAACGATTCTTGTGCCTCGGACTCCCAAGTAGCTGGGACTACAGGCATGAGACACCACACCTGGCTAATTTTTATATTAAATATTTTTAGTAGAGATGGGGTTTCGTCATGTTGGCTAAGCTGGTCTCGAACTCCTGACCTGAAGTGATCTGCCTGCCTCAGCCTCCCAAAGTGCTGGGACTACAGGAGTAAGCCACCACCCCCAGCCCCAAAAAAACTTTTTAAAAAATTAACTGGGTGCGGCAGCACACACCTGTGGTCACAGCTACTCCGGAGGCTGAGATGGGAGGATCGCTTGGGCCCAGGAGTTTAATATAAGTATCCATCAAGAAGAGAATGAGAGGCTGGACGCAGTGGCTCATGCCTGTAATCCCAGCACTTTGGGAGGCCAAGCCAGGCAGATCACTTGAGGTCAGGAGTTTGAGACCAGCCCGGCCAACACAGTGAAACCCCATCTCTACTAAAAATACAAAAATTAGCTGAGCGTGGTGGTGCACGCCTGTAATCCCAACTACTGGGGAGGCTGAGGCAAGAGAACTGCTTGAACCTGGGAGGCAGAGATTGCAGTGAGCTGAGATCACATCCCTGTACTCCAGCCTGGGCGATAGAGTGAGACTTAGTCTCAAAAAAAAAAAAAAAAGCAGAGAATGATCAAATACATTTTTATACATTCATACACTTGAATGACTTAAAATATCCAATAGGCTTATACTTGCTAGCATGAAAGATGTTCAATATATTAATATACTTAATGAAAAATGCAAGTCTTAGATTGCATTGGACAGGATAGGTGAACTGCTATAACAAATCCAGTAAAGCTACATTTCTTTCTGATGTCACAGCCCAAAGTAGGTCCACTGGGAGGGGGCGGCTCTACCCCAGACAGTCATTCAGGGACCTAGGCTCCTTCTATCTCCACACATCATCAAAGCTGAAAGAGAAAGGAAAATGTCAACCATCAGGTGCTGGAGAAATTTATGAGTGGGGCACGGAAGTGGCAATCATTATTTCACCCTCATCTATTGTTCAGAGCACCTGGCCACACCTAACTGGGAGACGAGTCCAGCTGTGTGCCCCAAAAATAGATTTGGTGAGCATTTAGCCAGCCTCTGTCTTGCTAACTGATGTGTACCATTTAAACTCATTCATACAAAACACCATAAATGTGTGCATGGGGCTGGGCACAGCGGCTGACACCTGTAATCCCAGCAGTTTGGAAGGCGGAGGAAAGAAGATCACCTTGAGCCCAGGAGTTTGAGACCAGCCTAGGCAACATAGTGAGACCCCCTCCCTACAAAAAATTAAAAAATCAGCCAGGCATGGTGGCGCACACCTGTAGTCCCACCTACTCAAGAGGCTGAGGTAGGAGGATCGCTTGAGCCTAGAAGGTCAAGGCTGCGGTGAGCCAAGATCACACCACTGCACTCCAGCCTGGGAGACAGAGTAAGACCCTGTCTCAAAGAAAAAAAAAAGCGTACATGGATATATTTTTAATAGAGAAAAATCTGGAAAGATGTACATTAAACTGTTAACTCTTATGAGTGAAAGTGGGACTTCCAGTTTTTATTTTATATATGTGTTTGATTTTATTTTTAATTTTATTTTTAATTTTTATTTTTATTTATTTTTATTTTATTTATTTATTTATTTATTTATTTATTTTGAGACAAAGTCTTGCTCTGTTGCCCAGGCTGGAGTGCAGTGGCGTGATCTCGGCTCACTGCAAGCTCCGCCTGCCAGGTTCACGCCATTCTCCTGCCTCAGCCTCCCAAGTAGCTGGGACTACAGGCGCCTGCCACCACGCCCGGCTAATTTTTTGTATTTTTAGTAGAGATGGGGTTTCACCATGTTAGCCAGGATGGTCTCAATCTCCTGACCTCGTGATCCGCCCGCCTCGGCCTCCCAAAGTGCTGGGATTACAGACATGAGCCACCGCACCCGGCCTGATTTTATTTTTTAAAAAATGAGCACATATTTCCTGTGAGATTTAACAATTTAAAGAATTGTAAAATGATAGTACATTGCTCTTTAGATTTTAAGCAAATGGAGTTTAGAATTCTAGATGTTCACTAGGGGGCAGAAGAGATGTGTGTGTGTGCGTGCGCTTGCTGTTTGCTTGTCACTGTTTACCAGATTACTGGCACAATTTCCCCATTCATCAGGTCATCTGTAAGGTTTACAGACTTGTTTAAGGAAATGACAGCACCCAGGCCTCTCACACTAGTAGACATCAGCTGTGGGCCCAATAATCTCATATTTTCACCAATTTTTGATTACTGTGGTAAAATACACGTTACATAAAATTTGCCATCTGAGTCTTTTTTTTTTTGGTAGAGATGGGATCCCACTATATTGCCCAGGCTGGTCTCGAACTCCTGGGCTCAAAGGATCCTCTTGCCTCAGCCTCCTAAGTAGCTGGGACTACAAGTATGCCATGCCCAGGTTACCTTAGTCTTTTTTTTTTTTTTTTTTTTTTTTTTTTTTTTTTTTTTTTTTTTTGAGACAGAGTCTCGCTCTGTCACCCAGGCTGGAGTGCAGTGGCACGATCTCGGCTCACTGCAAGCTCCGCCTCCCAGGTTCACGCCAGTCTCCTGCCTCAGCCTCCCGAGTAGCTGGGACTACAGGCGCCCGCCACTGCGCCCGGCTAATTTTTTGTATTTTTAGTAGAGACGGGGTTTCACCATGTTAGCCAGAATGGTCTCAATCTCCTGACCTCGTGATCCACCTGCCTCGGCCTCCCAAAGTGCTGGGATTACAGGCATGAGCCACCACGCCCGGCCCACCTTAGTCATTTTTAAGGGTATAGTTATGTAGTATTAAGTGCACTCATGTTGTGCAATCATTACCACCATCCATCTCTAGAACTCTTCATATCTTGTAAGATTGAAAGTCTGTACCTATTAACCAGTCACTCACCATACTCCCATACCCCCAGCCTTGGACAACTACCATATTACTTTCTGTCTCTATGAATTTGACTATTCCATTTTAACCTGATCCTCAAGGCTGTGTGGTTGCCTTATGGGTCATTATCAAAAATGTGTCTGTTTCATACCAGCCTTTGAGTACACAGAGATCTAGAGGTCTTCTAATTGGCCTGAATCCCTACTTGTGAGAAAAAAGGCCAAAACTACCATGAAGCTGATCTGCTGCCTGTTCTGCTGGAGTCAGCCTGAAAGATCCCACATTTAGATAGTGGAGTGATGACCCAGACATCTGTCCTGGCCTTTCTAAGGATCTCTGTGGACATCTCTTCAATATCAAGGACATGGACACCAGAACAGGATTCAGCTGTATGGAGGCCCAAGGCATGGGGGAATGTGGGAGCCTCATATTCTCCGTAACAAATAATGAGCAAAATCTCCATAAAAACATAACATCGTCTGGGCACGGTGGCTCACGCCTGTAATCCCAGCACCCTGGAAGGCCGAGGTGGGTGGATCCCCTGAGGTCAGGAGTTCGAGACCAGCCTGGCCAACATGGTGAAACCCCGTCTCTACTAAAAATACAAAAATTAGCCTGGCATAGTGGCACACCTGTAATCTCAGCTACTTGGAAGGCTGAGGCAGGAGAATCACTTGAACCCGGGAGGTGGAGATTGCAGTGAGTCGAGATTGCACCACTGCACTCCAGGCTGGGCGACAGAGTTAGACTTTGTCTCAAACAAACAAACAAACAAATAAACAAACAAAAAAATGACATAACTGACCCTATTTAAAGTCACTGAAATATTTGCCTTCTCTATTTGGACTTGCCTGATGCTCCAAATTGAAATGAATACCTGCACACTCAGAAAGCATGTTAGGCACCCCCGGCTGGAACATTCCTCACAGCTGGTTTCCTGGAAGAGCTGGTTGAGACTTGAAAGCTCTGCCCCCAAACACCCCTGAAGCTCTTGGAGACCAGCATGTAGATCTTATTTATCTTTGTTTTTCTCATAAGGCCCAGTACTCTAAAGATATACAATCTATGTGGATTGAATTGAACTGAACCCAAGATCAAGCATATATGTAAAACACTGTGGGGAGGAGGTATAAAGAGAAGTTTGAGTAGAGAATTTGTAGCACCATGGTTAAAACACGAGCTCCGAGCGGGCTGACCTGTGTGAGTTCCAGCCCCACCACTTACTAGAAATGTGTCTTCGTGTCTCCCACTAAGCCACATGGAGTTAATACAAGCCATAGAGGATGCAGGGTACACCTATGCTAAGCCCTCCTTTGCTGAGAACTGGACCCACAAGTGTAGCCTCTAGCAGTTGTGTTTGTACCATGTAACCCTGTTGTGAGCCCGATTCTGTCACTGTTCGGGGCGCCACTATGTAACCCGCACCGACCTAGGGCGACTGAACAAAGGGGGCGAACACGGAAATAAAAGGCAAGAGACAAAAGAGTATATTTGGAAGAAGGGGTCAGGGGGCACCTTGCCTCTAGTGGACAAGAGCTCTGAGCTTTACACAGCCCTCTGTATTTATTAGGCAAAAGAGGTAGTGAGAACTGGGGTGGAAGAAGGGGTCAGCTGCTTGGCCCAGAGTAGGCTTGTAAGACTGCATTCCTCGAACAACAGGCTCTAGATGTCGCAGTAGATAGCCTTGGCCCCAGGGAGTGATTGCCTCCAGGAAACCTTCTGTCTGCAAGAGCAGTCGTGAGCTTGTTCACATCTTGCATTCATGATAAACAGTTTGCTGTTTGATCATATAGACTCCAGTGGAATGCTGAGTTGGTCACGCGTCCCTCAGGCCTTCAGCTTCCTACATAACCCCACCCACCTGGCCAGACCCAACTGGGCCAGGGGTGGACCACTGACCCCAGCTGGGCCAATCAGCTCCTCTCTCCTGGAACTTGGGTTTGGATTGAGCATCCTTAGCGGGTCTGGTCTCACGGCTGAGCTGGGGAAGGAAGTGGCCTCGGGATGTGTGGGAAAGTGAGTGATTGTTACGTGCAGTTCAGTTGCTGGCGAGGTATTGAATTTCCTGCCCTTTGGTTCTACCTATGAGACATTCTTTTTTTTTACCAATAGATTCCCCTTTGCCAACATTAAGTAGGTATCTACAACACGTGACCAAACAAACACTCTCTTATCTAGACCCCGCCCTCCCAGGATTCATGTCAGGATTGAGGCAGTGACTGAGCAGTGCCCAGCCACAGGCAGCCCTCAGGAAGCATCAGCCCTCATTCCCATGACTCCTGTTAGTAATGGTTTCACCTCCTCCTCTGATCTACAATGGTGATGTAATGAAGCAATACTCTCTGTCCACAGGGAACGGACAGTGGTGTCTGGGAGTTCAGGCAGGTGCCTGCTAACAGATCCCACCAATCCAAGCTGAGGTGGGCCCCTGGCCACCAGCCTCACTCTGGCTGTTTTCTACCCGAGTCTCGTGGAGTTCCTGTTGTCTGAATAGCTGAGTGTTGTCTGCAAACGCAAGAAGAGGATGTGGCGCTTTTGCAAGGGGCCCCCATCTAAAATAGTCTCTGTGAGCAGGCTCAGAGCCACCTAACTATTTCTTCCATCTTCCACCATGGAGTCTGGAGAGCTGCTAGGGTAGAGTGGTCACCTGGCTCACCCCATCCTTCCCTGGAATGTTGGGAGAAGGCCTGACAGCACCCACCCGAGTGTTGACTGAGCCCCTTCCCTCTGCTGGAGTTGGTGCTGCCGCAGTACAAGAGCCCGGCATGACCCCTTGTCTTAATAGGGCTTTATTTTCTGTTATCTTACAATTTATTTTGTTTTCAGACACAGGTCTCACTCTATTGCCCAGGCTGGAGTGCAGTAGCTATTCATAGGTGTGATCATAGCACCCTACAGGCTTGAACTCCTAGGCTCAAGTGATTCTCTTGCTTCAGCTTCCTGAGATGCTAGGCTGTTCCACAGCCTCTGCTCCCAAGTTTTCTCACAATTGGCACAATTCCTAGGCTGGCCAAGTCACATATTCTACCCCATTCCTGCAGTCATTGGCCTGGGGATAGACGTGTGACTCAAACTGAGCTAATTAGACTCTGCCATGGGGCTCTCTTTGAAACAATGAGGAAAGAGATCCTCTTTGTCCATTGGGGTTGTTAAGCAGGCAGGTGACAGGCCCAGGACTGCTGGTGCCCAGCTTCACCCTTTGCTACCTTGTAGAGAAAGATGACCTGAGAAGGGAACCAACATAGAGGACCAATGGCCTTGTTCCAGAGCCTGGGTTAGCTGCATTTGGACCTAATTGTACACCTGGTTTACTAATTATGATCTTCAAAAAATGCCCTTCTTGCTGTAAGCAATAGCAGAGCTAGGTTTCTGAGAGTGAAATCAAGTTTCCTAATCAGTACAGGAGGATGGCCCTGTTGGGGCGTGTCAGGGAAGCATTCTCCATAGAAGTGACAGTGAAACTAAGAAGCAAAAGATGACTGGGACCAGCCAAGTGGAGAGGAGGGGAGGGAACATTCTAGACAGCAGGAGCAGCTCATGAGAAGGTTCCAAGTCAGCCAGAACTGGGCTTTGGGAATCCGTTTGCTTCATTACCTTGTGTGTGTTCTACTATAGTTATAAACATCTTTGATGAATAGCCTTTATTAAGTAAGTTCTGTGACCCTGATTTACCATAATGTCCATTTGCAAAGTACTTTGTTGTTTGCAAATCTTTTGTCATTGGATATGTCATAATTTATTAAATATATTTGTGTTCTCACAAACCCCTGACTGCACCTAGTATCCATGCAGTCTAGTTTTCTACTTTTCAACCAGGATTTTGGATTTAAAATATCGGCTCTTCTCAGCTCAGAAGCCTAGAAGGGTTGGGGGCAGCATTGAGTGTGTTTTGGGGTTGGGCCTGGGACCAGGGGCCAGTTTTGCCTGGTAAGGCATCTGCCAAGAGGGCTGAACAGGGCCACCCTGGATCAGAGCATCCATTCATCAGGTGGAAGAGGGAAATGAATTTGTCAATCTTTGGATTTGCCTTTGACCTCTAGAGGGCTGCAACTGATGAAATGATGATGGGAAATTTGGCTGCCATCTATGACCATCTCCTTTTTTTTTTTTTTAAAGAGGGAGTCTCGCTCTGTCACCCAGGCTGGAGTGCAGTGGCGCGATCTTGGCTCCCTGCAACCTCTGCCTCCCAGGTTCAAGTGATTCTCGTGCCTCAGCCTCCTGAGTAGCTGGGACTACCAGCGCGCACCACCACGCCCGGCTATTTTTTGTATTTTTAGTAGAGATGGGGTTTCACCATGTTGGCCAGGCTGGTCTCGAACTCCTGAACTCAGGTGATCTACCCACCTCGGCCTCCCAAAGTGCTGGGATTACAGGTGTGAGCCACCACACCCGGCCTGACTAGCTCTTAGTTGTGGAATCGGTGACCCTTTAGACTGTCCAGGGAGATGGGAATAAGAATCTCTCACAACATTAGCAGTTTTTCCTCCTCCCTGCACCTCCCCCAAATCCTGTCCCCATCACTAGGTTATTTAATTTACTTATTTTGGGGGAAACAGGAGGGAAAACTAGCCCAGGTGGTGCGTGCTACTTCTTTGTATTCCATCTTAGACTAACAACAGGAAGCAGGCAGCAGAATTGCCCCACATTGGAACATCACTTGCGTTACTAATTTGTTGTTATTTACTACTTGTATTATAGGATTTAACTTTGACTTCCCAGCTAAGTTGTGAACTCTTTGGAGGGAAGCACCAATTGTGCCCACTTTTGTAGGGCCCACAGAACCCGAAATAGTGCTTAGACTTAGCAGATCCTTTGATTCTTAAATGACTTTTTTTTTCCTTTTTTTTTTTTTTTTTTTTAGCCAGGGTCTTCCTCTGTCACTCAGGCTGGAGTGCAGTGGTGCAATCATGACTCCCTGAAACCTCTGCCTCCAGGGCTCAAGTGATTCTCCCTCATCAGCCTCTCAAGTAACTGGGACTACAGGCAGGTGCCGCCGTGCCTGGCTAATTTTTGTATTTTTAGTAGAGACGGAGTTTCACACATTGCCCAGGCTGGTCTCGAACCCCTGGGCTCAAGTCATCCACCCACCTCAGCCTCCCAAAGTGCTGTGATTGCAGCCGTGAGCCACTGTGCCCAACCACGACTTTTTTTTTTTTTTTGAGACGGAGTCTCGCTCTGGAGCCACCAGGCTGGAGTACAGTGGCATGATCTCGGTTCACTGCAACCTCCATGTCCTGGGTTCAAGAGATTCTCCTGCCTCAGCCTCCCAAGTAGCTGGGACTACAGGCGTGTGCCACCATGCCCACCTAATTTTTGTATTTTTAGTAGAGATGGGGTTTCACCATGTTGGCCAGGATGGTCTCAATCTCTTGACCTCGTGATCCACCTGCCTCGGCCTCCCAAAGTGCTGGGATTACAGGCGTGAGCCACCGTGCCCAGCCACGACTTTTAATGAACTCATTTCCACACTAGAAAAGTTCCACAGCTGAGCCCCAGGGTGCCCTTCTGGATGTCAAATAAGCAGGGCAGGCAGGGTGTGCTGTGTCCCTGAGGGAGTTGGGCCCAGGCCAGCATGGAGGCTCTAGGCCTCAGGGGACATTTAGGCCTGAGTAGGGCCAACCCCAGCCCGGGACAGGTGGCTCTCGCTGGCAGGGTGACTGAGTCCCACATGCAGGGCTGGGGTGGAGAATGAATCCTCCGCCTTGGCATAGACCTTGGGCCAGCAGAGGGCTTTCATGCCAGAGTGGACTCATTCCCCGGCTGGAGCCTCTGGGCTGGCAGGAGGTGCTATGAGGCCACTCCCAGGCCCTGGTGTGGGGTCTCCAATTAAGAAGGGGGTGCGGGCAGGGTGCAGTGGTTCACACCTGTAATCCCAGCACTTTGGGAGGCCAAGGTGGGTGGATCATGAGGTCAGAAGATCGAGACCAGCCTGGCCAACATGGCGAAACCCCGTTTCTACTAAAAATACAAAAATTAGCTGGGCATGGTGGCATGTGCCTGTAATCCCAGCTACTCAGGAGGCTGAGGCAGGAGAATTGCTTGAACCCGGCAGGCAGAGGTTGCAGTGAGTCGAGATCGCGCCACTGCTCTCCAGCCTGGCGACAAAGTGAGACTCGGTCTCAAAAACAAAAAACAAAACAAAAAAGGGGGTGCTGCATCTCTGGTTTGGGGGAGGTCAGGACAGGCTCCCAGCCAGCAGAGCTTGTTGAGTCCTGGTGAGAGTGAGTTCTAGGCCCTGGTGTGGAGCCTCTGGCCCACAGGGGATGCTGGGTCCGGGATGATGCTAGGGTGGGGTGGGCGTCAGTTCCACGTCCTGGGGTGGAAAATCTGACCCAGGAGGGTTCTCTGTGTCTCTGGTGAGGGGGCAGGCCAGGCTCTTGGGCAACCGAGGACCCTGGGTTGGAGCTGTCAGTCCCAGGTCTGGAGCTGGTGACTCTGGTCCCACAGCAGAGGAATGCGGAGTCCCAGGCGGGGTCGGCCCCACACCCCAGGCCCCAGGCCCCGGCGTGGGGACTCCGGCTCGGCAGGGGGCGCTGCGTCTCGCGCGTCGCGCGGGAGGCTCGGGCGGCTCCGGGCCCACAGGGGGCGCTGTGGCGGCGCGGCGGGCGCCCGGCAGGTGGCGCTGTGGCCGTGGCCGCGGCCGAGGCCCGGCGGGCGGGCGGGCGGCGTCGCTGCGCTGCGGCCGGCTCGCGGGCCGGGGGAGCGGCGGCGGGCGCGCGGGAGGCGGAGCGGCGGCGGCGGGCGCGGCGGGAGCGGCTGGGCCCGGGCGGGCTGGAGCGCGGTCGCCGAGCGCAGGGCCGCGGCCGCGCGGAGCCCGCCATGCCGGCGCGGGTCTGAGGCGTGGCGAGCCAGGGCCGAGGCGAGCGGCGGGCGCGCCGCCCCTGTCGCCCCGCGGCGGCCCGGCCCGGGCCCGATGAGCGGCGGCCTCGGCCTCCGGCGCAGCCCGGAAATGTCCGGCAAGATCGAGAAAGCAGGTGAGGCGCGGGCGTGGGGCGGCTCCCTCCGGCCGGGCCCGGCCCTGGGGCTCCGCCGCTCCCCGGGCCGAGCGCGGGTCGCCCGGGATGTGCGGCCCTCCGTGCGCCGGGGCGGGGTGAAGCCACCGAGGCCTCGCCGGGGCGCCTGGCAGCTTCTCCTCCAGGCCCATTGCCTGCCGGGCGCGGGGGGAAGCGGCCGCTGCGGGGGCGCCAGGGGCCGGGCCGGGCGGGGCCCCTGCAACCCGGGGCCGGGCGCGCTAGCCGCTCCGCGGTCCCCGGGAACTTCCGAAAATGGCTCGAGCCCCAAGCAGGGGAAGAACAGCCCGGGCCGCGTGCTGCTGCGGCTGCAGCGATCGGTGCCCGGCCTGGGCTCGGCGCTAGGAGGGTGAACCCAGCTGAGCTGTAAAATGTGTCATTTCTAACGAGCTTCGAGTTTAACGAGAAGCGTCCACTTCGGTTGCTTCAAAGGAAGCAGGCTGGATGAGTGGGGGTATTTTGAGGAGGTAGTCAAGTTTCCCCTCCCCACCCCGATCAAGCTCAGCTCTGCAAGGAGGGCAGGTGGGGGACCGGTGGGTTGGAGTAGATGGTAAATCTTGATGCAGACCTCGTCTCTTTGTGTGTTCCTAGAAATCTGGGGGAGTTACCTTCCGAGTCCCTGGGTTTGCCTGTCCTGGAAATAGAGTCTCCAAAGATTCAATGACTGTCGAGCCTGTGGGGCCCCAGGCTTTATTAGCCTGCAGCACCTTGCAGGGCAAATGCGAATTCTTGGGTCTAAGGTGAAGTGGGCGGGTGCTCCTGGGCTCCTGTACTGGGAGCATGCCCTGTGGTCATAACCCCGGTAGCAGGTTAGCTTGGCGGCTGAATGAGGGAAAGCAGATTTTTAGGGAGCTGCAAAGGAGGTCTGTGGCTTTGATTGTGGAAGTTGCTTATGTTTCCTGGGTTGAATCTGGGATACTTCTGTGGGGTGCACCCCTGCAGCGGACCCACAAGGCAATATGACTTTTGCAGGCTGTGGTTGAAGCACAGAAGGACATTTTTGTAGGCTTTATTGAGGGTTTACTATATATCTAACTCTTAGCACCTAAAATGCATTGCTTCTTAAATTTTTGAAGCTAGTCTGTGGGAAAGAATATGGTCCCAGTTTTACAGGCTCAGAGAGGTTCAGTGAGTTCCGGCTGTCCAGACAGCAAGAGGGCGGCAGGCCCCTAGTATATTCATTCCTGGCCCTCTGACCAGAAGCCAGGGTGCTTTTCTCAGGGGCAGGGCGCTTGGGTTCAGGTGCCATTTCTTGAGTATTTTTCTCACTGAATTTGAGCCCCCACAGCCTTGCCGAGTGACCATGAGTCGCCATCCTGTACACCTGCTGCTCCAGAAATAACTTGGGTTCATCTGTGCAGCATTTCTCAGGAACTTCTTGTA
This sequence comes from Homo sapiens, assembly GCF_000001405.40. Taxonomy (NCBI): domain Eukaryota; kingdom Metazoa; phylum Chordata; class Mammalia; order Primates; family Hominidae; genus Homo; species Homo sapiens. The sequence continues at coordinate 131,738,350 of NC_000009.12, read as the reverse complement.
TAGTGTCTTGTCAGAACGGTACTGTTGGGAAACTTGGATAATTTATTTTAAAAAGAACATTCACTGAGTTCTTTTATAAGAACTTTATAATATATAAGATTATATTATATCTTTTTATATCTAATATAAGATTATATTATGTTTTATATCTTTATAATATAAGAATATTCTATGTTCATTGTCAAAACTTGGAAATCACAGAAAAGTAAAATGAACCGGATTGGAAATCATCTGTCAGCCAGGTACAGTGGCTCACGCCTGTAATCCCTGCATTTTGGAAGGCCAAGGCAGGAGGATCACTTGAGCCCAGGAGTTTGAAACAAGCCTGGGCAAAATGGCGAGACCTCATTGCTACTTTAAAAAAAATTTTTTTTTTTTTTTTTGAGACGGAGTCTTGCTCTGTTGCCCAGGCTGGAGTGCAGTGGTGCGATCTCGGCTCACTGCAAGCTCCGCCTCCTCCTGGGTTCACGCCATTCTCCTGCCTCAGCCTCCCGAGTAGCTGGGACTGCAGGCGCCTGCCACCACGCCTGGCAAATTTTTTTGTATTTTTAGTAGAGACAGGGTTTCACCGTGTTAGCCAATATGGTCTCGATCTCCTGACCTCGTGATCCGCCCACCTCGGCCTCCCAAAGTGTTGGGATTACATGCGTGAGCCACCGCGCTGGGCCTCTTTTTTTAAAAAAAGGAAAAAGTTGCCTGTCATCCCATGAGCTGCCCAAACCGCTGGGAATGAAATGACTCTTCATTTGAGTTCTCTGCTATTTGGGAGAAAGACCTGAGGCCAGTTCATTTCAGCATAGTTTGTCCTTGGGCCTTTTCTGGGCACCGCCTTCTGCTAGGGGGTTGTAGATGAAAGTGCCTGCTCCCAGAGAAGCTTGTCTAACCTAGCACAGTTTCTAAGCTACCCAGGCTGCCAGACCGAGCGACCGTGCTGCCATGGACACAGGTGAGAGAGGGGTGTCATGAGTGCGGGAATGAGGAAGACACTGGAGGGGACAGTGTTTGTGCTAGGCTCTGAAGAGAGGGCTGAGATATATACCTGGTGGAGACAGGGAGAAAGAGGAGAGAGGGGAAGGGGCTGACCAGGAGCTGCGGAAAGTGTGGGAGGAAGATGCATTTTGTGAGAAGCAGAAAAAGTAAGAGTTCTGAGATTGGCAAGACCAGGGTCAGGACCTCGCCTGCAGATTGGGGATTGCAGATGTGGAGCTGGCTGGAAGTCCAGCCTCCTTGCAGAAGGTCTTTTGCTGCAGTTCATAGGAATCATAGTGAAAGATTACAACTGCCAAGGAAGACTGGGGCGCGCCTGGAGTGAGGATGACCTTTCCTGGTGGTCTCTGCTGGCTATTCTCAGTGAACTTCCCTTTGCATTTAGACGACATTTTGTTAGATTTCTGTTGGAGTTTTTTTAATGGACTTCCCACTATTCAGTCTCCAGAGGAGTATTTGATTCAGAGGAGAGGCCCTTAGGTGAAGTGGTGGCAGAGCCTGACACCAGGCAAACAATTGTTGTGATTGGAGTTTTGCTGTTTTGTTATCTCAAAGCAACAGAAACGTTGCTTAAATATGTTCATAATCTCCTCTCCCTGAAAGTAGAAGAACCAGCGTTTTTAGTTCTCAGTGCTTAAGGCATCCAGGGTTTTTTGGGTAAACAGGAAACCCCTTCACATCCCGCATAGTGTGCAGCTCTGGCCTGTTCCTCATCCCGCCCCCTTGCATTGCCTGATACCTCCTTGGTGTGCAGGACTCTCCTTAACCCCTGGGGGAGATCTTTTGAGTCATTGCTGTTCTTTGGGACATTTTCTTTCTCATGCAGCAGTGCCTGGCTGGGGCAGGGCCTTGAGGGGTTCATCCATACCTATGTATATCCTCAGAGAATACACAAGGTCATAGGCCTCACATTTGGGGGTCCCAAGTGCCATGGGGAATCAAGACAGTCTGGGCCAGAGGGTGGCACAGGGACAACTTGCTGGGCTGGTGGGGGCCTGTCAAGTGAGGCCTGGTGGAGAAAGGTTGAATTTGGAGGGCCAGGAACAAGCTGGGATGCAGGGGAGGCTTTCTAAACTCTACAGTGCTTCTAGAGATGACGAGGAGGTAGGGAGTAGAAGAGAGCTGGACAGATTAGGGAGCTCCCAGGGTGAGCTTGTGGGCAGGCCTGCAGAGGAGAAGAGGCTCTTCCCTAGGAGCTCAGAGGGATTTGTTCTGGAAGACTGATGGGAGATGTATGCAGCTGTTTAGAGGCTGCTTTGGAGAACAAATGAACATGGTTCTGGTTGTGCAAGCAGTTACTGTGGTTCTTTTTGCTCATATATCTTCCAATAAAGACATTGAGCGAGGAGAGTTGATACCGTCATGTTTTTGGAGCTTAAGCACAGACTGGCAGCTGCGGGCTGGATTCAGTCCACAGATATGTTGGGTTGGATCCGCACGTGTTCTTGAGGAAAAAAACAAAAGAATTGATGGTCAATATTGAAAAATCAGGAAGTCACTCAAAAATCTCAAAAGCCTGGTTCCTGATTTCCTTGAAAAATGAGAATCTCTGGTAACTCTGAGCGCTTGTTCCTGCCTACAAGGCAGCTATGGGCAGGAGTCAGGTGGCGGACACTCCCACAGAGCCCCTCACCACTCCCACAGCCAGCCACACCTCCGACGGCCCACTTGGACTTTTGACATTTGCGTTTGCATCCCCTCCTCGGAGAAATGATTCATGTTTGTTTGTTTTTGTCTGGACTTTGAAACCTTTGCCCCATCCCTTCATTGACTCATTACTCCATCCCTCATTCATCAGGGATTGAGCACCGGCTCCATCAGGCTCCGTACAAGGCTCTGGGGACTCAGTGGTGAACTCAGCAGATGTCGTGCTGCCTGCCCTGAATACAGGCATCCTCTGTGTGTCACAGGGTGAGCAGGAAGGTGGCAAGAGATCAGACTTGCAGTGGGGAGGGATGGTCAGGAAACTCCTGTGCTCCTGTGACAAAATGGGACTTAAGGTGAGAGGCGGAGGATGGGTCCACTTAGCTGGGCACAGGCAGTGGGGTAGGGGACCAGTCTCCTGGGGTGGGAGCAGACCAAGGCCTCCTCAGCTGAAGGGAAGAAGGTCCTTGGACTGCATGTGTCAGTTTCAGTCACTCATTCCTTTCTTCCCTCCTTCAGTGGCTTCACTCATCGCCTGCCTCACGGAGCAACCTCCTGAGGGCCTGGAGTTGTTCTTGTTCTTGGGACACAGCAAAGATCCCGGCCTCCTGGGCCATACCTTCTAACTGGGCTGGCCATAAGTTAAGCAGTTTTGTATGTATGTTTTTAAAGTCCCTTTCCTTCCTCTCTGTGCTCCCAGCGAACCACAGGCTGGCTGGGAGTTTCATCATTTACCAGACCCTCCTGCCAGCGCTGTAGCTCCTGTCACCTTGGAGCAGTTCACTGGGCCTGCTAAAGTGGCCACAGGCTTGCCCAGCACGCTGCCTGAAGATGGAATAAATAGGTGTCTCACGCTCAGTGTGCTACGGTTTCAAATGTGTGAAGATGCTTTTATTGTAAATCGAAAAGAAATTTATAATGACTGCATTTCATGGTCACATTTTTGTCATGATATATTTTCTCAGAACAGATACTAAGAGTACAGGCCCTATGATGTAGGGCTACTCATTTTTGTGGCCTGAGAAAGAGGTCCTCTTAGATTGGCAGTCATTGTATTTCGATCAATTTTAAACTCGTCAAATTTGTACTTCCTTTTTCCTCCATAGTTAGGAATTTTTGTCGTCAAAGTATACTCAGTCAAGCAATGAGACATTTTGATGGCACCTGCTCTGCCTCCTTTCACTCACCCGTTTTAACACTTACTGAGTGCCTCCTTGTTGGCAAACACCAAGTGATGCCTCGTGGCAGGGAGCCAGCAGGAACCTGTCCCTGGAGGCCACAGTCCAGGGGTAGAATCAGAACGATCTTGAACATCTCTGCAATTTCCTGTGGTTTTCAGAATGCATTTATAGACTACCTCATTTCATTTCATCCTCACAACAGCCCAGGGGGTGAGGGCAGGGCGGAGTATCCCTCTTTTGCCCCTCAGGGCAGCTAAGGCCCAGGGAAATTTGGTTGTTTGCCCAAGGTCATGCCCTGGAGAAGTGGAATGGGGAACCGGCCCCCTTTCTTGCCTTTATAGAGCACTGGTTAGAGCCTCCCTGGTTGCTGGGGACACAGCTTTCCATCTTAATTCTTCAGGCTTCTCAATCTCTTTTCTGATCTTTGAAAAAAAAGATCTACCAATGAAATTAAGGGAGGCTCACTACAGTCTTTAGACTGCGTCTGATACTCGTAATACTAGTCACATTAACAGTGCTGTAGAGAGATAAGAAATAGCACTAATGCCAGCTAAGTGTGTTTTTAGAAAAATCAACCACAGCAACCCCAAATGTTTCCTGGTCTCCAGAGCAGCTGTTGGCAGAGGCGGTTTGAATGGGATTCCTTGTAGCCAAGAGACCTTATAGGAGGTCTGTAGAGATGAGTCATGTGTGAGCTTGCAGAAAAATGTCTCCCAAAGTAGCCCGGATTGGAGATTGCCTTGAGTGCCAGGCTGGGTCTTACCTCAGGCCAGCTGAGCGTGTTCCCCATGGCCAGGATAAGATCACGCTCTGGAAAGAGGAGAGGCCTGACAACCCACCGCCTGCCCCACCCCGCGGCCGCCTCGCCGCCGGGACAGGTGTTCCTCTGACTCGTCACCCGTCTTGCCCCAAAGGCTGTTTTATGAGTAAATAAATAAAACCCACCGTTTGTGAATTATTAAGGGATCTGTCATCCAGCAGGCCAGTCATCTTAGTTTCTGGTCATCTGTTTGAGAACATCTTAGTTGTGTCCTTGGGTGATTCTTACCCTTTCCTGGGGCTTATTTTCCCCATCAGTGCCAGGAAGGAGTGGGACTCAAAAGGAGCGCTCCTCTGTTTGTGTTTTTAAGCTGTAGCCACTGCCCCCGCCAACCCCGCACCACCCCCCCCCCCGCCCCCGCCCCGGCTTTTTTAAATTTTAAGTTCTGGAATACATGTGCTGAACGTTCAGGTTTGTTACATAGGTATACATGTGCCGTGGCGGTTTGCTGCACCTATCAACCCGTCATCTAGGTTTGAAGCCCCGCATGCGTGACTGCAGGCCCTTTTTTATACATAAGAAGGCCATTAGGTAACCACTAATGGGGAAGCCTCTTTGAATGCAGTCCTTCCTGCTTAGCTGTGGCCGAGGCTCCTCCTTGGACCCTCCACCCCAAACACAATGTGAAAACCCACTTCCTCGATGCTCTCACAGCTGCCTCTACCAAAATCAACTTCCTCTGGGCTCTTTGTGCCTTCTCTTCCTCTAACATATAGTAAATTCCATGGAAATGCCCCAGATCAATGCTTGAGTAGAATGATGTTTCACTCATTCAAAATCAAAGCCCCAGTTTCCTTTCTGCAAGTTAAAAAATCAACAAGTGAAATGTTAAACAGATGATTAGCTCCGTGAGGGAGTGTGTCTACCACTGCGGTGCCATTACGGTGCCTTGAACGCAATAGGTGCTCAGTAAATACTTACTAAAAGAATGAGTGAATTTAGTTAATATTATCATAGAATGAATTTTAGTTTCTGGTTCCAAGTCTCAAATTATCTTTAGACGTAGCTTATTGTGGTTTCAAATTGCCAATTAGGATGTTTCTTGGTACATTAGTAGGACCAATATCTGATCAGTGGTGTGCAGTTAGTTGGGGGTTCTGTGTTTTCCTGTAGTCCTCTGAACACTAATGATGAGGTTAGGATCAAATTCCCAGAACACCACTGGGAGAACGCCAGGACACCGTGAAGGCTGAGCCGCCACTCGGTTCTGATGCCGCATCCATTGGTCAGTGCACGTTCTTTGAGCTTCCACTTGAGTGCACGTTCTTTGAGCTTCCACTTGAGTGCATGTTCTTTGAGCTTCCACTTGTAGTGACTGCCTGGTTCTTTGGGATGTGCAGGAGCAAAGCGCTCTTAGGTAATGCTCGTTCTGCCCTGTGTTTACAAACCAAGGCCTGTGCCAGCTCTACTCAGCCTGACACCCATAATGAGCACCATCCCAGGAATCCCTGTCCCTACTTGTTATTTTTTTTTTTTTCAGTTGGCCTTTGAATGTGATTTAGGACTGGCTTCCTGCAGCATTACTCTCTTTTCCCAGGATGACTGTGCAGCGTGTGCTGTCTAGGGCTGGGGTGCAGGCTGTTGGTGTGCCTCTGGCACCCCCTTCCTTCTTTGTCAAGAGGCATGGGCAGTATTTTCTTGCTACTTCCCCCTCCTCTGTGAGCTAAGGTACAGGGGGGGAGGTTCATCTGAATTTATTAGAAATCTGCTGTCTGCTGGTCACAATTCCTTTCTCCCACTTTCTTCTCCCAGGCTGTAGTTTGAAAGACAGGTGACAATTCTCTGAACCCAAGTCCCACCCTGCAGTCTGGACTGCTGCTTCCCGGAACACCACGACTCCTGTAACAGCTTAGACTTCTGTCCCCACAGTCCCTTAGCAGCAGCTTTCTCTTTGCTTTTCACTGGCTTGCCCAAACCACACAGTGACTTTACTGCATATTAAGTTTTGTGATCAGGCGATTCTGCAGTGCTTTTAAAGCGTAGAAATGGAGCACTGAGCACAGGATGCTGTGTGGTTTGCCCAGGGCTGGGTTCAGAGGGGCGGATTTCAGGCATTTGCTCTATAGCTTTTAAAATTTGTGCCACTGATGTGGACCTGACAGATGCGATTCCCAGCCACACACTGTATTGTTAAAAACGGAGCAGGAGTGTGACACTGACAGTAACTGAGAGAAGGAAGGACATGGAATGAGAAGAGAGGACAGCTGACATCCAGTGGAATGTGACCGTGTTAAATAGCCACTTAGCTGACCCCAAACGAGCAAACAAACAAAACCCCTGGTTGGAAACAGTGGTTGTATTTATTTGCTGGTTATCACATGCGCCCATCCTCCTTCAAGTGATGGTTCTGAATAAATAGATGGATGATTGTTCATGAGTCATGGAATTGGCTACTCTCAACCCCTCCTTTCAATAATAAATACAAATAATAGTAGTAGCTGATGTTCATTAGGCACTTACCACGTGCTGTACCAGGCTCGCTTCTGTATATTTTACACTTGTGGTTGCATTTAATCCTTACAATAGGAGAAAGGTACTGTTAACTGTTCTCATCCTACAGAGGAGGAGACTAAGACACAGAGCTTTTCTTTGAGACCTGAAAGAGTTAACATTTGCACATAGTCATATACTGAGTTGGGGCAAAGTTAGGACTAAAGCCCATCTGACTATTCCCCATGCATCTATATTTTTATTGATTCTGATATTATTCTCTTGGCTGTGTGACTTGGGTGAAAATGAGCCTTCATGTTTCCAGGGACCCCTCTGCCACAGAGGCAGCTGCTGCACTAACAGGACACCCCATCATCCTGAGGATTCCTTCAGAAGACAGCTCTCCTCCTGACTGTCCTGCTGGAGCTCACAGGGGGCTGCGGAAGCCTTGCTTCTGGCTGGGTGACCGTGGGCAAATTGCTTAATCTCCTGAGCCTCAGGTGCCTTTGTTGTAATTTGGTAGGGTGGATAAACCCACCCCGGAGCCCTTTCTAATGCTGGTTCTTCTTCTTTTTTTTTTTTTTTTTTTTTGAGATGGAGTCTCACTCTGCTGTTGCCCAGGCTGGAGTGCAATGGGGTGATCTCGGCTCACTGCAACCTCCCCCTCCCAGGTTCAAGCAATTCTTCTGCCTCAGCCTCCCAAGTAGCTGGGATGACAGGCGCCCGCCACCACGCCCGGCTAATTTTTGTATTTTTAGTAGAGATGGGGTTTCACCATGTTGACCAGGCTGGTCTCTTTGGCCAGGCTGGTCTTGAACTCCTGACCTTGTGATCCGCCGCCTCAGCCTCCCAAAGTGCTGGGATTACAGGTGTGAGCCACCTCCCAGCCTAAGGCTGGTTCTTTGGGAGTCTAGACTGCAGTATGTGGGGTGGACTTATTGAGGCTTGTTTTGTTGATGATTTTTAATGGCAGTAAATGTTGGATAGCACTTAACTAATCATCAAAATAGCTTTTGAAACATTTTTGTACACATTAGTTTCTTTGTTGTTTTGGGCTTTGTTAATTTGTTTCTTTTTTTTTTTTTTTTTTTTTTTGAGAGGGAGTCTCGCTCTGTTGCCCAGGCTGGGGTGCAGTGATGCAGTCTCGGCTCACTGCAAGCTCCACCTCCCGGGTTCACGCCATTCTCCTGCCTCAGCCTCCTGAGTAGCTGGGACTACAGGTGCCCACCACTTCGCCTGGCTAATTTTTTGTATTTTTAGTAGAAACGGGGTTTCACCATGTTAGCCAGGATGGTCTCGATCTCCTGACCTCGTGATCTGCCCGCCTCGGCCTCCCAAAGTGCTGGGATTACAGGCGTGAGCCACTGCGCCCAGCCAATTTGTTTCTTATCATAAGTATGGAGTTGCCCAAGATTTTTCCCAGATGAGGATGATGGCAGCTCACATTTATTATTTCCTGTGTGCCGGGAACGATGCTAGGAGCTTTACCTTCAGACGTGTGTGTGTGATTTAATTAATTCTGTTCTTATAAAGAGTCAGCAATGGCAGGTATTGTGCCCATTTGACAGTTGAGGAAAGGGAGGCAGCAAGAGGGAAGTGACTCGCCAGGGGTGGGTTGTGTATTGCTGAGAACTGGAGTTTCACTTCTCTCCCCTTCCTGGGGTCTAGGGCTGACTTGCCGGCACCACCACTGCCTTGGGTTGGAATGTACTCTGGGGTTCCCCCGGGGCTTTCCAGCCTCTCTGTAGGACTGTTAAGGTGGCACCACATCTGCCTACAGATTTATGAAGAAGCCCCTGGTTTCTCCATTATTGAAGTGGCTTAAAAAGTACATTTGCTGAAAATATTGCATGAGAATCTGCTTTGGAGAAACCTTTCACAGATGGCACAACGGTAGGAAGTGGCCCTTACGAGTTAAAGTAGTTCCACCCACCCACCCACCCAACACTGGCTGTCACTGAGTGTCAAGCAGCCTGCCAGGGGAGGAGAGGGTACTGAGAGGGCTGAGGCGTCAGTGCCCTTGGGGAACTGACAGTCAGCCACCACCTGCGTTGTGTACAGGAGACTTTTGATCTTGGCTCTCACACCCTCATCCGTGTTAGAGGCAGCATGAGCCTGAGCTGAGAGGTGGGAGACCTGCCTCATGGCCCCTGGGCCTGCACTGATGCACTGGATCAGTGCCCCTCCCCAACCCTGTCTTTCCATCTGTGCAGTGAGCCAGTACAGAACAGTGTCTGAGAGCATGTGCTTCAGGTCCTCTAGCTGTGGCTTTAGATACCAGCCCTCCTGTGTCATTGTTGTGGGATCTTGGGCATGTCACTCTGTCTTGTCTAACTCTCAGTTTTTCCTTATCTGTAAAATGGGGAAAATCCTAACAGTACCTACCTTATGGTATTGAGGGAGAATTAAACGAGATGATGTACATAAGCATTTAATCAGAGTCTGGACACATAAGAAGTGCTCGATAAATCTTAGCTTTTGTTCTTACTTCAGGTCGCCTTCTACTCTAAAGTGACCATTTCTTTAAAAATGGTAATCTGGTAACTAAAATTCAAACCTCAGCACTCACAGAGAAGGGGAGGTCCCTGACTATTGAGGTATTTCCTTTTAGGCTGGTTTGTTCTTTCTCTTTCTCTCTCTAAGAAAGCTGAAGTCCAGGGAGTAGGTTTTTACAATTAAGTAATAAACTTTTGAAGTGATCACTCGTAGGAAGAGTAGAGGGCAATTCATTTCAGCTACACATATCCCAGTGCATGCAGGCAGACCAGGAGGCCCTGATTTTAATTTGAGTCTGTCTGGAAGGAATGGGCCTGTGCTTGCAGGCTGTGGTATATGTCAGAGCCACAGCAGGGCTGATACACCAACAGGTATATTTTTTGCCCTGTCTCAAGGGACACCTCCCCAGTTTCTCCTTGCGGGGTGACTTTCGGGGATTAATTAAATCATCTTCGTTCAGCTCTGGAGGTGAAATGATCACAGAGTGTTGCATTTGTGACAGTTAAAAACCACAAGACATTCAAGGTCCTCGTGTACAAAGTAACTTACAAGTTGCATTGAGCACTGCAAGAAGGGGGATTTCATACCCTTTATTTTTCTTTCTTGATTAACTTTCACAGTAAAGATAAATTCAGAAATGCTGTTTTGGTGTTCTGAGTCTTCCTTAACCCCTGCTCCACTGGGAATTTCGGGTATGTGAAAGTAAATGTGTGTAGTCTCCTTGCAAATTTGTCAGTGCAGCTAGCATGAAGCACAGTGCTATTTGCAGAGAGACCAAAGCCCAGTCAACCCTTTTCACTTTCTGTAATCATTTGGTCCTGGAGCTACAGAACCTCTCAATTAGCATAACCACACTAATTTGTGCTTCTGCCTCAGCTTGTCAAGAGTGCCTTGCAAATATTAATTCTCTGAGCTCATCAGAAGACCAAAGGCATAGATCAAAAGCATGCTTTTCTGCATGATCTGTCCTTGTTTTTTTTCTGTTCATGAGGAGCTTTCTCTATTAATTACCCTAAATATGCAAGGTTGTAGAATGAAGCTTTTATATTTGACAAGTAAGAATTGGGCTAGGGACCTGGATTACAGGGACTCGGGCTAGGGACTGCCTGTGCTGCAGGGGTGCGGAGTTCCCTGGCCTCAGCTTGGCAGGAGAAATGCACGTACTGCTGAGGAAATTCTGTAGGCTAAAGTCATGGGGAGCGTGTGAGTCATGATCACCAGAAATGCCTGGACCTGTGGCATCTTTGGGTGATGAAGAGGGAACCAGCTTAGCACTGCCACAGACACACCATGTCCTCTGGGGCAAGCCAGGATTCCTTCCTGGGCCTCTGAACCCCACTCTATAATTGGAGGGCCTTGAACTGGAACAGAGGTTCCTGAGCTTTTTAAGATCATAGGTCTCCCAGGAGTCTGATGGAAACTCTGTGGACCTTGTCCCCAGGGAGAAAGATTCATTATGTGTGGACATGTTTCTGCCAAGCCGTAAATTCCCACTACTATATGATAAGTGAGAATTCGCAAATACCCGGGGTCTTGGAAAGATCAAATAGAATTTTTGTTGTCTGAAACAATCAGGACTTAGTTCAGTCAGGTCTGAGCCCTAGTAACAGTAATTATGCATTCCCAGAATTTGGTAAGGATTTTGTGAAATGGGGCTTGTAAGCTGCTGGGTGGAATACCTGCATGGATAAAAGGGGGAACCTTCCCCTTATGGGTGAGGTTTAAAAAAAAATTATGTATAGTAAAATTGATGTTTTGGGGATATACAGTTGTATTTTTTGTTTTTCATTTGTGATGGGGTCACACTGTCACCCAGGCTAGAGTGCAGTGGTACCATCGTGGCTCACAGCAGCCTCGACCTCCTGAGCTCAAGGAGTCTTTCAATTTCAGCCTCTTGAGTAGCTGGGACTACAGGTGCGTACCACCACACCCTTTTCATTTAAAAAAATTTTTTTTGTAGAGACAGGTTTCCCTATGTTTGCCAGGCTAGTGGGGTATAAAGTTTTGTGCGTTTTAACACGTGTAGATTTGCATAACCACTACCACATTCAGAATACAGGCCAATTCCATCACCCTGAGTGAAAAAGCCTTCTTGCCGCCCCTTTGCAGTCATACCCTTCTCCCACCCTGGCAGCATGGATCTGCTTCCTTTCTTTTTTTTTTTCTTGAGACAGAGTCTCGCTCTGTCCCCCAGGCTGGAGTGCAGCAGTGCCGTCTCAGCTCACTGCAACCTCTGCCTCCTGGGCTCAGGTGATTCTCCTGCTTCAGCCTCCCAAGTAGCTGGGATTATAGGCATCCACCACCGCGTCCGGCTAATTTTTGTATTTTTAGTAGAGACGGGTTTCACCACATTGGCCAGGATGGTCTCGAATGCATGGCCTCAAGTGATCTGCCCGCCTCAGCCTCCCAAAGTGGTGAGATTACAGGTGTGAGCCACTGTGCCCGGCCAGCATTGATCTGTTTTTTATCTATACCTATAGATTTGCATTTTCCAGAATACCGTGTAAGTACAACCATAAAGTGTGTAATCGGCCTTTTACTCTGTACTGACTTTGAGACTCGTCAAGTTGTCCTTTTTATCACTGGTTCATTCCTTTTTATTGCTGAGTAGTATTCTATTGCATTGACATAATAACTGCTTATCTGCGTGAGAATTTGACCTTGGCTGACTATCTGTCTGTTTGCTAGAAATAGACAAAGATGGCACAGGACCAACAAAAAACAACCCAATTTTGGCCGGGTGCAGTGGCTCACACCTGTAATCCCAGCACTTTGGGAGGCTGAGGCGGGTGAATCACGAGGTCAGGAGATTGAGACCATCCTGGCTAACATGGTGAAACCCCGTCTCTACTAAAAAATACAAAAAATTAGCTGGGCATGGTGGCACGCGCCTGTAGTCCCAGCTACTCGGGAGGCTGAGGCAGGAGAATGGCATGAACCTGGGAGGTGGAGCTTGCAGTGAGCCGAGATCACGCCACTGCACTCCAGCCTGGGTGACAGAGCAAGACTCCGTCTCAAAAAAAAAAAAAAAACACAACCCAATTTTTAAATGGGCAAAGGGCTTGAATAGGCATTTCTCCAAAGGAGATATACAAATGGCTAATAAACACATCAAAATGTGCTCAACATCACTGATCATTAGGGAAGTGCAAATCAAAACTACAAACAGAGCTGGGTGCAGTGGTGCGTGCCTGTAGTCCCAGCTACTCAGAAGGCTGAAGTGGGAGGATTGCTTTAGCCCGCAAGGTCAAGACTGCAGTGAGCTCTGATAGCGCTGCTGCGCTCTGGCCTGGGTGACAGAGTGAGACCCCGAAAAAGAAAATTAGCTGAGCATGGTGGTGTGCGCCTGTAGTCCCAGCTACTCAGGGACTAAGGAGGGGACTGAAGCAGGGGGATTGCTTGAGCCCAGGAGTTCTGGGCTGTAGTGCACCATGCCTACCTGGTGTCTGTACTAAGTTCAGCATCAATATGTTAACCTCTGGGACTACCACGTTGCTTAACAAGGGGTGAACTGGCACAGAGTAGAAGTGGAGCAGGTCAAAACTCCTGTGCTGATCAGCCCTGGGATCACACCTGTGAACAGCCACTGCACTACAGCCTGGGCAAAATAGTGAGACCCCCATCTCATTCATTCATACATACATATATATACGTACATACATACATACCTAAGTACATACCTACCTACCACAGGGAGATACCAGCTCACACCCATGAGGATGGCTGTTTTCAAAAACTCAGAAAATAGAGCTTGCAGATAGCTGAACAGGTAGCACAGCTGGGGAGGATGTGGAGGCTCCGTGCCCCTTCTCACAGGCCCTGCCCAGTGCAGCTCTTCATCTGTGTCCTTTGTAATATCCTTTATGATAAATGGGTAAGCACAAGGCAGATGGAATTAACAGACTGTGGCTGCTGTTTTTAAACAGGGTTTGCCAATATCTGTGTGTCTCTTGGGAGGATGAGGCCGTCTTTCTGCAACAAGGGAGAACAGAATCACAAGATCTTTAGGGGGGACCTTGACATTTCCTGTGGCAGATTTCAGTATTGCTGGTCAGAACTCATTTCATCCATCAGAGTTGCTGTAGGCTTTCTTTCTAAGTTCCTTAATCATCTTTAGCCTTCCTTGGATTTACCAGGCCGTGGATGCTGAAAATAACAATCCTGGTGTTTCAGGACAGGAGTGGACTTTTTTTTTTCTGAGCCGGAATCTCGCTCAGTCGCCCAGGCTGGAGTGCAGTGGCGTGATCTCGGCTCACTGCAAGCTCCGCCTCCCGGGTTCACGCCATTCTTCTGCCTCAGCCTCCCGAGTAGCTGGGACTACAGGCGCCCGCCACCACGCCCAGCTAATTTTTTGTATTTTTGGTAGACACAGGGTTTCACCGTGTTAGCCAGGATGGTCTCAATCTCCTGGCCTCGTGATCCACCTGCCTCGGCCTCCCAAAGTGCTGGGATTACAGGCGTGAGCCACCGTGCCCGGCCGAGTGGACTTTTTTCCCATGAACCCTATGGGCAGTCTGCTACTTCGTATGTGTATATGGCCTTCCTGAAAGCATGTCTGAAAATTGAATATCAAACCTGTATCTTAACAATACACTGTCAGCCGGACACTCACACAGTCCGATGAGTTACCTGAGTGAGGATGAAGATCTACAGCTTTGGCATGGCCACTCACCTCTGTCTTCTCTCGGCAGTAGTATTTTATGAAACCTGTGTTTTTCACTGGTATCAACTATTCCATTTTCTCATTTTCACTACTTTTTATAAAATATTAATGGCAAAATATAATAAAGCAGTCAAACTCTTTCCACAGCAACAATCACTGCCACCACAACAAAAACACCCCACAGAAAATAAGTGTTGTGGAGAATGTGGGGGAATCTGAACACTTGTGCGCTGTTGGCAGGACTGTAAAATGGTGCAGCCACTGTGGAAAACAGTATGGCAGCTCGCCAAAAAACTAAAAATAGAACTACCACATGATCCAGCAAAGTATATACCTATGGGTGTGTACGCAAAAGAAGGGAAAGCAGGGACTCGAGGAGACCTTTGTGTACCATCTCTGTAGCAGCATCATTCACAACAGCCAAAAGATGGAAGTGACCCAGGTGTCCACTGATGGGTGAATGGATAAAGAAAACGTGGGCTGTTCATACATGGAATATTATTCAGCCTTAAAAAGGAAGGACATTCTGACATGTTCCAGTGTGGATGAACCTTGAGGACATTATGCTAAGTAAAATAAGCTAGTCACAAAAAGACAAGTACCATATGATTCCACTAGACCGTGAGGTGCCTACGCTAGACAAAATTATAGCAACCGAAAGGCGCTGAGGTGGCTGCCAGGGGCTGGAAGGAGGGAGGAATGGGGACTATTTCAGTTTTGCAAGGTAGAAAAGTTATGGAGATGGCTGCTGGTGATGATGGCACATTATGAATGTTACTTATTACCACTGAAGTGGTAATAAGTGGTAATCACTTTAAAATGATTAAGATGGCAAATGTTATGTGTACTTTACCACAGTTTTTTCAATGTTTATATAATTACATAATTTAATCTTAAATATCTTTTTAAAATTTTTATTTATTTATTTATTTATTTGAGACGGAGTCTCGCTCTGTCACCCAGGCTGAAGTGCAATGGTGTGATCTCGGCTCACTGCAGCCTCCGTCTGCTGGGTTCAAGTGATTCTCCTGCCTCAGCATCCTGAGTAGCTGGGGCTACAGGCATGTACCACCACACCTGGCTAATTGTTATATTTTTAGTAGAGACAGGGTTTCACTATGTTGGCTAGGCTGGTCTCAAACTCCTGATGTCAAGTGATCTGCCAGCCTCAGCCTCCCAAAGTGCTGGGATTACAGGCGTGAGCCACCATGCCTGCCCCCCGCCCCGTTGTTTTTGTTTGTTTGTTTGTTTTGTTTTTTAAATAGAGATAGGGTTTTGCTCTGTTATCCAGGCTGGAGTGCAGTGGTGTGATCATGGCTCACTGCAGCCTCAAACTCCTGGGCTCAAGGAATCCTCCCGCCTCAGCCTCCCAAAGTGTTGGGATTACAGGTGGGAGCCACCATGCCCAGCCCATGAAGCTTTTAATCCAGGGCAGATCCTGCACCTCTGGATGGGGACCCAGTCATCTTGGACCTGGGCCTTTCAGCTGTACTGGGCCCCTGCTGTCCCCTGGCAAGCTCCCATTCCCATCAGGGGCCGATGGAAGTCCCTGGGAGCCTAAATGTCTAGTTGAGCTCTAGCCCCTGGTGGTGATATAGCTTGGCGCGTAGTTAGTGCTTGGCTCATGTCGGCTGTTAGTAAAGACTCTCAAGCTCTGCATTGGCTTCCCTCCGAGGGCTCTGCCTGGATCCATCAGCAGCACTTACTCTCTCTGAGTTGACAACACAGATGGCACTTACTCCAGAGCTGTTTGGCAGGATTCCAGGCTATCGCCACGTTCTTGAGAAGGTATCACTGGCTTGGGGGAGGGGAAAAGAGAGGACGATCTAGGCAAAAGCAAGATCAAGGCCCTCTCCAAGAATTTTCCAGCCTGGCAGGCCCTGTTAGGTGGCATGGTACCGCTGTGTGAGTGGGAGCGCCACCTGGAGATGGCCACGATAGGGTCTCTGTTCCCACGAGTATCATTAACACGTCTCTCTATGAATCTGGGTGATAACCAATTACCTTGGGGTTTTTTTTTGACACTAAGACACCAACACATATAAGACATGTAAGGCGTTATCGATTTAATGTTTCTCAGGAAACAAAGGAGAAAATACATTAGCAGGTGGATTATAAAACGCACCTTGATTTCAAAAGTGAAGCTGTGAAAAACTACAGTATCCAAGGGAGATTGATTTTTGGGACCCCCAGTGGATACCAAAATCCACAGATGCTCAAGTCCCTGATGCAAAATGGCATAGTACTTGCAGATAACCTATGCATCCTCCCATATGCTTTAAATTATCTCTAGATTACTTACAATACCTAATACAGTGGAAATGCTATATAAATAGGTGCTATACCATCTTACTTAGGGAATATTGACAAGAAAAAAGTCTACGTGTTTCAGTTACAGACACAACCATCCATTTTTTTTTTTTGCCTGAGGTTGGTTGAATCCACAGATGCAGAACCCATGGCTACAGAGGGCCAAATGTCTGTGACTTAGAATCAGGGAGATACAGTATAAGCCACTGACCCGTCTTCGAGCTGAATTCTTCGGCGACTATTCCATACAGTTGGTGGCAATAGATGCCTGGAACACTGGTAAAGAAGTCAGGTCTCCTGCCCTCATGGAGCTTGCTGTGACTGGGTCCAAGTACACCCCTCCAAACGAGACTTCGCCTTAGACTGAAGGGTTGGACTCTGGATTTTTGCTTGTCAATGCACCTCTCTTCTAGCCTCTTAGTTAGATATCCGGACACCAGAGGAAAATTACCCTGAGGATCACCGTGCTGACAGAGCGCGTGACAGATGGAGGGATGAGCACACTTCCCGGCTTCTGCCTGCTGTCCTGGCATCATTATTAACAGAGTCCTCCCTACCCCCTTCGAAATGTCCTGATTTGGATGAGAAAACACTGAGGGAGTAATCATTAACATCTATCGCGTTCCACAAATTCGCACTGGAGAGGGTCTGGGTTTGCAGTGAGAGAACTGCTTCAGGTCCACAGCCTGTTCTAATGCAGGTCAAGTCCATGGAGTCTGCGGGAGGGTCGGTGGGATTGTCTGGGGCTCCGTTCTCCCATGGGCATCTGCTACTTGGCATGTTCCAGTCACTCCTAGAAGCATCAAAATCTGGGATGGTTTGGTTCAAGAAACATAAACATGTACATATAACAACCAGATCACATTATCTTAAGGTAAAAATCACATCAAATCTCAAATTGTTATTCTTTGGAATGGATAAAAGGGATATTAGTATTTTTGTCAATTTAAGTTTTATAGAGAAAGTTGGAAAAATAATTATATAGGGACACTTGTCTTGGTTAACTTGGACAGAGATTTTTTTTTCTGTTGCTGTGGAAAAGATACAGGCATAGGATTTTTCTAAGAAGTTTCATTTTTTATGCAAGTGATATACTGTGGGAGGAGGTTAAAGGAAACAGCCAGAAAGACAGGTAAGAAGCTTGATGTTTGTGACAAATTGATAACTTGCAGCCTGTGATGTTGGCAGGTGTTGCTGACAGGGTCATCTGGGGCCAGGTGGTCGCTGTCCTGAGGACCTGCCGGGTACCCAGAATGCTGCCTGCCTGTTCGGTGGCTCTCAAACGTCAGCACCTGGAGGTTTCTGGGCTCTGGCGCCTGGTTTCTGATTCAGTAGGTCTGTGGTTGGGCTGAGAATGAGCATCTCTAGCGAGTTCCCTGGGTGACACTGCTGGTAGAGGTGGGGGGTATCTTTGGAACCACCACTCAAAGTCTGGAGAGGAATTGGAAGGGTCATAGGGACTTACCTGTAAGATAAAAGGTTGCCCTTATAATAATAATGATGATGATGATGACGTAACAAAGAATTTCTGTGCAGTAATGCCAGGAGCTGTGCTATGTGTATTTAATCCTCTCAAAAGCACTGGAAGGAGGTGACAGTGGCCTCATTTTACAGATGAGAAAACTGAGGCCCAAGGCTGGGCACGGTGGCTCACGCCTGTAATCCCAGCACTTTGGGAGGCCAAGGTGGGCGGATCACCTGAGGTCAGGAGTTTGAGACCAGCCTGGCCAACATGATGAAACCCTGTCTCTACTAAAAATACAAAAATTAGCTGGGTGTGGTGGCCCATGCCTGTAGTCCCAGCTAATCGGGAGGCTCAGGCAGGAGAATCGCTTGAACCCAGAAGGGGGAGGTTGCAGTGAGCTGAGATCGTGCCACTGTACTTCAGCCTGGGTGACAGAGTGAGACTCTTGTCTCAAAAAAAAAAAAAAAAGAAAGAAAGAAAAGAAGAAAATATAGCTGTGTGGGCAATAGTCAGATGAACTATTCCCCTAACTTTGCCCCAATTCGGTGTATGACTATGTACAAATCTTAACTCTTTCAGATCTCAAAGAAAAGCTCTGTGTCTTAGTTTCCTCCTCTGTAGAATGAGAACAGTAACAGTATCCTTCTCTTATCGTGAGGATCTAATGCAACCACGAGAGTAAAATACACAGAAAGGAGCCTGGTACTGCATGGGCTAAGTGCCTAATGAACATCAGCTTACTACTATCTCTCCGGGTGACAGAGTGAGACTGTCTCAAAAAAAAAAAAAAAAAAAAAAAAAGCCCTGAAGGGTTTATGTGACTTGTCCAGCTGGGTTGAAGAGCTAGGTTGAAGCCGCTGCCCAGTATTGAAACAAACCCTTATAAAATAGAGAAGTAGCTTAATAATAGCCCCAAAAAGACATCACAGACTGAAGACTTTTCTAGTAGTATAAGTACACGTGAACAAGAAAATGGTGACACTTCTGCTTCCAGTTCATGCTTCTTGTCAGCAGTATTGCGAGGGAAAAACAACAGTGATCTAATGAGCCCTGACAAGAGATGGCCAGAAGCTGAGCAGTTGGGAAGAAAACTCTTTGGTGAATCTCACTCTGAATGTATATTGTGCCTTGGGATATTAGCTGATTAATTTGGATGACATATTAGTCATGATAAGCAAGACATTTACAAACTAAGCATCCAGAACGTGAAAACTAAAATTTTGCCAAGCACCGTGGCATGTGCCTGTAGTTCCAGCTACTCTGGTGGCTGAGGTGGGAGGATCACTTGAACCCAGGAGTTCAAGTCCAGCCTAGGCAACATGGTGAGACCCTGTCTCACACACACACACAAAAAGCCACAACCTCTAAAATTTAAATTATATCTGAAGTCACGCAGTACTCCCATGAGTAATTTTACAGCATCAAGTGTACGTGCTCTGTAAAGGGTTTCATCTCAGCCTTCTGTTTTGGGCTCTTCTGTCTCCTGAATTGCCATTTGGGAACAGGCAGCCTAGTCCCGTGGCACTAAGCCAGCTAGCTAAACACTGGTCCTTCTCAAATGCATGTTTCCAGCCCCTCTTTAGGACATTATGCACCTGAACCAGAACTCTTGGTTCTCCCCTTCACTCTCTGCCTGGTAACTCACCTTGGGTTCCCCTATCACAGTAAATAATGCCATTTTTGATCCGATTGTTCAGGCTTAGAAATCTTGGTTTGGATGAGAAAACAATGAGGGTGTCCTTGCCTCCTCTCTCCCAGCGCACATCCAGTCCCTCGGTAAACCCCTGCGATTTACTCCAATAAATCCTGACTGGTCCTTCTTAGTACCTCCTCTGCTGACCCCTTACTCCAGGCCACCGCCGTTTCTCCCTGGACTGCCCCATGCCTTCCTAACCGGCTTCTTGGTTTCTTCTCCCAACTCACAGCCATTCATTCTGCATTTCACAGCCAGAGTGTGAACTGGATCACATGGATCCTCTTTATGATTGCCTGGGGCTTCCCCACACATGTGAAGCGATCCGAGGTCCTCGACGTGGCCTGTGTGCGCCCTGGACTCTGGCCCTTAACTCACTCCCTGACACCCCTCTCCCCGTCACTGTGTCCCAGCCACACTGGCTTTTGTGCTCTTCTTCCAGGTGTTCCTTTCCCTCAGAGCCTTTGCACTTGCCGTTCTCTTACTGGAACATTCATTCCCCAGATATTGTAGGGCACCTGCTGAGAAGCCATGGACAAGAGCCACGGTTTAAAGGCTGCTGGTGCCACCGTTTGCTGATCATGTGATCTTGGGAAAAGTTGCTCACCCATCTCCTTTTAAAAATCAGTTTCTCATTGATAAGATGGATCCTGCGGTAGGGTTTTGGTGAGTTCATGCTGGGGAGTACTCGATTGGAAGAACTGGGCAAACATGAGTTCCTCTTCCTGTGTCCTTTGCTCCCTATCCCTAGCTGCCTCACATCTTTGTTCAGATGCCACCCAGAGAGGTCAGCCCTAACCACTGGGCCCAGAATAACAGATAGGGTGCGCATCACTTTCTGTCCCTCATCCCCCGCTCTTTTTCCCCCTTTAAATGTAGCCTTTTTTTTTTTTTTTTGAGACAGTCTCACTCTGTTGCACAGGCTGGAGTGCAGTGGTGCAGTCTTGGCTCACTGCAACCTCTTGGGTTCAAGCGATTCTCCTGCCTCAGCCTCCCCGGTAGCTGGGATTACAGGCATGCACCACCATGCCTCGCTAATATCTTGTGTTTTTAATAGAGACAGGGACCATGTTGCCAAGACTGATCTTGAACTCCTGAGCTCAGGCAATCTGCCTGCCTTGGCCTCCCAGAGTGCTAGGATTACAGGTGTGAGCCACCGCGCCTGGCCTATTTGCTTCTTTTTTATGATATTTTCCCTCATTGGGAGGTAAGCTCCCTGTCGGCTGCTATTTCACCAGAGCCCAGAATGGTGCCTGGCACATAGCTGACGCTCACTAATTTTTGTTCAGTGGATAGTGAGTACCCATTGTGTATGGACTCCACACCTCTTAAGGGAGACAGGTGCATTTTTACAAGCTTGAGGAGCACAGCCAGAGTGCAGGCTGTGACCGTGTTCATCCTCATGCAGCTCAGTGCAGAGGGCCATCAGCAGTGAGTGGCTCTGTCAAGTTTATCTGGAGGCGGGGAGTTGTAAAGGGCAGAGGCATCACAGCCTGGAGGCTGAGGTCAGCGGGCTGGCCAGGAGAGGGGCTGGAGTCTTCCCCAGTGCGGGCATTACCCCTTCCAATACTGCCATGGTCCAAGTGAAGCAGAGGCTGTGGGACCCGAGGCTGTGGGACCCTCAACACTGATCTTTGAGAGTCCACTGGATGTTGGCTGTGAGGTTTCCTTTGACTCGCTGGAGAGGAGGGACAGGAGCTACAGTGCAGGCAGGCAGGTGCACGGCTATGCACAGTGTCCAGTCGCCGTGTGAGGAAGTGGGAGATGAAGGTGGGAAAGGTAATTTGGGGCCAGACTCCAAAAGGCCTTGAATGCCAATCCACGTACTTAGGACTTCTACCTTTAGTATTACAGGAAGCATCGAGGGGTTTTTATTATTTTATTTTTTTGAGACAGGGTCTGCCTCTGTCACCCGGGCTGGAGTGCAATGGCGCGATCTTGGCTCACTGCAACCTCTGCCTCGCAGGCTCAAGCCATTCTCTCACCTCAGCCCCCCGAGTAGCTGTGACTACAGACACACATAACACAATGCTTAGCTAATTATGTTTTTCCTTTTTTTGTAGAGACAGGGTTTTGCCATGTTGCCCAGGCAGGTCTCAAACGCCTGGGCTCAAGTAATCAACCTACCTCTGCCTCCCAAAGTGCTGGGATTACAGGCATGAGCCATAGTGCCTGGCCACATCAGGGGTTTAAGAAGCATTCTCCTTACATATTTAGACTTTCCACCAAGTCTTCCAAATTTCTCCCTTTCCCATACTGAGGGCTACGTTTAGTTCCTGGCCAAGTCCTGACTTTGTAAAGAACAACAAGTAAACAGCTTCTTCAGAAGGCTGGATGCTGAGCCCTGATTGCCCTTCAGTGAACCAGCCTCATCCATGAAGCTTCTTGAAAAGCCAGAAACTGTATCATTGGGGGGGTCCTTGAAATCTGAAGCAAGGGACAGGTTCTGAGCCCCTGTGTTTTGCAGATTAGGTTGCACAAGAAAGATGGGCTGGTGACTTTGCAGTTCATTTCCGTAGATTGTCCTTCTAGGCCTGCCTGGATAGAAGCAGCCTCGTGTGGGATCCAGCAGCAGTGGCCAGTGGGATGGGAGCCAGCATATGTAGTTGTTGACACATCCCCTGCAGACGTGGGTCGGCGGGCTAGCTGTGGGAGAGCACTGCAATGGGAGTCAGTGACTTGGGGCCTCTAGCCTCCTGTGAAAGGTCTTTTTTCTCTGGACCTCAGTTTCTCCATTTTATTGTAATGAGTTGGGCTAGATCAGTAGTTCTTAACCTCTTTTTTTTTTTTTTTTTTTTGAGAGGGAGTCTCGCTCTGTCACCAGGCTGGAGTGCAGTGGTGCAATCTCCACTCACTGCAACCTCCACCTCCCGGGTTCAAGTGATTCTTCTGCCTCAGCCTCCCGAGTAGCTTGGGAGTACAGGTGCTCACCACCATGCTCAGGTAATTTTTGTATTTTCAGTAGAGATGGGGTTTCACCATCTTGGCCAGGATGGTCTCTATCTCCTGACCTTGTGATCTGCCCACCTTGGCCTCCCAAAGTGCTGGGATCCTAAGTACAGACGTGAGCCACCGTGCCCGGCCATTCTTAACCTCTTGAAACTCCTTAAGACTTTGGTGAAAGCCATAGACCTCTCTTCCCAGAAGAATGAACACGTGGTTTGCCGGCACCTTAGGAACCCCCAAAGCCCATGAGACAAAGCCCTGGATCTATAAGGCCCTGTCCCATCTGACCCCCGGCCTTCCCCTGGGCACATACCTCCAGCTACACAGGTCTTTCATACACACTGCCCCTTTGCCTGGTCCAGCTCTGCTCATCCTTCAAGTCTCACCCTTCCCTGACTTCCAGCTTAGATTAGGTCGCCCTGCTAGACATGCGTCCCCCACCCTGAATTTAGCACTGATCACCGGGATAACTAAGTGATTCTTCGTGCATGTTATCCGACCCTCCCCAAGCTCCGTGTTGGTATTTGTTGAGTAAATCTCTGAGGCCCCTCCAGCTATGACATTCTGAGACTGATCTATAAGTTTGCAGATGTGTCATAAGAGAGTCCCTGAGCTTGTATTTCCTATGACATTCGACACGTGGTGGCCTTTGCCTTCGATGATTTCCTCCAGGCCTGGACAGGAAAGTTACTTCAAAGCAGTCTCGGCCAGACTCGGTGGCTCATGCCTATAATTCCAGCACTTTGGGAGGCTGAGGCTCGAGGATCACCTGAGGCCATGAGTTTGAGACCAGCCTGGCAACCAAGCAAGATGCTATCTCTACAAAAAATAATTTTACTAATTAACCAGGCATGGTGGCAAGTGCGTATAGTCCCAGCTAGTCAGGAGGCTGAGACAGGAGGATTGCTTGAGCCCAGCAGTTGGAGGCTGCAGTGAGCTGTGATTGCACCACTGCACTCCAACCTGGACAACAGAGGGAGACTGTCTCAAAAAAAAAAAAAAAAAAAAAAGGCAGAGTCTAGAGGACCCCAGAAGACAGAAGAGTGCCTCCCAGACTTTCTGCCTCAGTGCTTTGCTAGGCCTGACCTCCAGGCTGGTCATCGCTTTTGTTTATATTCTGGGCTGAGCTGGAACTCACACTTGGAACATTCCCACAGTGCTTGGCGCTTCCTCGTATTGTTGTATTTTTCTCCAGGAGGGAAGTGACCAACATCAGACTTTCCTCCCAGCAGACAAATTCCATACACAAAGCTTTGTGTGAGCTACCGGGTACCCGCCTGAGAGCCCAGCCTCTGTTTCTTTGGTTCTGGGTGGGTGAGTGTGCACATTACAGGGATCCACGAGCCCTTCCCTTCTGAGCCATTTCTATCTAAAAAAAAAAAAAAATCTCCTTCAAGAAGTGAGCACCGCCTTGCAGGATCCTGACTCAGAGTTCGTCTGGAGCCAACAGCGTCTTGCGTGTAGGGACAGGCACTCCTTAAAATGTTTCCTACTTCAGTGGCCACAATATTACCCCTCTGGCTTATGTCATGTTCCACAATCAAAATATCATTCCTCCTGGAGTCCAGCTACTCGGGAGGCTGAGGCAGGAGGATCACTTGAGCCTAGGAGTTTGAGGCCACCTGGGCAATATAGGGAGACCCTGTCTCTTAAAAAAAAAAATTATTCCTGAGGTACAGATGTTTGTAAGATAAATTTTATTTTAATTATACTAAGAGAATGATTATTTACTAGAATATTGCAGTGGATCTTACTCTGATATGGGGGAGAAAATCCCTAGTGAGGGTAAATAATTTTTTTCAATGTATTGTATCTAAAGCTTGGAGATTTATAGGTAATAATAATAAAAACAGTGACAGCTATTCTCATTGAGTATCTGCTGTGTACCAACAAATTTTAAACATCTTTATTTTAGTTTAGTTTTTTAGAGATGGGTTCTCGCTCTGTGGCCCAGACTGGAGTGCAGTGGTGTGATCACAAATCACTGCAGTCTTGACCTCCTGGGCTCAAATGATTCTCCTGCCTCAACCTCCCACCTCAGCCTCCCAAGTCTGAATTCTTATTTAACCTTTAAACTACCCATGAAGTAGACAGCATAATGGTACACATGAATGTATGTGAAAATACAAGGTGTGGAAAGGTTTAGTTTCTATCCCAAAGTTGTTCAGCTAGGAAGTGCCCCCATAGATTCAAACCAGGCCAGCTGGCCTTCAAAGCCAATTCCTTCACACTGCCCTCCTGCCTCCTCTGGTCATGAGGAAATGGGTAGCAGAGGTTTTCCTAGCCAAGGATAAAGATTTGGGGGCTGGATCCAGCCCTCCAACTAAATGCCTAGCGTTGATCCCTGCCCCTCTCTGAGGAATCTGTGAAATGGGGAAGGGAGTCGCTGGAGCAGATGATCTTGTGGATCTCCTTGGGTTTTACAGAGATTTGAGGCTTGGAGTAGTCATACCTGAAGGAGTGACCTTGATAACACATGGCCAGGTCGGGTCTGATTGAAGGCAGTTCGTACAGCCACAGCGTTCTCGGCGTATTTGTGCAAGGCTTGGAAACTCATCACAGTGGCTGTGCAGTCAGCCTTCTGCTTCTGGTAACAGTTCACTTTTGATTCTTCCCATTTGTGAAGAATCAGAAAAATTTTCTGTTGTCTCCCTGAAATGTGGACTGGAGATGGGTCGCTTGCCCATCTTGGATTGCAAGCATATTGGTCTTTGGGGATGGCTCTATGTTTTTTTGTTTGTTTGCTTAGTCTGGGACACTGCAGAGGGGATGACTGTAAAAGACGCTTTCTGAGCTGGGGATTAGAGAGGAATTCTTAAGATTAGGTTATTCTGTTGCTCTCCCCCTCCCCCTACCCCTGAACAGTTCACATTGGAGTTATTTTGGGGGAGCCATGATTGAGAAGGGTTGGACCACAGGGTCCTCATTTCAAAGCTGTTCTCTCAAGGAAAAATGTCCAGTTCATTCTAAAGGTTCATCAGTATATTAGTTGTTTGGAACCTAGGATGCGTTTTTTCATGGAAACACAGTTACAAATGTGTTGGCCCCCAGCTGAGAAACGAGAGAGGGCACACCTGAGCCCAGGTTCTGTAACTGTGACCCATTGTTGTCTGTGTGCACAGGCGCCAGGAGGAGCTGCCCCAGACACGGCTCCTGACTTCAGGGGCTTCGCACTCCTGATAGGGAAGAAATTCCAGGGCCCAGAGTGGCCTGAGCTAAGGAGTGGGGAAGTGGAGGAAACAGCGCCCCAGCCGCCCATACCCTCTGACTCTTGCTAGGAGAGGAGAGGTTGTTTATGGATTAGAAACTCTGGTTAATGCATTCCAGGGGGTGGGGACAATCAGTGTGTGTATGTTGGGGATAATTCTCATTGGTTTATTCTGTCACCTATCCACTCATTTATTCAACAGAGAGTTATTAAGCACCTACTGTGTGCCAGGTATTCTGCTGTGCAACTGTTAGTTTTCACTGGACCCCTCTCGCGTGGTGGGGGTTCCCTGTGCTTTATTCCAGTTTGTGGCTGCAGTTTAATCTGGGGAGGAGCTTGCGGGCTCTGTGAGGGAAACAGGGAGCCTCTGCACCCATGCTCTTTCCTGCCACCTCATTGGAGACGGTGCGACAGACACATGCCATTTGCTTTGCCAAGTTTGGACTCTCAGGCCGTGATTTTGCAAAAATGATCTCTGTATTGGTAGATCAATTATGAGGCCTTAAGATCTTGTAGAGATTTGGATTTTGGTTTTTGTCTGTTTTGCATAAATTGGAAAGATTATTTCCCCTTCCTTCAGAAAGGAAGGGCCTGGTTTAACACAGTGGCCCACTGCGCCCAGAAACTTAACAGAGCATTAAGTGCCTCTTAAACTTGGTCTCTCTGGTTCTGTGGGTCTTTTTTGGAATGTTGTCCCAAATATTACTCCGGTTCTATACTTGCTCCCATTTTGTACCATCCAACTCTGTAAAATAAATTTACTTTGGTGCTTTTGACTAAATTGACCGAAGCCAGATATCTGCCACCTAAGCTAATGTATTTTCCGTCTACAATTATAAAAGTGATGAAGGGCTGGGCGTGGTGGCTCACGCCTGTAATCCCAGCACTTTGGGAGGCCGAGGCGGGCGGATCACTTGAGGTGAGGAGTTTGAGACCAGCCTGGCCAACGTGGCAGATCCCCCATCTCGACTAAAAATACACAAATTAGCTGGGTGTGGTGGCGCACACCTGTAATCCAGCTATTCAGGAGGCTGAGGCAAGAGAATCACTTGAGCTTAGGAAGCAGAGGTTGCAGTGAGCTGAGATTGCACCACTGCACTCCTGCCTGGGTGACAGAGTGAGACTCTGTCTCAAAAAAAAAAAAAAGGTGATAATAGGCACAGTGCAGTGGCTCACACCTGTAATCCCAGGACTTTGGGAGGCTGAGGCAGGAGGTTCACTTGAGACCAGGAGTTTGAGACCAGCCTGAGCAACATAGGGAGACCCTGTCTCTACAAAAAAATTTAAAAATTAGCCAGGCGAGGTGGCATGCACCTGTAGTCCTAGCTTCTTTGGAGGCTGAGGGAGGAGGATTGCTTGGGCCAGGGAGGTTGAGGTTGCAGTGAGCCATGATTGCACCACTGCACGCCAGCCTGGGTGACACAGCAAGACCCTGACTCCAAAAAAAAAAAAAAAGTTAAATATTCACCAGGGACCTCCTGAGTGTCAGGCAGCATGCTACGTACTTCACAAATGTTCTCTTTTGTTTGATTCTTATTACAGCTGAGGAGGTGAGACTGGAATTATGCCCAGTTAACAGATAAGGAAACTGAGGCTGCTGTGCTCAACTGGCAAAGCCAAGGGGAAGAGCTAGTATTTGCACCCAGGCTGGAGTGCAGTGGTGTGATCTCGGCTTACTGCAGCCTCCACCTCCCAGGTTCAAGTGATTCTCCTGCCTCAGCCTCCCAAGTAGCTGGGATTACAGCTTCGTCCCACCACGCCCGGCTAATTTTTGTATTGTTAGTAGCGACAGGGTTTCACCATGTTGGCCAGTCTGGTTTTGAACTCCTGGCCTGAAGTGATCCACACACCTCAGCCTCCCAGAGTGCTGGGATTACAGGCGTGAGCCACCTCGCCCGGCTCAGAGCCTGCATTCTTACCCATATTATGCTGTGGGGATTCTTTAGGGGCTTTTATAACCTCAAACTCTGGGACTGAAATAAATGAAATCTTTTCATCCACCTCGACATTGTCTTCCTTTTTACCAAGAATATGTGATTGATTTCATTCCCTTCTTTTCTTCTAGAAAACCCTTTGTTCAGAATTTAGGTAGCGTAGCACTTTCTCCAGCAAAATTGTTCCCAAAGTGCAGTGGGAGTTTGGAGCTTGGGGTTATAAATTCTTAGCTGTATTTGTCCCCAAGGTGTTTTCTTCTTTGGAGACTGAGGTGTAGCAGTGTTTTGATGTTTTGTTTCGTTTTGTGTTTCCCTTGGAAACACAGCATTAGTGAAATCAGCTTGTTTTCTCTGACAGTACTTGTTACGTGGTGCACACTGGTCTGAGCGTGGGACTCTGAAATAGAAGGCGTGGCATAAGGGTCTGTATGAAAATGTTTCTCCTGGCATGCCCCAGAATGGTTCATTTATGACTTTCAGCATTTTGATCACCTGATTCCCCATTTCTCCTGCGGAGAAAAGTGGTATTAAAAGTATTTGGACATAAAATTCATCTTGCAAGCCGCTGTTGTGCTGATGAGTAATAAAGTGTCAAAAGGATGCTGAGGAAAGAGCTTCTTAATATAGACCATGCCTGAGAGGCACCGGTAGGGCGATAACAAGCCCTTTCTTCTGATTTCCTCCCTGGGGCCAAAGGGATTTTGAAAGGCAGAAGGCAAAGACTTGAGAATGAGATTCCTCAGGCTTCCCTTGTGAGGCTGCCTGGGTTCTGCCGCTGGGTGGTTTGGGATGTCCAAGAGATATCCCCTTTCAGCCAGTGACTCGGTCCTCAGTTGCTGCTCCGGAAAGACGCTGGGGCTGGGAAGGGCCCTGTGTCCTCTGGCTTTAAAATGGGCAATGCTATTGAAAAACAGAAGCCCTTGAAACGAAGTCATCTGTACCCCTGGAAACAAGGTAAGAAAGCCCTGGGCTTCCTTTCCAGGAAGAAGCAAGGAGGCAGTTTTCTCTGAGAGACTGGCCCAGCAGCAGAGCTGAAGTGCCTGGGGAATCACCTTCCAGAGCAGAAAGCACAGGTAGTCCAACATGATTTCAAGAAAATTCACAATTCTCCTGAGGAATAAGATGATTCCTCTCTCAATATGATGGCTTGGTTTGGCTGAGAGTTTAGTTCAGCTCGAGATGTTTCATTTGGTGCAGTATGTGTCTGTTGAAAATTTTTATTTTTTTTGAAATGGAGTCTCGTTCTGTCGCCCAGGCTGGAATGCAGTGGCATGATCTCAGCTCGCTGCAACCTCCGCCTCCCAGGTTCAAGCAATTCTCTGCCTCAGCCTCCTGAGTTGCTAGGATTACAGGCACCCGCCACCACGCCCAGCTGATTTTTGTATTTTTAGTACAGATGGAGTTTCACCATCTTGGCCAGGCTGGTCTTGAACTCCTGACCTCATGACCCACCTGTCTCAGCTTCCCAAAGTGCTGGGATTATAGGTGTGAGCCACCGCGCCTGGCTGAACATTTTTACTTTTTTAGAAATGTTCCAAGTCAGCCAGGCACAGGGGCTCACGCCTGTAATCCCAGCACTTTGGGAGGCCAAGGTAGGCGGATCACTTGAGGTCAAGAGTTCGAGTCCAGCCTGGCCAACCTGGCGAAACCCCGTCTCTACTAATAATACAAAAATTAGCCAGGCCTGGTGGTGGGCACCTGTATTTCCAGCTACAGGCATAAGGCTGAGACAGGAGAATCGCTTAAACCCAGAATGTGGAGGTTACAGTAGCCGAGATTGCGCCACTGCACTCCAGCCTGGGTGACAGAGTGAAACTGTCTCAAAAAAAAAAGAAAGAAAGAAAAAGAAATATCCCAGGTCAAAGCTTTGATATCTAGGAGTTTGAGGCTTTTGTGATATTTTTTGATTTAGATAATGTTATTAACAGCTTTTAAATATATAGCACTTCCAAAAGTTCCAAAGTACTTTCAAGGTACTTTCTGTAAAATCTTTCATTTATCCATCCTGGACACCCAGGAAGTGGGACAACAGCCTCTCTTAACACCTACTCTGTCTCTCTAGGGCTTGGGGTCATGTCAGCTTGAGGAGGAGGAAGTTGGCAGGGCCACAGAGCAGTGCAGTGGTACATTTGGAGCTCAAGGACCTTTAATAGTGTCTCAGTGCAGGACAGTCTGTTGACGCACTCAGCGGCCTTTTATCACAGTTATTGACCCAGGAGACCGGCCGGCTGGCAGGCATGCCAGAGATGACATATGCGAGACTTCACCAGGTCTTTGCCTCCTCTTGCCAGAAGAAGTTGCGGTAGCATTTGATCAGTAGCAAGACAGTTTTTTCACAACTGCATATATGGGTGTGTTTATGAAAAGAAAACAAATAACTGGAAGAAAATGCATGGAAATATTAAGAGCAGTTGCTGTTTGTCAAATCATAGATCATTTTCTCTTAAAAAGAAAGTAGGTGGGATGCTAATTTACTGTCAGGTTCCAGCCCTTCTGACTTTCTGTGAGTCATTCTTTTGTCTAACATGTTACTTTGGAAAGGGTACTCCTTAGCAATCCTTGATTGGATCCAAGTTTGAACAAAACGGCTATTAAAGACATTGGGGGACAGTTCGGGAAATTTGAATATGAACTCCATGGTGGATTATAATGAGGAACTGTTGCTCATGTGATTATGTGTGAAACGGTGCTGAGTCATGTAGGAGTGTGTGCTTTTTTGAATAGTCATGCTGAAGTATTTAAGGGTGAAGAGTTATGCTATCTATAATTTACTCTCTAAAATCATAATCACTCTGTGATTTTCCCTGTATACACGTTAATAAATTTGTATGCCTTTTCTCCAATTAAAAACAATACTGTAATCCCAGCACTTTGGAAGGCCGAGGCAGGCAGATCACATGAGGCCAGGAGTTCAAGACCAGCCTGGCCAACATGATAAAACCCCATCTCTACTAAAAATACAAAAATTAGCCAGGCGTGCTGGTGCACATCTGTAATCCCAGCTACTCGGGAGGCTGAGGCACAAGAACTGCTTGAGCCCAGGAGGCGGAGGTTGTAGTGAGCTGAGGTCATGCCACTGCACTCCAGCCTGGGCAACAGAGAGAGCCTCTGTTTCAAAAAAGAAAAAATCAAAATAAAAAAACAGGTTCAGCAAAATATACTGTATAAATAAATGGGGACCTAAGATAAGCAAAATGGGATAAGTTTAACAAGTGTTAGAGTCCAGGTCATCGATATATGAGGTTTGTTATACTTTCTTTCATGTATTTTTACACATTAAAATAAAGAACCAGTTCTGACTGTGTCATACATAGTACAGTGTCTTCAGAATGGGCCTTAGCAGACACCGGTATTTACTGAAGCAGACCAAGATGCGGTACTCTTCTGAATTCAGCACCGTGTGGGCTGGTGTCTCCAGCCAGCCAGGAGAAAATCAGCATTGATCCAACTACTTAAAAGCACCACTTTTAGAATAGAAATTTAATATGTTTACTTACGTTTGGATTGTCTCTGGTTCTCCTTAGAAAACCATGAGTTAAAATGTCTGAAGATTTTCATTGGAAGCAGCTGGGTATACAGACAGACAGGTTTGATGTTTTATTTTGTGGTTTTGTTTAGTTGTGTTCAGTAATTTAAATGAGAAGAGTGGTAGGACCACTGTTGGTAGTAGGGATTTCAAGATCCACAGTGAATTGGAGATTAAAGAAGAGAACAGAGCAGTTCTGGTTTTTAAGCCTTCACAGGCCCCACTGACCAGGAGCACATCTTTGGCGCATAGGGTTTTATTTGTTTGGGCTGATAGACCCGGGGACTGCGGTCCAAAGTCCATCTCAGAAGGAAAAGCCGTTTTTCATAGCGCATGGTGTCCTGCTGAAGAGCCGAAATAACAGGGATAGGGAGTGGTCCTTCACAGTTTATTTGTCTTTTTCTTGAAAGGTTGCTTACATTTTGGAAATGGGATTATAGAACAGTGTTTACAAACTGGAATTAAAGATTCCCAGGCACACTGGATGCAGTGGCTCACACCTGTAATCCCAGCACTTTGGGAGGCCGAGGCAGGCGGATCACTTGAGTTCAGGAGTTCGAAACCAAGACCAACCTGGGCAGCATGGCGAAACCCCATCTCTACCAAAAATACAAAAAATTAACCAGGCATGGTGGCGCGCGCAAGTAGTCCCAGCTACTCAGGAGGCTGAGGTGGGAGGATTGCTTGAACCTAGGAGGCGGAGGTTGCAGTGAGTCAAGATTGCACCATTGCACTCCAGCCTGGGTGACAGAGCAAAACCCCTGTTTCAAAAAAAAAAAGAAGAAGAATGTCAGGGCACCACCATGACCCTGATCTGCAGCCCACATTCAACGTGGTTGTGAAATCTTGGTGGGTGGATGATGGCCCCAGGTTCCAGGGCAAAGTAGCATGGTCTGTGTCTAGTTTAGGAACAAGTGAATGGGAATCCTGGGCATATCGTTATGTGGATTTGCTACAGACAGTTGGGACAGACCAGGCGGCCCCTGATTTCTGCCCGGATTCCCCTGTGTTAGGAGCTCTGGAGAATAAGACTTTAACCAGAGCCAAAGATGATCATGATTAGGAAGGGCAGGCCCAGAGTGCATTCCAAAGGCAAATTTAAAGGAAACTGTTATCTGCCATTTAGATCATTTACGTGTGTTTCCATGTCCTACACCTGGGGAGTTGAAAAGCCGCAGAGGCAGAACACTAGTGTGAAAAACATGAGTCTTACAGCCTCCACCTGCTGTCACCCTACAGAGCATTTGATGCCTGCTAGAGAAGCTTCTCTAGTGATTTGAGACAGTGTGGGACACATACCCGATGAGGGGACCATTATACTGTCTGACTTATGGTTCTGGTTTTTATTTTTTGATAGCTCTCAGGACCAACCCCAAACAAGAAAATGTTTTTTACATTAATGGATGCTTCTCGTGGTCGAGAAATCTGACTCATTTGTATTACCGCAGTGAGTTCCAGCAGGCCCCAAACAGAAAAAAATAAGATGGGGAGTGGGACGAAGCAGTGGCTCAAGTGTGACCCTGAGAGTTCCAGCCAGAGCTGTGGCCCAGCCTGCTCTTTGACCTTGAACAGATGCATTTTCTAAGGCCAAATGCCCTCGCTTTCCTCGTCTACAGTGGCCTGTTCCAAATGACTGCATCTTATTGTGTTATTTAATTTACATCCATGGTTTTTTTTTTTTAATTGATCTGTTTACCACTTGATTGTAAACCACCTGAGGGCGGGCAGTCGCAGGGTTCATTGTTTTGTCCCCAGCACTTGCACGGTGCCTGGCACATGTGCCCTCTGTGAGTGCTCCCTGGCTGCAGTTTCCCTGCTGGTATGAAGAAGGGTAGGCTTATGCAGGGCATGGTGGTTCCTGGTGCACAGTGCACAGTGGACGTGCAATAAATAGTAGTTACCAGTGCCAGCAGGTGTCTTTGGGACTTGGAAGGTGGCAGGTGGTTATTTGGGACCTGGAAATGTTCATTCTTAGCCTTTAACTGCCCAAAGTAGTAACACTGGAGAATGAAAATAGGTACACCTTCCTCTATCCCACAGCAATTCTGAGTTTACAAACAGTAAATGTGTTGATGATTGTTCAGTTGCAAATATTACTTCACAAAAGCCCCTCCTAAAGAATCAACATTTAGTTGTTGATTCATACAGCTGGAGGAAACTTTGAAATTTAGAGCTAAATTGAACTTCTCTGAAATAGGCTTATAATCCTGCCCTCCCAGAGGTAGGCAGGCAGGCAGGCACCCTGCCTGACTGGCTCCTTTCCTTCTTTCCTTTCCTTTCATTCCTTCCTTTCCTCTCTTTTTTTCCCTCTCTTTCGAAATGATTTGAAGAGTTGCTTACAGTGTTCATTTTGGCTCTCGGGAGTACAGCACTGACAGAAGTTTCCTTGGGAATTAAAAATTGCAGCAGTAATTGCAAATTGAATTGTTATCTCCTTCAAAAATCCCAGCAGCTCCAGGCCATACCAGCCTGGTAAATGGAAATGTTAATGATTTGCATGTTTGTACACAGTGTGGGTGTGAGCGAATGAAATTAACACCCTTAGTAGAAGAGCTGAGTATAAAAAGCTTCAGCCCACAGACCTTGGCAGATTGTGGGATTTGCTGTGCTGGAAGCAGATTGGCAGGCCCAGGTGGGGCTGGGGGTGGCAGGGGGTGAGTTAAGGATTTGCCTCAGTTTTGAATGCCAGTGGTTGCTCTGCCATAGGGGCAAATTTAGAAATGTTTGGATTCCAGCCAGCAAAGGTGTTTAGACTTGCCTCTGCACACTAGATAGCAAAGTAGCATCTGGGGCAGCTGGATGCCCGTGTGCCAGCTAATTAATATTGATCCAGAATGCACAAGGGCTGGGTGCTGCAATAACCACCGGCTCAGTGCCTTCTAGCTAATAAGTAAGACAAGACAAATTACTTCACATTTCCAGGCCTGTGTCTTGATCTCTAAATGAGATTAATAATAATGCGTACTTTGAAGGACTACCGTGAGCACTAAATGAGATAATTCACATAAAGGGGTTATAGCCCTTAGCATACAGTGAGCATTTAATGAATATTAGTGATTCTTGTTATGCATTGCATAGTAAAGAGAACCCTGGATTTACCAGATCCATGGACATGGATTATCTGCCTGGCTTCATCCCAATCCCAATGGCTGTGTGAGTTTGGGTAATTCTCCACCTGTTTCTGTCTCTCAGCTTAAGGTATCGCATGCCTGATGGTCTTGAAGGACCCTTTGCAGGCTGTGCATCAATGACCATCAGCAGTGGTCACTGCCTTTCATATGTGCTAGCTCCTGGAGCATTCAGTACCTGCTTAGACAGCATCGGTTTGGCTGAGCTGAGGGATCATAGGAGTGCTTTTTATGGTGTTGAATTTCTTTGAAAATTTCTTTAGAACTCTGGAGCCCAGGTGCCAGGGTGGAGTCTTTGTTCTCCCACTTTCTAGTTGGCTGTCCTTCAGCAAGTTACTTAATTTCTGGGCCTCAATTTCCTCATCTGCAAATAGGGCCCACTTCATAGGATGTTGTGAGGATGAAGGAGTCTGTCCATGCAAAGTGCTTAGGACAGTGCCTGGCGTGCAGTCAGTATCCAGTCAGTTTATTATTGTTATTGCTTTTAGGCCACATACAGAGAAGTTACATTTAATTTTGGTTGAAATGATGTTACATTATTAAAGAAAAACATTGGAACAAACGGACAAAATGCAAACAAGAAAATGCATGTTGAGTGGCTAAGCCTAAAAGACATAAATGACCGGGCATGATGGCTCACACCTATAATCCCTGCACTTTGGAAGGCTGAGGTAGGAGGATCACTTGAGCTCAGGAGTTCAAGACCAGCCTGGACCACACAGTGAGACCCTGTCTACAAAAAATTTTAAAAAATAAAATTAACTGGGCGTGGTGGCACGCATGCAGTGGCATGGTGATGACTCACTGCAGCCTCTGCCTCCTGGGCTCAGGTGATCCTCCCCGCACTTCAGCCTGGGTGAACTGAGACCCTGTCTTAAAATGAATGAATGAGTGAATGACCTAAAACATAGTGAGGCGGCAAAAGTGTTAGTCAGTGCCATTATTCTTTTTCAGAGCGGCTGCACGATGCATATTTTTCATAGAATTGTCATCGTATGCAAATAATTTTGCTTTTTTTTCTTTTAATTTTATGCTTCTATGTGGTCTTAATAACTGCTATGACTATGACATTCCATCATGTTACTGTTCCATAACTTATGAAATCATTCACCTGCTGTTGAATATCGAAATTATTTCCACTTTTTACAGGTCAGGCAGCAGTAAGTAGCTTCATTAATATAGTTTTGTGATTCTGTTGGATGATGTCCTTAGGATAAGTTCCCAGTGTAAAGTTCCCAAGCCAGGAACATAGAAATAGCTTTAAGGATCTTGCCTTGTTGTTTTCCAAAAGTGATGCATTTTCATGAGTGATGTATAAATTTACCAGTTACTCTCAAGCACATCAGCACTGAATATTATTTTGAAATCGTTCCTCTTGTAAAACTTAAACTACACTTACAAACACCATTTTGATGAATTATCTGATGGCACGGGACTCAGAGAAAGGGTATGGGAAGTTCAAAAGCCATTATCGGTGTTAAGAATCCATTTTGTTATAAAATTTAATTTCCCACAGTCATTTGCTTTGGGCTTGACTCAATCTCATTCAAGTGCTGAGTTTCATAGAAAGGAGACATGAGGCTTTATTTAAGCGTACCCAATTACCATCACAACTTTTTGTCTTCTGCCTTCCAGAGAGCAATGATTATTAAATACTTGAGTTTCTTCACATGAAAGAGACAGAGTGAGCCCAGAAGTGTTGTTAACATTGTTAATGTAATGCTTACTGTTAGGCAGCGTGACTAATGACCCAGCAATCCCTCTTCGCTGCTTCTGTAGAGAGCTAACCATTTCCCTAACTGCATATGGATGACAAGAGCATCAATTCAATTGTTAGGAAAATAGATACATTAAACAGTTTGCTGGGAGGGTAGTTTGAATCAACTAGTGTAGAACGTCAGGGCGTTGGAGTGAATAGAACGGACAAGGCCATTGGTTCATCAGTGAGGTTAGAGGCCATATTGGGATGTAGTCATAAACTGGTTCAGGGTAGGAGAGAAAGGTAAACAAAAGATTATTTAACATGACTTTGGAATCACAGACATCTTGAGCTAGAAGAGAAGAGTAAAAATCTCAAATTATTCCCTAATTTTGCCAATGAAGAAATTGAGGCTTCTAGAAGTGAAGTAACTTGTCTGAAGCCCTGCAGCTAGAGTGTGGCTTTGTGTCTCCTAAGTTAGGATAGCAATATAACAGTGATATAATAACGCATGTAATAATATAAAACCATACAACATACTGTATATGTTATGATTTTATATTTACATGTTACAGAATATTCAATACATTGTATATGCAATCCATTATGTATTGTATCATATATAACATATGATGCAATAATATATGTAACAATGATACAATAATAACATATTGGGATACAGTATTACAATAATGCCAGTGGCTTCCTATTTGCCAGGCATGGCACTGAAAGGTCTGTGTATATTAGGAGCTTCCATTTGGGAGCAGTTGACATGTAACTAAAGTGTCCTGGAAATCGGTTTTTTCTTAAGTGAAAGATCAGATGTTGGAAAGGGAAACCCTAAGTGTGACAGAATTTTTCTCATGAGAAGTATGGGTGTAGTTTTGGGTGTGGGTAAGAAAAGGGAAGGAAACTTCATTCTGTCATCAGATACCTCCAAATTTAGAACAATATCTATCCGTAGCCATTGGTTTTCGGATATGCTTTACCCTGGGAACGTGCGTAAAATACATTTCCGTGTTTGGCTATTTCTTTCCCAGCTGCATAGAGGGTGTCACCATTATTTTAGATAATAGCCATGGCCAGTGCCCACTTTAATCACTTTTCCAATCACTTTTCACTGATTGCTTCTAAGGCACTTGATTTCAGATGTCACTTTTTGCTGAAATACCTGGATAACTGTTTCAGGGGGCCTTGTGGACTACCGAGAAGTTTGCCTCCAGGGGTTGGTAAACTTCTAAAAGTGCCAAGTCATGAATATTTTATGCTTTGCAGGCCCAAGAAGCAAAAGTAAGACTATTATGTAGATACCCATAAAACGATTTAAAGTGAAATCATTTAAAAATATGAAAACCATTCTTCACTTGCAGGCTACGAACAAGCAGCCTCCTGTTTGACTGGGGTTGCTCAGCGAGCCTTCTGGCTTCTCCGGCACACACACATTCAGGTCTCCATCTATGCAAATGGAGACCTCCTTCTTCTTCTCACCACTGTAATAAGGAGAAAACAGACAGTGGAAGGTTTGTAGAACCTCATGATTGACTATAGAGGCTTTCAGCATTTTTCCTTTACTATTAAATGGGACACTGTACTAAAAAAAATTCTATTGTTTCTATATTTGTTCATTTATTGATTGGATGTTCATTCATCCAACAAATGTTTATTGAACAGGTCCTGTGTCTCCACTGTTCCAGGCACGGGGGATACCTAATGAGGAAAATAAGACATCTCTGCCCTCTGGAGTTTTTAGTTTACATATGAACAAGTATAATATGTAGGCTTTTGGATGACAGGTATCATATAGAGGAGCCAGGGAAGGGGACAGGATGGACAGGGGAAGAGGGTTGTTAGTTTTACATGTGATGGAAAGGGAGAGTGATC
Source organism: Homo sapiens (assembly GCF_000001405.40). Classification (NCBI taxonomy): domain Eukaryota; kingdom Metazoa; phylum Chordata; class Mammalia; order Primates; family Hominidae; genus Homo; species Homo sapiens. The sequence continues at coordinate 131,700,339 of NC_000009.12, read as the reverse complement.
AGAAATAAGGAGCAGAATCCTGTGTGTTGCAGATGTCTGGGCAGGCGCGCTCCGGAAAAGGAAGAGGTGGCGCAGAGGCCCTGACCTGGGAATGTGTGACTAGGGCGGAGGCTGGAGACCCATGGCAGATGAAGCCAGGCCTTGAGATGACTGTAAGGACTTGGAAGGGAGAGCCAGTGGGATTTACTGAGGGGTTGAGTATGGGGTGAAAGAGAGAAAGAGTAGTCTAGGACGACCCCAGTGGTTTTCTCCTGAGCATCGGAAGGTTGACTTTCGAAGCAGGAGAGCTTCAGTGGCACAGATTGTGGGGGATGATTGGGGCTGTGTGGGTACAGAGTGAGTTTGAGGTGCCTGTCAGAGAGCTACAAGGAGGTGGCCATTAGGCCATTAAAATCTGGAGTATAAAAATCTGGAGTTCAGAAAAGAAGTGTAGGCTTTTTTGAGAGTTGTTGACATAAAGATGGTGTTTAAAGCTATGAGACTGGGTGAGATACCAGCAAGTAAGTCAGAGAAGAGCAGGGGCCAAAGCCTGAGCCCCAGAGCACTCCAGCATTAGGAGGTGGAGGAGATGAGGGAGCACCAGCAGAAACCTCGAAAGACCTTCCAGGAAGGTAGGGGGAAAGCAGGAGACTGGTGTTCAGAAGCCAACTGCAGAAAGTGTTCCTGAGGAGGAGGCAGAGAGGGGGCTTCGGTGACACATGATGCTGACTGGGTCAAATCCCTTGAGGACCAAGACTTGGCCTTGGCATTCAGTAACATAGTGGTCACTGGAGACCTTGACAAGAGGTGTCAGTGGGGCCAGGCGCAGTGCCTCATGCCTGTAATCCCAGCACTTTGGGAGGCCGAGGCGGGCGGATCACCTAAGGTCGGGAGTTTGAGACCAGCTTGACCAACATGGAGAAACCCTGTCTTTAGTAAAAATACAAAATTAGCCAGGCATGGTGGCACATGCCTGTAATCCCTGCTATTCAGGAGGCTGAGGCAGGAGAATCACTTGAACCTGGGAAGCAGAGGTTGCAGTGAGCCAAGATCACGCCATTGCACTCCAGCCTGGGCAACAAGAGCAAAACTGCACCTCAGAAAAAAAAAAAAAAAAAAAAGTGTCAGTGGAGTGTTGGGTGTGAAAGTGTCAAAGAATGAGCAGAGGAGAATTGGCCACAGGGAGCATGGGCGTTCTTGGAGTTTTGCTGAAAGCGGGAGTGAAGACACAAGGTGGTAGTTGTTAAGGGTATTGCGGTCAAGGGAAAGTTTTTTCATAAAGGGTGAAATAATGGCAAGGTTGAATGCTGATGGGAATGACCTGGTAGAGATGGAAACATCGCTCAAGACCAGGAGAATTGCCGGACGAGAGAGAAGTCCTGATTATCAGCTGTGGTGCATTGAGTATTTACAGTCCTTGCTGACAAATCACCCCGCTATTTAGGGAGCTTAAATAACAACTGGGCACCTAGTTTACACTTCTGCAGCTGGCAGTTCAGGCTGGGCTGCTGGGCTCCTGGTCTTGCCTAGGGTTCCTCAAGTGTCTACAATCAGCTGCTGGGAGGGCTTATCCCTGGGCCTCCAGCAGGCTAGCCCAGGGTCCCTCCCGTAGTGGGGTTGCTCACCTGGTCGGGGAAGGGGGGCAGCCCTGAGGCCCCAGGTCAGAAGCCGCACAGTTACCTCTACTTTATTTCATTGGCTAAAGCAGGCCACAGGCCAGCCCAGATTCAAGGGGAAGGGAGAGAGAGACCTGCCCCCTCCTTCTACCCGCCCTTCTAACAGGAGAGTGCAAAGTCATCTTGCCAAGCTGTGGGTATGAGGAGCAGGGAATCGTTTGGCCATTACTGCAAACAATTTGTCACAGCTGTCTGTGAGCTAAGCATGTTGCTTTCAATCATCACAAGAGTTCTTTGGGGTAGGTAGTATGATTGTGATTTTACAGATGAGAAAACCAGGTCACTGAGCATCCAGTAACTTGCTCAAGATCATGCAGCTAGTAAGTGGCAGAATTGGGACCTAAACTGGTCTCTGACGTCAAAGCCCCTTTCTTCCCTATTTTCCCTTCCTGCAAGTGTCTGTTTACAAGGGCAGACTAGAGGGCCCCTCCTCCCTTTGCTTGTTAGGCATGGGAATAATATTTTTGTGGATGATGATTATCTCATAATCAGGGTGGACTGAGGGAGGTGATCATCTTGTTGTGGCTTGCATGTTTACTGTGCGGGGATTGGACAGCTGTATTTATGAGAATCCCTTTGAGGTCACAGTGGTGTGTTATTGACACAGATTCATGTCTCTGCTCTCAGCTGGTCCCTCAGTGCCCTTTGACAGTCTTTGCCCTTGTCCTTGGTCAGCTGACTCTCCTGTCCAGATAGTCACACATGTTCCCCTTCACGCCCCACTTTGTTCCAGGCCTCTGACTTCCTCTGTCTGCCTTTATCCTGGCCCCTCTCTTTCTGGCCCTGACACAGGTACACTCAGCCTCTAGTCCAGGTTCCCTCTGCCCAGGTCCTCTTCCCTCCAGAACTTGTCATCATCAACTGTCTTTTCAACCAACTGGACTTCAAGCTTTCCAAGAGCAGAATCCAAAATGTGGGAAAATTTGAATTAGCATCAGTGAACTTTGTCTCTGACACTGGCTGTATAGTCTTGAGCAAGTCCTGTACCCTCAGGTGCAAGAATCTGGGAAGAGTGGACACTTTGAGCCATCTCCAAGGCCATTCAGGGAGAGTGAGATCTCTTTATGTCCGCCTAGGAAACCCGTGGCCTAGAGCTCAGTTCTGTTCTGTTGCAGTGGCTGCAGTGTGTCCTGGGTGTATACCTGACAGCCCTGCATTTTGCTGCAAGAGCTGCAGCCTTCTCTCTGCCCTCTCCTAATTCAAGCGTCAAAACCTTGTTGGCCCCAGAGCTAGAGCCGCTGCAAGCCACTTCGCTCATTTAGGAAAGCAGGAGGCAGGTCCTGTGCTGAGTCTGCAATCTCAGCAAAGACCTCAGTGAAAATGTTTTCAAGCTCTCTTTGGATAGAGGGAGCAGAGCAGTGAGTAATTAGGTTCAATCACCCATTTCAAGTCTCTGTGACCTTGCTTACATAGGGAGCCCGGAGCTGGGCCCTTCTTGGAGTCCCTGGGTTGGGATCCCAGCCAGCTGAGTGTGAGGAAGGGAGGGAGCGAGAAGGGATGGAGGAGAAGCCTGGGCCAGCAGAGGGCTGCTGTCTCTGCTGCGCTTTCAGCAAGCTCATCTCAGGCATGACATTCAGGATGCAGAGTTGCTCTTTATTTTTTTATGTAGTTTGCTAAGAGAAAATAGCCCCGCTACTTATGTATCAGTGTAATCCAGGGGAAATTACTTAATTTCCGTCAGCCTCAATTTGCTCATCTGTAAAATGAAGGCAACTAATTACACCTGCCTTAGCATATGAGGCGTGAATACGAGAATGCTTGACAATACTTGGCATAGAGTTAGCCCTCGATAAATTTCAGCTGTTAATGTTATTATAGCACCTTCACATGTTGTTGTGTTTATATTGTAAATCGTTGGTTAAAGATATTTTTATTGTCATGATAGCTCCATACTTTCAAGATGCGTCTTTGTAGTATTTCGTATCCATTTAGTCATTCATTCACTGAGTTTGTATTTATCAGACACCTACTTATGGACAAGGAACTGTTGATTATTATCTTTCTGTTCAGGTTATGATGAGCTGTTCATTTCTTAGTGCTTGCCACTATAATATTCAGAGCTACAGTTCGCTGAGCACCTGTTTCAATAGAGTTGCTCACTTGGGAGATAGATTCTAAAGTCCGAGCATAAAGAGAACATGGCACAGAGGAAGAATTAGCCTTGAAAGATCCCTTAAATCATCTGTAAAGTACAGTGTACATCGGAGGTCATCAGACTTTTTCTATAAAGACCATATAGTAAATATTTTAAGCTTTGCAGGCCACCTGTGGTCTCTGTCACATATGCTGCTTTATTTTCCTTTTTAAGGAAAGCCCTTTAAGATGTAAAAACCTTTTGTTAGCTCTGGGCCCTTAAAAAATAGGTCTTTGTCTACATGAGCAGACTGTGGTATGTCTTCTCCAGGATGGTCCGGGGATCCCCGCCTCCTGGTATTCACACTCAGGTGTCATCCCCTCCCTCTCTGGATCAGGGCTGGTCCTATGACCAGTAGAATACAGCAGAAGTCATACAAGATGTTGTAGCTTCCGCCAGCCTGTCTCTCTTGGATCCCCTGCTCTGGGGGGAGACCAGCTGTCCTGTGGTGAGGCGAGGTCACAGGTGAGGGTCTGTGGCTCTGGCCAGCAGCCCACAGGGAAGGGAAGCAGCTCTTCCAGCCCCAGTCAGGCCTCAGGTGACTGCAGCTTCATGAGACATCTTCCTGAGCCAGAACTATCCAGCTTGTGTCAGCCACTCTGCCTTTCAGGTCATTATAAAATCTGCAGCAGGGAACGGGGTGCGGTGAGGAGTTCTAAAGAATGCCTGCTTGCCTGCAGAGTTACATTGATTTTTTTATTAAATGTTTGCTGGTTACACTTGTCAACAAATCTGTTTATGGAGAGGATGAGATGGGAACATGTCATTCATGGGTGTTCTTATTATCATGCATTTCTTGGAGTTTCCATCATTCCAACCAGAGAGAGAACATTTACCATTCAGCAGATGGCTGCATATGGACAGTTAAGTTTCCTGAGGGAGTGATGCACCTCTTCTGGGTGAGCCAGACATTGAGGTACACCACTCAGTCCTGGCAGCAGCCCCCACTAAGGTTAGGATTGGCAGCTAAACGTCTAGCTTGATCCAACTCGCTCCTGATGCCCCTGCTTCCACTGATACCCAGTGTGGCCTCTGCTGTAACACAGCAGTGCGCTTGCAATCTGGGGAGAGCTTTTGCTTCCACACTGAATAGCTTCAGATGGCTTTGCTCTTTTTCGGTTGTGCCAAGAGGCCCTTCTACACTAAATGGCTCATCCATGGGTAGCTACCATTGACCTCTATCGTGTGGCCTGCTTTGGGAAGACAAGCCGGGTCAATTGGTTCTGCCTCAGGAATTTGAAACCGGACACAGGGAAGCATTCTAATCATTGGCGGGGATTTGAGCTAAAGAATCTACAGAATTGGAACCAGGCAGTCCCTGTGTGCTTCCGAATTATGAGAGAGTGGTAACTCAGAAGAAGCACGTTCATGCATTTATCTAATGAACATTGATTAGACATGTGCTGCATGCCAGGCATTGTTTTAGCCACTTGGGTTACAGATATCCTCATGAAACCTATATTGCTAGTAGGTGAAAATACACAATAGACAGTCAACATTATCCGTTAGTGAGTTGCATGTAAAGAAAGTGCGTGAACAATGAGAACACATGGACACAGGAAGGGGAACATCACACACGGGGGCCTGTTGTGGGTGGGGGGAGGGGGAAGGGATAGCATTAGGAGATATACCTAATGTTAAATGACGAGTTAATGGGTGCAGCACACCAACATGGCACATGTATACAAATGTAACTAACCTGCACGTTGTGCACATGTACCCTAAAACTTAAAGTATAAAAAAAAAAAAAAAAGAAAGTGTGAAGGTGATGAGTGCTGTAGGAAGGAGGATAAGGGGGCATCAGGAATTCCAGGGATCATGGGGTCAGGTTGCAGAGCTAAAGAGAGTGTCCGGGGTGGCCTCATTGAAAGGTGATATCTGCGTCCAGTCTTGAGAAGGTGAAGCAGTTGGCCAAGCAGATAAACCTGGGGCACAGGCATGCCAGGCAGGGGGACCTGGTAGGTATTGAAGGAACAGCACGAATCTAGTGTGACTGCAGCAGAGTGAGCGAGAGCGTGCCAGCCTTGGGTTCATTGCAAGATTACATTTCTGTTTCATTTTAACAAACCTTTGAGCACCTACTCTGTGTCAAGTAGTATTTGGCACAAAGCTTTTCAAACCTGGGTTCCCCATCTGAACCATACAACACAGAACTCTGTGACTATTTGTTCAGCTCTTCAGCTCTTCCAGGAGTGTGACACAGCTGATGCTTTCTGGATGCTTGGGAGAGAAGTTCATTCAGTACATCTAATGCATGCCCTAGGGTATTAGGCCTCATTCTCTGCTGGAACCCTGACTGAAAAAGGCAGAATTCCTCTGCCCCCAGCCCTTGCCCTGTAATTACAGACTAGTAAATACTATGAAAGATCAGAGCTAGGATCTGAAGGGTAAGTCAGAGTAAAGTAGGTGAAATGTGAGGTGGGCCCTTGGGGAGGGAGAGGATACTGTCTAGGTGAGAAAACAGTGGGCAGAGACCTGAGGCAGAGGTGGGAGAGGGGGTGAGATGGATTTTGTAGGGCCTGTCACAGCCTTGAGTTTAAGAACACTTAAACTCAGTCTCAAGCTAAATAGCCATTAAGTGTTTGGAGAGAGAGAGAGAGAGAGAAACTGATTGAGAGGATACGAGATTTGTGCTTTGAAAAATTGATGAGATTGCCCTGGCTGCAGTGGGAGAAAGCCTTGGAATGGCAAGAATGGAATTCTTAAGCTGCCTTGTATTTGCAGGCAGATAAGGGTGGTGGCAGTGGGACAGATTCCCTGGATATAATGGAAACTCCAAGAGGACTTGGGAATGGATGGGATCTGGGGTTTGGAAAGGTATTGTCAAAAGACAACATTACAACAATGTAAAGACCTGAATTGGCTTTTACTTGTGATTCCAGAATTGAGAAACACTTGAATAGAATTGAGTGTTCTGATGGGCCAAGCAGAGGAGGTTGGTTTTATAGAAAGAAAAGGACTGAGGAAAGCAGAAACAGAAAATAAAAAGCAGATTGGTTGTTTCAGAGTTACTTTTCTTATAAAGGTTAAAGCAGAGGGGACTTTCTTATCATGCCAGCTACAACTGGCCTGTTTGGGGATTTGGCTATTCTCTCTCTCTCCTGATTTCTCTGAAGGTCAGATAAAAATCTTATTTTGGCTTAGTGGTATGGAACTTGAGCGTGAGTGACACCATTTTGGTTTGGTCTATTGGGCATATTGCAGGAGCTCAGTTCAAACCAATGACCTCCTATAAATTTAATTTAACAATTTCTCCCTTTTTGTCATGCTCTCACCTAGGAGACAGTGTGACCAAAACTTAGGGCATCAGCACTACTCCGTCATCATTATTTTGGGGTTTAAATCTTAACACGTCATTCATGGGTGTCCTCATTATCATGCATTTCTTGGAGTTTCCATTATTCCAGCCAGAGAGAGAACATTTACCATTCAGCAGATGGCTGCATATGCACATTTAAGACTTTTTTGAGAGGATACAGTGCACCAGGGAGACTACTGTTGTGGCTAATGACTATGAGGATGATAATACCAAGAGTTTGGAGTATGCCCCTTAGCCAGGGTCCCCATGAACCAAACCAACTGAAATCATTTAGATCAAATAATGAGCCAGATGGGGAATCTACCTGTTTTAGCCAAGCAGCCTGTTTGTTCGGTTTATCCATGTGCAACAAGAAGCATTAGCAACTGTGCAGATTATTTCCTGTTCGGCTAGAAGGTGGCATTTCTGTTACCTACCATCCCATGACTAGGTTTGGCATGACAGATCCGTTTTTTCATCAAGTCTCTGTAGAAGCTACTGATTGTGCAATTCCGGCAATGTAGCATTATCCTGCCAAGTGAAAAAGGTAGGCATAAGCAAGGAAAAATCAAGAGGAGTCAGAGCCTCATTATGATAAAGAATCTTGTTCTGATGTCTTGGGAAAAGCTGTCCACAGCATGAAGTTGTCAGCTTGTCCTGGTTTGCAGTTTGACTGCCTGTGATTATAACGTCCGGTGTTTGGGTGAACTCTCTGTGGCCCACATATCAGGTATGAGACCTGTCCCTCATAATATACATGGAGTTGTCAAGCTCCAGCTTGTAGGGCTTCTGGGACAGAGCAGTTCTTGTGTGTATTTGGAGAGTTGTAGCCAGATGTTTCCAAATAGGAAAGTAGAAGAATTCTGGATCCGTTCCAGCCTACAAATAGTAAAAACTCAAAAACAACGAACAGGGCTACAATCTAATAACAGGTGTACTATAGTTTTTCTTCTGAAACATAGTTTTTCTCTCTACAGTCACCCTCATTTCTACTAAAGATAAAGCGAGGTGAATTTTTTTGCAAAATGAGCTTAGTCTCGTCAAACTTGGCCTGATTATTTACACAACTGCAGTAATGCTAGTGATTGATCACAAAGTTTGCTTTGCTGGAACTTTGGATAAGAAATCTCAGATTGGACTTTTAAAGGACTCTCAAAGCTAGGAAGCCAAACTGATATTTCCAACTATATTCTGTTATGAGAGCAGACTCATATTGAACTTAATGGAAATAACTATATTAGCACAAAGATAAGAAGAGTCACAAATAATTTCCGAATTCTGGAGATATTAGGTAGGGAGAAAACATAAATATTTCGTTTTTGTTCATAAGAGTATAACTTTACCAAATTACTGAAAGCTAATATAAGGAAAAAGGTGTTTTTTTTAATCTGAGAAATAAAACACCAGCAATATGTCAAATTAAAAACCATAAAACCCACAATTGTTATTTATCATTTTATTCTGTCTCATGTAATTAATTTTTGTTCTGCTTGATCTTGGTCAGTAGTTTCACAAGCCCATCAGTTTCTTTATTAGAGTTCTGGAAATGTTTAGCCAGTCCAATGGTATGATCTTAAAGTTATTAGAGACCTCTTCTTGTCAAAGTCCTTTCCATCCTTTCCATGAATCTCCTTGAAAACACAACATTTTAGGATTATAGTTGCTTGCAAAAAGCATTGAGAAAAGCATCAGAATAAAGCAAATTAACTGTGGATAACAGGACTTAAAGCGACCATGATTAGAGATCTGATGAGGGTTCATTATAATAATGATTCAGTTGACAAGGAAATTTGGCTGTTTCTGTGGCATACAACAAGTTAACATGATAACCAAAATTATGACTGACAGCATATCAGATGATCAGATAAGCCTAATTGGAGTAATGTTTCTCTTTTTCACGGTGAGAGACTCATCCTTTGATGTTTTCTGGGGGCCCAACTGAGAAACCTCAAAGTGAATTTGAGGTCAGAGAGACTTGATCTAAAATTGATTTTGAGAAGTTTGTCAAAAATATCAACAGGTTTAAAACAATTAAAATAGTATCACATGTCATTGTGGAAATAATAGTTGTTCATTTAACCAGTGATAAGAAAAAGACTTCAGAAGGCAAATACAGTAAGTTACATAGTTGTCAGCAAAAATTTAGCTCTTTTAATATTGAGAAGACTCACATTTCTTAAGTAATCAAAGGCCTAATAAAAGAAAATGCAAAGCGCAAGAAATTGTCTTGATAAAACACAAAATCTTTATTTCCTAGGCCAATTATCTAGAAAGAAAGAAAAACCTTTCACTATTTCTCATTAAGAGTAAATCAATACTCCAAGAAAGCATTGAGACAAGCATCAGAACAAAGCAATTAACTGTAGATAACAAGACTTAAAATGACCTTGATAACCTCGTGTTGAGAGAACCAAATTCTATTTTGCATTAGCATCTTTTTATTTTATTTATTTATTTTTTTGAGACAGGGTCTCACTTTGTCACCTACACTGGAGTGCAGTGGCACAATCTCGGCTCACTGTACCTTCCACCTCCCAGGGTCCCACCTCTGCCTTCTGAGTAGCTGGGACAGCAGGTGTATGCCACCATGCCTGACTAATTTTGTATCCTTTTTTTGGTAGAGATGAGGTTTTGCCATGTTGCCCAGGCTGTTCTCCACATCCTAGGCTATATGCGATCTGCCCTCCTTGGCCTCCCAAAGTGCTGGGGTTACAGACATTAGCCACCATGCCTGACCCATCAGTGTACTTTTGATATTAATGCTCAATTTTTAGAAAAAAAAGGTTTAGAAAAAAATTGGACATTATAAATAATTTCCTTTTAATTTTAGCTCGATCAAACATAAAATTCCTTTCACAAGATTCATCTTCCACAAACCTTTTACCATTTTCTGATCGATTCTGTTTTGTCCTCTAATGTTTCTCTTTCTCGTTTTGGAAGAACCGTCACTCTACTGTAGAAAGAAAAAATTACTTTCTTTTTCCCTTAACAAAGTCTCATTCTTTATAACTTCCTATTTAGAAAGTATCTTATTTCCCTCACATACAGAGTTATTTCCTTCTAGTTTTAATGGTCATCCATTAATTAGACTTTTTAACTCTTGGTAACCTTAATTTCTAGTGAAAACTAGGGAGTGAGCAAATTTAAACTGTTTTATATCAGCACTTTGTACATGAGCACCATTTCTTAATTTTTAGGAACATGTGCCCTAATACAGTTTTTTTCATGTTTATTAACAGACTCACAAGGCCCGCATGTATTTAATTTATGCCATATAAAAACAAGATGCCAGAATACATATACTTTACATTTATATTCAGATATTAATGTTTCAGTATTTTAACTTATTTAGAAACAACTCAGACATTTCATAACTATTACTTAACATAACTTGACTTTAAGATTTCAAGTTACTGGCCAAGCGCGGTGGCTCGCGCCTGTAATCCTAGCACTTTGGGAGGCCGAGGCGGTCGGATTGCCTGAGCTCAGGAGTTGGAGACCAGCCTGGACAACACAGTGAAACCCCGTCTCTACTAAAATACAAAAATTAGCTGGGCATGGCAGTGGGCACCTGTAGTCCCAGCTACTCGGGAGGCTGAGGCAAGAGAAGCGCTTGAACCCAGGAGGCAGAGGTTGCAGTGGGCCGAGGTCACAGCACTGCACTTCAGCCTGGGCAACAGAGCAAGACTCCGTCTCTGGAAAAAAAAAAAAAATTCAAGTTACTGAAAAGGATTTTTGAAACTATGATTTAATCCGTCTATAAACCTTTATCCCCTTTACATTCACCTAATTTAGTCATGCTTAATATTTATGCTTGAAATGCTTCTTAAAACTAATCAGTGAAGGAGTTCAGGAAATGCCATTCCAGAATATGTCGCATTAGTATATTGATCACTTCCAGCTGCATGTACTTGAAATACAACAAATGCAGGGAGAGGCATTCTCTGAACTCGTACCTGCCCAAAGACAGATTCTCAGAAGAACTCAGCTGTCATCAGTCCCTCCTCTGCCCCATCATCTTACATTATTTTATTTTTGTTGACAAACAAGACAGGTATAAAAAAAATCACAGAATCAAAGAAACAGAAGTTAAATATGATTCTTTATATTTCAAACCATTAATCTTTCCATTTTCTGTTCCATCACCCTAAGCAGTTGTTAGCCAGACAACCCTAAATCTGTCCTTCCAAAAAGATGACTCTTGGATGAAACGAGTTTAAAAATTGACATCTCAAAGGCATAAAATTAAACACCATTATTTGTCAAGACAAAGAAAGGGGTGAAGTGGGAATTCCAGTTAAGACACAGTGGTCCAAGGTGAAGCTTATTGTTTCCTTGTTTTTTATTTTTATTTTGAGACGAAGTTTCGTTCTATGGCCCAGGCTGGAGTGCAGTGGCACGATCTTGGCTCACTGCAACCTCCACCTCCCGGGTTCGAGTGATTCTCCTGCCTCAGCCTTCCGAGTAGCTGGGATTACACCACACCCAGCTAATTTTTTGTATTTTTGGTAGAGACAGAATTTCGCCATGTTGCCCAGGCTGGTCACGAACTCCTGGCCTCCCAAAGTGTTGGGATTACAGGGGTGAGCCACCACACCCAGCCACAGGCTTGTTATTTAGATTTGAGTCTTGCCTTCTTCATTGTAATAGTTTCTAGTGATTCAGGGTGCAGAGAGGCAGATCCCTTACAAAATGGAGATTTCCTTTATAGATGTAAATTTCTTACAGAGTTTCAAAGTAGCCAGCTGAGTGCCAGAAATGTAGGCCCTTGTACGTTTTATTTAGCAGTATAAAGTGAGTCAAGGATGCCACCAGGTTCCTGGCTTATGTTAATGGGTAGTTAACATCCACTGAGATAAGAAATACAGGACACTTGTTGCTGTTTATTTGGTTTATGTATAAACAGTGAATTGTGGTTCTTTTATTCAACACCAGAGTGTAAACCATTGACTGGAGGTGTTCACAGACTCGGAATAATTGACTTCAGTTCTTCCTGAAGTTCTTAACTTGTGGGATTTGGGGGCTTTTAAAGGGAGTGACTTGGAGGGACAATTCTCCACCTTGAGAGAGGTCTCCCTTTCATCTGGCACGGCATCTCCAGCATATCTCCTCTAAGCACCTCTGCCCAGGCAGGTAACTGTGCACGAACTAACCTTGGAAAGGTCAAGAGACCTGGCTGTGGCTCATTTTCCTTTCTTTTCTTGGGTACTTGGGCTCCTAATGAAAATGCTTCTCATTCAGAGGTTCCGGGAAGCCTCCATCCATGAGCAACTCACATGATTTACAGAAGAATTGCTATGCTGTGTATCTTCACGTGGGTAACACACTTGTTCCTCACAGCCCATAGGGTTTTGTCATTAAACTATTGAGACCCATGTGATGGTGGAGTATCAAGATTGACAGGTTAATTTCCCATTTATATAGAACATTATATGAAAATTGATTTTTTTAAGGCATGGGGGTGGAGGATCCTGGGATGTGTGGCGTGGTGAGAGAGAAGATTAAGCATTTAGTGTTTTCAGCTACATTTAAACTTGTCCTCCTTGGCACCAACCTAGGGGCTGCTCTGAGTTCTAAAGGAATCACAGGAGGCTGGTTGTACAAGTGGCTGCATTGCCTCCATGCGTTTCCTTTGCTTCTTCCCATTAAAAGCCAAGGACCACCTTACTCTTGAGGCATTTTAAACAATGAAATCTAAGGAAAACATGCTCAGTTGAGAACAGACTTTTGGGGAGGAGTGAATGGGAATTCTATGCAAGGCCGGGTGCGATGGCTCACGCCTGTAATCTCAGTACTGTGGGAGGCTGAGGCAGGCGGATCACTTGAGGCCAGGAGTTTGAGACCAGCCTGGCCAAGATGGTGAAACCCCGTCTCTACTAAAAATACAAAAAAAAATTATCCAGGGGTGGTGGTGCACGCTTGTAGTCCCAGCTACTTGGGAGGCTGAGGCAGGAGATTTGCTTGAACCTGGAAAGTGGAGGTTACAGTGAGCTGAGATCGTGCCGCTGCATTCAAGCGGGGAGGACAGGGCAAGACTCTGTTTTTAAAAATAAAACAAAAGAACAAAAAAACTGTATGCAAGTTATTTGATTGGCCACTCAGAAAGATTACTGATTGATTATGAATTGAATCTGTTGTCCAGGCTTGCATTCTCAAATTTTCCAGTATTGTCAAGAAGCCAGAGGCTGGTGTTGATTTGATTTAACATAACATTTGACTTAACATAACGGATCCTATTGGTAATTTTATTTCATTATCTTCGCGTGGTTTTGAACCTCAACACCTCAGCAGTCAACTTATTTTAGATCTTCCATTTCATCAGAACGCTATCATAGTTCAACTAAATAATTATAGTATGACGATGTAGTTACATTTAAGTACTGTGAATGTAAAACATTTGGGGCTGAGAAAAACATACACTGAAACCCGGTTTCTTACTTCATCAGCAGATGTTAATGAGGACTGTCTAAGTCTCTGGCACTGTGCTGGGCACTGAGCAATATAGAGGCTTTGCCTGCCTTTTCCAGGAGGCATCCTCTCACTGCCAGGTGGAAAACAAAGGCAGTGGATGTAACCTACAACACAGAGAGGTGAATGCTATGCAGAGAGCTCTGGCCTCATTACCCCGTCTAGGAGGTCAAGGAAGTCTGTGGGAGAAAAAAATTATTCAAACAGAGAGGGAACCCAGCATCTTGTGGACAGCCTGGATGGTGACTTTGTGTTGATTTCAGGCCAATTGGGCAGCTCCTTGTGTGGCTGCCCAGTTGTGTAGTGGAGCTGCATTCCATACAGGTGGGGGGTTGGGTCTGAAAAGTCCACACAGCACCAATTACCCATAGTCAAAATCACACAGAGAATCCTTGTCGGAGACCCACAGAGCCAGTTGTCTTCAGCATTGGAACAGAATGCTGTTTCTTAAAAGCAGGGATGGCAAATGGGCCAAATCCAGTTGGCGGTCTGTTTTTATAAATAAAGTTTTGTTGGAACACAGCCATACCCATTTAGTTACATATTGTTGGTGCTGCTTTCTTACCAAAGTGGCAGAGTTGAATATTTGCAACAGATTGTATGGCCCACGAAGTCCATTGTTTCGTATGTTGCCCTTCAAGGAAAGTTTGCTGCCCTCTGCTTTGGAGCAAATGAAGGAATTCGTTTTATATTCAGGTACTACGTTGTAAAAAGAAAATTGTTACCTTTAAACACCAGAATCGTATCAGTGAGGTGAGATATTCACACCCCAGAACGCATGAAGGAACTGAAGAAGCAGTCACCTCGCCTCTCCATCTGACCCTCACCTGGCATCATATGCTCTGACTAAATTGGAGAGTGATTTGCCTAAAATGTGTCTCCTTCCTCCTTGCCCTGCCCTGCCTCTCTGTTTGTCCAAATGCACGTAGCTGAATTCGCCTGAGTTTTCTCCATACTCCACTATATGCCCCTCTGCCAAGACCAGCTAGGTCGGGGAGACCCTAACCCAGCGGCGCTAGAGGAATTAAAGACACACACACAGAAATATAGAGGTGTGAAGTGGGAAATCAGGGGTCTCACAGCCTTCAGAGCTGAGAGCCCTGAACAGAGATTTACCCACGTGTTTATTAACAGCAAGCCAGTCATTAGCATTGTTTCCGTAGATATTAAATTAACTAAAAGTATCCCTTATGGGAAACGAAGGGATGGGCCAAATTAAAGGAATAGGTTGGGCTAGTTAACTGCAGCAGGAGCATGTCCTTATGGCACAGATCGCTCATGTTATTGTTTGTGGCTTAAGAATGCCTTTAAGCTGTTTTCCGCCCTGGGTGGGCCCCGTGTTCCTTGCCCTCATTCCCGTGAACCCACAACCTTCCAGCGTGGGCATTATGGCCATCATGAAAATGTCCCAGTGCTGCAGAGATTGTTTATGGCCAGTTTTGGGGCCAGTTTATGGCCAGATTTTGGGGGGCCTGCTCCCAACATGTCCGCCTTCTTTGATTTGCAAATCCATAAAAGCAAGGGCAGCTTTGTCGCGGTGAGCTACTTCTCGCAGGAGTCAGGATCCACATCTGCAGACTGTACAAAGACAACACAGATTAAAAGCACAATCATCATTGAAATCACAGAGCTTCCAAGTGTTTTTATCCATTTTAATGGGTTACTAGATAAATATGTCCAGTAAGTATAATTGTTCTCTGTGTCAGCCCTTGTTGAAGGAATACTCACGGCAGTGGTGATAACCTCTATCATAGCTACCATTAAATTACTTGTTGTGACTGGTTGTCCCGCTTTCCTCAGGTTTTCTTCCACCATCTGTGACAGCTTCTTGATCTGTCCCCAGGTGGGTGGCTGTGTTCGACGGGTGTTGCTCATGACAGTTGGGGTCCTCCTCAGCATCAGTCTCGACATGGCTGCAACTGAGGGGTCCTTGGGATCCTCCCGGAATCTCTTCCTCGGCATCTGGCTCATGATAAGGTTTCAGGTGTCTTGATGGTATCCAAATCGGCTGTTGATTTTGGGCTGGAGAAATACAAGCATAACCTCTACTCCAAGTTATTATTTTACCTATTTCCCAACTTTTTGTTATCGGATCTCTCCACTAAATCAGTTGTTCTGCTTCTGTCTTTGCAGCTGTTCTGTAGATGCTGTTCAGCTGCTGATAACATCTGGCCTTTGGGCAGGCTCAAAAAATTTAAAGTTAATAATGCTAGATTCAGTTGTATCTGCGGTGTTCCATAATCTCTATTTCCCCCTTTCTGCTTTTGCAACTGCTGTTTTAGGGAAAGATTCATTCTTTCCACTATGGCTTGTCCTTGAGAATTGTATGGGATACTAGTAATATCTTTAATATTCCACATAGAGAAAAATGTAGCTAGAGCTTGGCTAGGATAGCCTGGGGCATTATTGTTTTAATAGAAGCTGGAATGCCCATCACCGCAAAACACTGCAAAAGGTGATGTTTAACACAGGCAGAAGACTCTCCTGATTGGCATGTAGCCCAGACAAAGTGAGAAAAGGTGTCCACACATACATGTACATAAGCTAGTCTCCCAAACAAGGGAACATGTGTGACATCCATTTGCCAAAGACAGTTAGGTTCCAGTCCTCGAGGGTTAACTCCTCCTGTAAAAGATGAAGAATGTACCATTTGGCAAGTTGGGCATCACTGGACAATAGCTTTAGCTTCTTTCCAGGTAATGCTGTATCTGCGTTTGAGACCAGAGGCACTAACATGGGTTAAATTGTGAAAGTGTCTAGCATTAGATATTTCATTAGCAACTAGGCGATCGGCCATTTGATTCCCTTCAGTCAAAGGTCCTGGAAGAAGTGTACGAGCCCTAATGTGAGTGATGTAAAAAGGGTGCCTTCTACTTCTAACTGCTGTTTGCAGTTGGGTAGATAAAGTCATCAGTTGTTCATCTGTATGAAATCATAACTGAGCATTTTCAATTAACTGTGTGGAATGAACCATGTATGAAGAATCAGAAACCACATTAATAGGCATATCAAAAGCAGTCAATACCTCAATTACAGCTACAAGCTCCGCTTTTTGAGCTGAAATATAGGGCATCTGGAAATCTTTACTTTTTGATCCAGAATAAAGCTTTACCATTACTAGTCCCATCTGTAAAACAATGAAAACGCTTAGCAGGCTGCAGGTTGTTTACTGCAGGAATTGTAAATGCAAACCGTTCACAGTCTTGCTCAGCCAAAGGGATAGTGAAGAAACAGTCTTTTAAATCTATGGCTATTAAAGGCCAATTTTTTGGAATTATAACAGGAGAAGGCAATCCTGGCTGTAATGCTCCCATAGGTTGTATAACTGAATTGATGGCTCTTAAGTCAGTTAACATTCTCCATTTACCTGATTTCTTCTTAATTACGAGAACTAGAGAATTCCAAGGGGAAAATGTTGGAGGAAGTATGTGCCCATTTTCTAGTTGTTCAGTAACTAATTTCTCTAAAGCCTCCAGTTTCTCTTTACTTAGCGGCCATTGTTCTATCCAAATTGGCTTATCTGTGAACCATTTTAAAGATATAGGTTCCGGAGGCTTAACAATGGCCACCATCAAAAATTATTTCCTAATCTTTGGCGGAACTTTGTTTTTCCACTTGAAGCAGTTCTTTCAAACCTTGCAAATTTTTTTCTAGTCCCATACCAGGGACATGCCCCAATTCATGCATTGTATGTTGACTTTGAGGACTATATAATTGTTCTGGAATTAGAACTTGTGCTCCCCATTGTTGTAATAAATCTCTCCCCCATAAATTTATAGGTACAGAAGTTATAATTGGTTGAATAGCCCCAGGTCGTCCATCGGGCCCTTCACAATGCAAAATATAACTACTTTGATATATTTCAGCGGCTTTACCAACTCCAAATATGTTACATTGAGCGGGTTGAATTGGCCTCACGGACGGCCAGTGCTGTAGAGAAATGATTGAAATGTCCACTCCTGTATCTACCAAACCTTTAAATTTGTTTCCCTGAATAGTTATTTCACAGGTAGGATGTTTATCAGTAATTTGACTTACCCAATAAGCTGCTTTGCCTTGTTTATTTGTGCTTCCAAATCCTCCTTTTCATTTAATTTCACTTTTCCCCATTCCCCCATACGGCACAATCAGGAGCTGTGCTATGCACTCTCCTGGCTCTGCTGTCCAGGGAACAGAAGTAGTTACAACAATTTGAATTTCCGCATTGTAATCTGAATCAATGACTCCTGTATGTATTCGCACCCCTTTTAAACTTAAAACTAGACCTTCCTAGAAGTAATCATATTGTCCCCACTGGCAAGGGTCCACAGACTCCTGTTGGAACCTTTTGCGGAGGTTCCCCAGGCAGAAGGCTCACAGCTTTTGTGCAGCATAAATCTACTGACAGACATTGTACGGAGGTGATGGAATGGCCTGAGCTGGAAATGCCCCGGTTTAGAACGGGGCCCGGGACGGGCCCCTCATGGCGTTTCCCGAAATCGGGTTCCCTTCTATATCAAACTTAGAGTGACACTGATTAGCCCAATGTTTTCCTTTTTTACATTTTGGACATATTTCAGGCTCAGCAGTTTTCTTTTTTCCCCTATCTGGCAGCCTGACTCGCTTATTTTTTCTACATTCTTTTTTAGTATGGCCATGCTTCCCACAGTTAAAACAAGCTGCAGGAAATGGAGTATTTCCTTTATCCACTCTCAGTCTTGCCATTGCCTGTGCTAGCAGAGTAGCTTTATGCAGATTACTTCCGATACCATTACAGGCCTTGATAATCAACTAAATGCGCTTTCCCTCTGATAGGTCGCAGAGCAGCCTGGCAGTCGGGATTAGCATTGTCGAAAGCTAATAACTGCAACACTATATCCTGAGCAGCCGAATCTGCAGTCATCTTTTTAAGAGACTCCCGTAACCGAGCTATAAAATCAACGTATGGTTCTTTGGATCCCTGTTTTTGTAGCACTAAAGGAAGGGTATTGTTCTCCACTTGAAGTGATTTTTTCCCCAGCTCTAATGCACACTCCTCTAAGCTGTTCTATGGCATCATCCGGCATGATGAGTTGTGCATCTAAAGCAGCCCAGCCGCCGACCCCCAAAAGCTGGTGCGCAGTTATATTAATTCGAGGTTGGGCCTGGGCATTGCGAGCAGCCTGAATGGAAGCTTCATCTGCCCACCAAGTTTTAAATTGTAAGAACTGAGCAGGAGTTAGACAAGCTCGAGTAAGAGCATCCCAGTCAGTAGGAATCATCCGACTGGAAACAGCAACATTCTTTAACAGTCCCATTACAAAAGGAGAACCTGGTCCATACTGATTTATAGCTTGTTTAAATTCTTTGAGTAATTTAAAATGAAAAGGCTCAAATGTAGCTATAATATTTCCCTGTTGATCTGGGGGTGTATTCTAACAGGGAACTGCCAAGCCTCTAAATCACTCCCTCGTCTAGCTTGCTGAATTCCTGCCTGAATAGAATTAAGAGTGGTCGCTCGAGGTGCTGCTTGAACAGTCACTGGGGCAACTAATTTTCGCCCAGTGTCCTCCGGAAAAGAAAGATCTGGAGGATCATTTTCTTCAAAATAATAATGAGGGGGTGCAGAGGGGTAGGGATGAACCTCTCCCTCCTTTGCTGCTTTAGCTTTAGCTGGTAAATAAACATGCTCTGTAACCTCTTTTGTTACCTAGCTATACTCTCCTTCCTCCTCATCATCGGTGTGAAAAAGTTCCAAGGTGGGACGAACCACACCCCCACACTTGTCCTATTGTTACCCTGATGCTTCTGAGCTCCCCTTCTTACTCACCAGGGGGATTGCTTTGAGAGTACTCGGGTGTCCTCCAGCTAGTTCCGCATTCTCCAGCCATCACTCTGGCGACCCCTCCACCTGGATTCGAGCCCCCACGATGGACGCTACTTGCCGAGACCAGCTCGGTCCGCGAGACCCTAACCCAGAGGCGCTAGAGGAATTAAAGACACACACACAGAAATATAGAGGTGTGAAGTGGGAAATCAGGGGTCTCACAGTCTTCAGAGCTGAGAGCCCTGAACAGAGATTTACCCACGTGTTTATTAACAGCAAGCCAGTCATTAGCATTGTTTCTATAGATACTAAATTAGCTAAAGGTATCCCTTATGGGAAACAAAGGGATGGGCCAAATTAAAGGAATAGGTTGGGCTAGTTAACTGCAGCAGGAGCATGTCCTTAAGGCACAGATCTCTCATGCTATTGTTCGTGGCTTAAGAATGCCTTTAGTGGTTTTCTGCCCTGGGTGGGCCAGGTGTTCCTTGCCCTCATTCCCGTAAACCCACAACCTTCCAGCGTGGGCATTATGGCCATCATGAACATGTCACAGTGCTGCAGAGATTCCGTTTATGACCAGTTTTGGGGCCAATTTATGGCCAGATTTTGGGGGGCCTGCTCCCAACACTCCTCTCCTCCTTCAATTGCAGTGGACAGGCTGATGAAAAAAGAGCAGAGCCAGGCTTAATAATGTGGATGAGGCACTTCTGCCAATGGAAAGCTAAAATGATGTCGTGATTCAGTAGAAAAAAGTGGTAAGACAATGAGTTGTCATTGTGACACACAGTTAAGCATATTGAACCCCAATATAACTAACTCTCTACACTGGATTCACATTGGAACTGACTGTGCAGTCTCAAGAAGACATTGTCCTTATTGTCCATCAGTGTGCACTGTTAATCAAAATTTGGGGATGGGAGTTTTAGTTGCGTTTAGTTATAAATGTGCTTTGATTTTATAGTTGTAAAGGAGCTAGATGCGTATGGCAGACAGACTTTAAGGTGACCCCTAGGATTCTTGCCTCCTGGAGTTGACGCCTTTGTCTCATTGTCTCACCTGGAGTTGGATGTGGCCTGTGACTCGCTTCCCACTTCTAACTCCTCTTGCCAGCTGACTCCCTCTGGGGCCATTCTTCCTGGCTAGCTTTGAGGAAGAGGCCCCTGTGGCAGGGAGCTGAAGGTGGCCTCCTGCCTATATCCAACAAGAAGCTGGGGACCTTAGTCCTACAGCTCCAAGGAAATCAGTTCTTTTGCCCACACCCCGAGTGGGCAACTTGAATGAAGACCCTTCCCTGGCGGAGTCCCCGCTGCGTAGTACCCTCATTGCAGCCTTTCAGGGACCCAGCTAAACTGTGCGTGGACCCGGACCCCTGACCCACAGAAGCTGGTAGAGGATAAATGTGTGTTGGAAGCCACTAAGTTTGTGTACTTCATTATGCGGCAATACGAAACATTTCAGGACTTACACAAGTTGTTACTGGTACTTATTTAATGTTATAAAAATCTGAGCCAAGTCAGATCACTTTAGGATGGGAACATCTGAATCACAGCCTTGGTGAGCTTCTAATCCACCGTTCCCTTTTTCTTCCCATCAGGCAAAGGCAAAAGTGGCTCCTGAGGTCCTTTTTGTAGCACTGACAGGTTTCCTTGGTCATAGTGGAAGAGAGGGGCATCCCACATCATTTGGCCCAGTGTTCTTTTATGGAAGGACACATGGAGGACAGGGGCTGGCCCCTTAGGCTTGTCTTCCCTGAGGTCAGCTGCAGCTTCCAAGGAGGTAGCATCTTGAGACATTTATAATCTATCCTTTGTACAGCTGCTTGTGGCCCCCCCCTTGTCACATAATGAGTTCGCAGTTGGGATTTCCTCGTGTGAGTTTCCAGCACCCTAGGGCCATATTTGTCCTAGGATTCTCCTCATCATTTCCCCCCACCCCCAGTCACTGCTGCCTCTTAGCCTTTGCTTCTCCGGGCTGAGGAATTCCTGCATTTTTAATCTGTCCTGCTCCTGCTGGCCTGTTTTGTCTAGCTACTGCCCTTCAAAACCATATCCAGTTTCACTCATAAAAAGCAGGGGGAAATGGTCAAACCAAACCCTCCAGCCTCCCCTGTGTAGTCCTGGCTCTTGTTTGATTGTTGGTTCTCTGAAGAAAGGTGCTCTGAGGAGGAAGAGGGCTGCCTGTGCCCCCGGCACCCCCCATCATGGAGGCTGGCCTCCTGGTGTGTTGTTTGATTGGGTGTCCTTTTGCACCCCTGAGGTCCTGCTAGTACCTGCAGTGCTGACAGTCCCTGTGGGCACGGGTGTGTGTCAGGCCTTAGTCATCAGCACTTAACCGCTCTGAGCTGCAAACATTGGGCCTCAGAGCTCAGTGTTGATGTGATCACCGTCTCACTTCTGCCAAAAATAGATGGGGAGGAACATATTTCTGTTAAGCTCTTGAGGGTTACAGCTGGATTAAGTTAGAGCTCCTGAAAACAGCACACTGGCTTATACTAGTGGTTTAGATTCTCTAAGAAATGTGTATTGATATAAAGTTATCAGACTATTGATTTTTTGTAGAGTGAAAATATTAAATTGTTATTTGAAGAACATCATAGATCTTGTAAAAGCAAAGTTGAAGACCAGATTCAAAGTTACTTTACATTCTTCTTGAAATTCCTTCTAGAATGTTGTGCTAGGAAAAGTCCCTCTTCTGTTGAGTTTATTTACTTTCTTTTAATGGACAAAACCTATCTTATTTACCTTTTTACCTTTGCCACTAGGAAACTTAGAACCAAACGAATACAACTCAGTTGCAGTAAATCTTGAGTTCTAAGCTTCTGACTCTGTTTGCTTTTAAAGTGTCTCATTTGCTGTGTGCTTAGTGTTTTCTAAATAAATACCTACCATTAGGGGAGGAATTGCTTTGTAACTTTGCACATTAGCTCCGTGGTTTGCGTTGACCTCGATTCTAAGCAGAAACAGCTGTGAGTATGTTCTATTAATTATTAGGTGAGTTGTTTTAACTAGTGCAGACAAGAGCTTGTTGACCTGTGCTCTGGGTGAGAACTCTGATTTCTGCTTCTACTCAAAAGGGTCAAATCCCATGATGTAGTTTTGACTTAGGAGAATTTAGTTCTGGCCTGGAGTGAATCTTTGTGGGATTGATGCAGACCAAGACTCGTGTTAAGGCCGAGCTCTGCAGCAGCTGGCCGCTTGTTTGTCTTCTGAGCCTGTTTCATTTGCCTTCCCTGGTCTGCTTGAGCAGAGGAGAGAGGAAGAAAAGCTGTTGGCAGATGTTTTTAGTAAGACCCTTAAGCGTAAGGGAGGAAGCTAATTTTAGTCCTGTTTTTAATATTATGGTAGTTTGGTTGCGTCTTTCCTCTTAGGGTAGAGCATTTTAGCTTTTGTTTTTGCTTTTGCATTTCCTGTGTATATATCCTGAAGCAAAATGGACTGCTAAAAATGTCACTTGGTGTTTGTTATTTTGTGCCTAGAATAACATTCAAGACCCGTGAGCACTGTGAGTCACTAAAATAGTTTTAGGAGAAAGGAATGTTGTCTGTGTTACTCTTTTCTATATTTCCTTCTAGAAATTTTCCAGTTGATTCCTGTGCTTATGTTAATTGGACATCCATAATCTCTTTCTTTTATCATCAGCAATACAGTAACATTGTATTTGTTAGCACATTGCATCTCTACTTGCATGCAGAGCTCTTTAATTTTAAAAGTACAGTAAGTTTTGGAAGAAGATCATGGCTAAAGAGGCAAGTTGCTGGAAAATACAGTTGTGCTGCTTACTCAGTGAACAACCAGCCAACAAGCTGCGTGCACGTTTATTGTGATGAGAACTTAAACACAAAGCAGACGTGTAAGTTCCCCTGGTGTCCCCAGTTCCTAGCACATAGTAGAAACTTTGTAAATATTTGTTTGGGGTAAATGAAGTCAGTAGCACTACAGATAGGAGGCCGTAAGGAAGGATGGTTTCTAAAACAATAAAAAGGGACATCAGCTAGGCCAGTGGTCTTCCAACTTACTGTGTATCAGAATCACCTGGAGAGCTTGTTAAAACAGATTGCTGGGCCTACCCCCAGAGTGTCTGCTTCTGTAGGTGTGGCATGGGCCCAAGAATTTGCATTTCTAAGAAGTCTCTTGGTGAAGCTGCCGTCGTTGTTGGTTCAGGACCACACTTTGAGAACCGCTGACTAGGCTAATGCCTGTGGATGAGAAAAGAGGCTTAGAGAAATTATGTTTTGCCTAATTGACAAAACCAATTAGTGGCTGAAACAACACAGAAGGCCAGGTTTGTCCTCTCACTTCCTAACTTGAGGACAGAGAAATATATTCTGATGTCCCTAACTGGCAGTCTGCTATGATAGTGACCACATGCCCATTTCTTTCTTGGGATTTCGTCCCAGCCTGACAACCTTGGAACAGAACAAGAGGACAGGAGGTGTCGTTCCAGGTATGTGTTAGCTGCACCAGCCACTCTTTGTGGCATCTGCTACCCATCAAAGGACGTGGTTGGGCTGGGAGCCAAGTTAAGTTTTCTCATTGTTTGGCAGTTGTGTCCCCAGATTTTCTTGCCCATCTTGGAGATCTTAGCACAGCCGGGGTGCTTGGGGCTCAGCTGCCTTGAAGGGGACTCAGTCCCCCACACAGGTGATTCCCATGTCCCATGGTGGGCACTGAGATTGGGGTGAGGGGAGCACACTTGAGGGACCCTTCACTTCCTCACAGCCCTTGCCCCTTTCCTCAGGGTGCGCTGGGAAGAACCCCCAGCGGCTGCCCATGCCCACCTCAGAAGCTGTTCAGTTTGGGCAGAAGGAGGTTATTGTGGCCACCTTCTGTCCACGGTTTTCTTTTACATCCTTTCCATTGCACTGTTGGTGCCCACCTCCCCATTCTAAAAGACATGGCCACTGGCTCCACTTAAGGAAGGCACTTTATTGTCATGATTAAGACTGTGAGGCCAGCCTATAATCCCAGCACTTTGAGAGGCCAAGGTGGAAGGATCACTTGAGCCCAGGAGTTCAAGGCTGTAGTGAGCTACGACCATGCCACTACACTCCAGCCTGGGCCACAGGGCGAGATTAAAAAAAAAAAAAAGACTGAGTTTTTGTCAAACTGAGCAGTTCGAGTTCAGGCTGTTTCCCAATCATGCTGTGACTTTGCACCTAGTTCTTTTCTCTGAGCTTTAGTTTCTTCATCTGCAAAATGGCAATTAATGTCTGCCTGTCAGGGCTGGCGTATAGTAAGTGCTCAGTAAATTACAGGCTATCTTTTGAGGAGCAAGAAGTAGACTAGCTCCTGACTAACCCTTGCCTTAAATTCCTCTTCTCTACCTTCATTCCCTGGGGGCTTTCCTGGTACAGGGGCAGGATAATGGTGTGTGCTTACTTTGGATTTTGCCTTGTGGCAATTTGCTGTAAGACATGGTTGGGGAATTCATTTTTATCTAGACATCAGGACCACCAGTACATTGGTAATTCGTCTCTTAGTGGAAGGTGGCTTGTGGGTGTTTGGCTTCTCAGCCTGTTGGGGACCATTTTTAGATTTCTGAATTAATCCTTTCTCATGGCCGGTGAAGAAAAAAACACATGGTGAACCCTGTGGACGGCACGTCCCGGCACCCGCAGGAAGCTGCCGGGCTCCCTGCTCCCGCAGAGCCCTCCTCCACAGCCTCGCCCAGCCCCTGGCTCTTGCCCTCCCTGAGTCAGGTCACCTGTTCAGCTGACCCTGCTGGGCTGGGGCCTTCCAGATGTGCTCATCCCTCTGCTGGGAGCATTTTCCCCTCGGTCCGTGCCTCATCCCCACGAGAAATACAGCGCAAATCCAGCCAAGTGCAGCAAATCTAGCCAAGTGCAGCAAATCTCACCAGCTTCTTTTTAAGCCAGTTTCCTCTTGGTGGCAAGCACAGTTGCTACCACCCCCCACCACCCTCTGTGGAAAGGGCTATGACGCTCGCCTTCTCTCTGCTCCCTCCCTCCCAGCTGCTCCTCCAGAACCCCCCAGTGTCCCTGCACATCCCAGGAGTCTGCTTCTGGGGAACCGGACCAAGGTTTAAGCATTCACCTTGGGGAGGCCACCCCCACCCCTCTCTCCAGACTTGGTTAGGGGTCTTTGGCCTCACTTGTGTAGCACTTGTCCCCTGACCTCGGTAGCGATGCTTCAGGTCTGCCCTCCCCGCGCCTCCACAGGGTTTCTTGTTCTCTGAGGAGTAGGGGACAGGACAGAGGCTTTTCCTCAGCAGGCAGCCAGCTCAGATTGGACTTTCCTTCTAGGGATCCCTCTTCAGGTTGGGTTGGTGGGAAGGCCGTCTGAACTGGAGCAGGTGGGCTGTGTCAGGGAGGCGGTCACCGGACTGGACTCTAGCCAGCGGTTCCCACCTCCACGCGCCCACCGCCCAAGCAGCCAGAGCTCCAGCCCTAGCCGCCCAAAACAATGCAGGGCAACGGTTTTCTCCTGAGCCAAGTGTGGAGACCTAGATTTCCTTGCACCTGAGGGAGAGGGACCACAGTGGTGGCTTCTCACGCCTTGGGGAACCGGACCAGGGCCTGTTCATAACACAGAGATCTGAGCTCCTTCTCAAGTCAGGCTGACTGCTTTGGGTAAGAGGGCAGAATTTTAAAGCAAAACCGTGCTCTGCAGGGCGCCTATTTCAGCATTTTCAGACTGGTCTTAACGTAGTTGGTTCATTGCCCTCAGAAATGAATGTTGAAAGCGGTAAGCCCCATTTGAAGCACCCCCGATTTTAACAAGCTTCAGGACACATAGTTCTGTGCTAATATTTTTGTTTTGATGAAAAATTTAAAAACACTGCTCTCAACCCCCACCACAAAGAACACGAAAATATTATTATAAAGAAACTAGATATATCCCAATCCCTGCTCTGCAGTGGTGGTTCAATTTGTAAAGCAAAAGTTAGAACCAAAAATGCTTTCAAAGGTGGCTTCGAACAATGTTCATAACTCTCTGCTCGCATCATTCTGCTTTTTACAGAGTTTAGAGACCCATTTATAGATTCAGTCCACGGATTGTCATGCATTTGCAAAAACGTCTACTAGCTCTCCGAGTTCCATATTTTTATTATCAAGGGACCCTTAGATCTGAGGACATGGGGACTGGCAGACACCAGCTGCAGAACGGAACCGTCTTTTAGGAAACAGAGGCCACGATGAGTACATGATGGGCCCCATCTACCTAGTGGAAAATGAAGCGGCATGTTTTTCTTCACGGTCACTGGTGGCTCTTGGCAATTTCTGACTCAGCACCATTGGACTTTCTCCTGGCCCCTCCTTTCCTCTCTGTTGGGTGGGGCGGCCGGGGGGGTGCTTTTGTAGCCCTCCACAGATGGAGTTGATAGGAATGTCCTGCTTTCTAACCATCTGCAGAGGACCTGTGCTTTGGGTCACAGGGTCCTCAGCAAATTCCTTTCCCTTCCAGTTGATTTACAGTTGGTTCCAATTGGTTTACCTGTTTAGAAAATTCTAAGTCCATCTTAAATGTAAAAGGTGGTTATCATCTTAGAATGTGCTCAAAGAACTTTAAAGATAACTGCTTTCCACTGAGGACACAGTTCATCTACAGGACAGGGTCAGCAGTGGAGTTGGGACCCCAACCTCTAGCTTTTGGGCCTGCTCCTAGCAGGCCAGGTGGCATGGTGGCTTTTCATCCAGCCCTGATTTGGGACACACTGATGTTTCAGCCCCTCCCTCTTAGGAATTCTGATTTGAAAATCACTGTATCTACTCTGTATTCCTATGAGAGAGACTAAAAGATTTTGTTCAGATTTGCTTTCTTCTGATTGCAAATAGGAACATGTATGGTTTTTTTGGGTGCACTTTTTCAGACCAGACGCCAGGTCATTCTGACCCACCCCACTCCTCTCCTGAGAATCACTGACTTAGTGCAGTTATTTGAGGGCAAAAAGCACTTTTTTTCCCAGCACAAAGTAGGTGCTAAACAAAGTCTACAGCCAAATATAAACAAGCAAGCCCTGAAGCAGAAGGAAGAGCAGGGCTCAGTGGTGGCTTTGGCCCCCTGGTTCTTATGTCTGTCACTCCACACACGCAGTAGGGCTTCAGGAGATACTGGCTGACTGGTGCTCTGAGCCTTTTACCAGAAGAGCCTGATTCAGCTAAATTTCCTTGGTAGGGGTGACTGCTTAGTTGGAATTTGGTGGCTGGAACTGGTGGTCACCCCCTCTTACCCTACACGGACCTTTTCCAGGTTCAGCATTTACAGATTTGTTTCCCAACCAGGAGGGGCTTATCCTAAGGAATGTTCTGATCTGAGATGAGATTAGAACTTCCCCTGCTGTCGAAGTCAAAGGGTCCCATCTGCCTGTCACTTCCCATGTGCCCTGGGCTGTGCTGGGCTAGTCATCAGCCCCTCCCCGTCTTTGGCCCAAGATGTGGAAAATCTTAATAGCTCAACCGGTTCCCTCAGACCTTTGTCTTCTGAAACAGTG